>NC_000019.10:24552752-24891256 GCF_000001405.40 Homo sapiens | reverse complement strand
TCTGTCTAGTTTTTAGGGGCAGATATTTGCATTGGCACAATAGCCCTCAAAGCGCTCCAAATATCCACTGGCAGATTCTACCAAAAGAGTGTTTCAAAACTGCTCTGTGAAAAGAAATGTTCAACTGTGTTAGTTGAATGCCCACATCACAAAGAAGATTCTGAGAATATTTCTGGCTAGTTTGTGTGTGAAGATATTCCCATTTCCAACAAAGGCTTCAAAGCGCTCCAAAGATTCACCTGCAATTGTTCAAAAGAGTGTTTCAAAACTGTTGTATCAAAAGGAAGGTTCAACTCTGTGAGTTGAATGCACGCTTCATATAAATGTTTCTGAGAATGCTTCTTTCTAGTTTTTTTGGGAAGATATTTCCTTCTCCACCACAGCCCTCAAAGCGCTCCAAGTGTCCGCTGGCAGATTCCACAGAAACAGTGTTTCAAAACTGCTCTAACAAAAGAAAGATTCAACTCCGTGATTTGAATGCACACATCACAAAGCATTTTCTGTCAATCCTTCTGTCTAGTTTTTATATGAGGATATTTCCTTTTCTACCATGGGCATCAAAGCGTTCCAATTATCCAATTGTGGATTGCACAAACAGAGTGTTTCAAAACTGCTTCATGAAAAGGAAGATTCAAATTCGGGAGGAGAATGCACACATCACGAAGAAGTTTCTGAGAATGTTTCTGTCTAGTTTATATGTGAAGATATTCCCATTTCCAGCAAAGGTCTCAAAGCGGTCCAAATATCCCCTTGCGGATCCCACAAACAGAGTGTTTCAAAACTGCTCTACGGAAAGGTATGTTCAACTCTGTGAGTTTACTGCAAACATCCTAAAGAAGTTTCTGAGAATGCTGCTGTCTAGTTTAATGTGAATATATTTTCTTTTCCGCCATAGCCCTCAAAGAGCTCCAAATATCCACTTTCAGATTCTACAGAGTGTTTCAAAACTGCTCTATCCAAAAAAAGTTTCAACTCGGTGAGTCGAATGCACATATCACAAAGCAGTTTCTGAGAATGTTTTCGTCTATTTTTCCCAGGAAGATATTTCCTTTTTGACCGTAGGCCTCAAACCGCTCCAGATATCCACATGCAGATTCTACAAAAAGAGTGTTTCCAAACTACCCTATCAAAAGGAAGGTTCAACTCTGCTACTTGAATGCAAACATCACAGAGAAGTTTCTCGGAATGCTTCTGTCTGGTTTTTAGAGGCAGATATTTCTTTTTCTACCATAGGCCTCAAAGCGCTCCAAATATCCACTTGCAGATTCTCCAAAAACAGTGATTCAAAACTGCTCCATAAAAAGGAAGGTCATCTCTGTGAGTTGAATGGACAGATCACAAAGAAGTTTCTGAGAATGCTTCTCTCTAGTGTTTATGTGAAGATATTCCCGTTTCCGATGAAGGCCTCAAAGCAGTCCAAATATCCACTTGCCGATTCTACACAAACAGTGTTTCAAAACTACTCTATGGAAAGGTATGTTCAACACTGTGAGATGAATGCAAACGTCACAAAGAAGTTGCTGAGAATGCTTCAGTCTAGTTTCTATGGGAAGACATTTCCTTTTGCACCACAGCCCTCAAAGCACCCCAAATGTCTACCTGCAGATTCAATAAAAGAGTTTTTCTAAACTGCTCCATCCAAAGAAAGGTTCAACGCTGTGAGTTGAATCTACATATCACAAAAAAGTTTCTGAGAATGCCTCTATCTACTTTTTATGTGAAGATATTCCGGTTTCCAAAGAAGGCCTCAAAGCGCTCCAAATATCTACTGGCAGATTCTAGAAAAAGAGTGTTTCAAAACTGCTCTATTAAAGGAAGGTTCAACTCTGTGAGTTGAATTCACACATCACAAAGAACTTTCTGACAATGCTTCTATCTAGTTTTTATGTGAAGATATTACTGTTTCCTATGAAGGCCTCAAAGTGGTCCGAATATCCACTTGCAGATTCTACAGAAAGAGGTTTTCAAAACTGCTCTGTGAAGAGGTATGTTCAACTCTGTGTGTTGAATGCAAACATCACGAAGTAGTTTCTGAGAATGCTTCTGTCTAGTTTTTAGGGGCAGATATTTCCATTGGCACAATAGCCCTCAAAGCGCTCCAAATATCCACTGGCAGATTCGACCAAAAGAGTGTTTCAAAACTGCTCTGTGAAAAGAAATGTTCGACTGTGTTAGTTGAATACCCACATCACAAAGAAGTTTCTGAGAATATCTCTGTCTAGTTTTTATTAGAAGATATTCCCGTTTCCACCAAAGGACACAAAGCGAAGCCAAATATCCGCTTGCCGATCTTACAAAAACACGTTTCAAAACTGCTCTATCAAAGGAAAGGTTCATCTCTCTGGGTTCAACGCACACATCACAAAGAAGTTTCTGAGAATGCTTCTGGCTAGTTTGTGTGTGAAGATATTCCCATTTCCAACAAAGGCTTCAAAGCGCTCCAAAGATTCACCTGCAATTGTTCAAAAGAGTGTTTCAAAACTGTTGTATCCAAAGGAAGGTTCAACTCTGTGAGTTGAATGCACGCTTCACATAAATGTTTCTGAGAATGCTTCTTTCCAGTTTTTATGGGAAGATATTTCCTTCTCCACCATAGCCCTCAAAGCGCTCCAAGTGTCCTCTGGCAGATTCCACAGAAACCGTGTTTCAAAACTGCTCTAACAAAAGAAAGATTCAACTCCGTGATTTGAATGCACACATCACAAAGCATTTTCTGTGAATCCTTCTGTCCAGTTTTTATATGAGGATATTTCCTTTTCTACCACGGGCAACCAAGCCTTCCAATTCTCCAATTGTAGATTGCACAAACAGAGTGTTTCAAAACTACTCCATGAGAAGCAAGATTCAAATTTGGGAGTACAATGCACACGTCACGAAGAAGTTTCTGAGAATGCTTCTGTCCAGTTTATATGTGAAGATATTCCCGTTTCCAGCAAAGGTCTCAAAGCGGTCCAAATATCCACTTGCGGATCCCACACACAGAGTGTTTCAAAGCTGCTCTACGGAAAGGTATGTTCAACTCTGTGAGTTTACTGCAAACATCCTAAAGAAGTTTCTGGGAATGCTGCTGTCTAGTTTAATGTGAATATCTTTTCTTTTCCGCCATAGCCCTCAAAGAGCTCCAAATATCCACTTTCAGATTCTACAGAGTGTTTCAAAACTGCTTTATCCAAAAAAAGTTTCAACTCGGAGAGTCGAATGCACATATCACAAAGCAGTTTCTGAGAATGCTTTCGTCTATTTTTCCCAGGAAGATATTTCCTTTTTGACCGTAGGCCTCAAACCGCTCCAGATATCCACATGCAGATTCTACAAAAAGAGTGTTTCCAAACTGCCCTATCAAAAGGAAGGTTCAACTCTGATAGTTGAATGCAAACATCACAAAGAAGTTTCTCAGAATGCTTCTGTCTAGTTTTTAGAGGCAGATATTTCTTTTTCTACCACAGGCCTCAAAGCGCTCCAAATATCCACTTGCAGATTCTCCAAGAACAGTGTTTCAAAACTGCTCCATAAAAAGGAAGGTTCAACTCTGTGAGTTGAATGGACAGATCACAAAGAAGTTTCTGAGATTGCTTCTGTCCAGTGTTTATGTGAAGATATTCCCGTTTCCGATGAAGGCCTCAAAGCAGTCCAAATATCCACTTGCAGATTCTACAAAAATAGTGTTTCAAAACTACTCTATGCAAAGGTATGTTCAACACTGTGAGATGAATGCAAACGTCACAAAGAAGTTGCTGAGAATGCTTCAGTCTAGTTTCTATGGGAAGACATTACCTTTTGCACCACAGCCCTCAAAGCACCCCAAATGTCTACCTGCAGATTCGATAAAAGGGTTTTTCAAAACTGCTCCATCCAAAGAAAGGTTCAACGCTGTGAGTTGAATCTACATATCACAAAAAAGTTTCTGAAAATGCCTCTATCTACTTTTCCTGTGAAGATATTCCGGATTCCAACGAAGGCCTCAAAGCGCTCCAAATATCTACTTGCAGATTCTAGAAAAAGAGTGTTTCACAACTGCTCTATTGAAGGAAGGTTCAACTCTGTGAGTTGAATTCACACATCACAAAGAATTTTCTGACAATGCTTCTATCTAGTTTTTATGTGAAGATATTACTCTTTCCTATGAAGGCCTCAAAGTGGTCCGAATATCCACTTGCAGATTCTACAGAAAGAGGTTTTCAAAACTGCTCTGTGAAGAGGTATGTTCAACTCTGTGTGTTGAATGCAGACATCACGAAGTAGTTTCTGAGAATGCTTCTGTCTAGTTTTCAGGGGCAGATCTTTCCATTGGCACAATAGCCCTCCAAGCGCTCCAAATATCCACTGGCAGATTCTACCAAAAGAGTGTTTCAAAACTGCTCTGTGAAAAGAAATGTTCAACTGTGTTAGTTGAATGCCCACATCACAAAGGAGATTCTGAGAATATTTCTGTCTAGTTTTTATTGGAAGATATTCCCGTTTCCAACAAAGGACACAAAGCGAAGCCAATTATCCGCTTGCAGATCTTACAAAAACACGTTTCAAAACTGCTCTATCAAAGGAAAGGTTCATCTCTCTGGGTTCAACGCACACATCACAAAGAAGTTTCTGAGAATGCTTCTGGCTAGTTTGTGTGTGAAGATATTCCCATTTCCACCAAAGGCTTCAAAGCGCTCCAAAGATTCACCTGCAATTGTTCAAAAGAGTGTTTCAAAACTGTTGTATCAAAAGTAAGGTTCAACTCTGTGAGTTGAATGCACGCTTCACATAAATGTTTCTGAGAATACTTCTTTCTAGTTTTTATGGGAAGATATTTCCTTCTCCACCACAGCCCTCAAAGCGCTCCAAGTGTCCGCTGGCAGATTCCACAGAAACAGTGTTTCAAAACTGCTCTGACAAAAGAAAGATTCAACTCCGTGATTTGAATGCACACATCACAAAGCATTTTCTGTGAATCCTTCTGTCTAGTTTTCATATGAGGATATTTCCTTTTCTACCATGGGCATCAAAGCGTTCCAATTATCCAATTGTGGATCGCACAAACAGAGTGTTTCAAAATTGCTTCATGAAAAGGAAGATTCAAATTCGGGAGTAGAATGCACACATCACGAGGAAGTTTCTGAGAATGCTTCTGTCTAGTTTATATGTGAAGATATTCCCATTTCCAGCAAAGTTCTCAAAGCTGTCCAAATATCCACTTGCATATCCCACAAACAGAGTGTTTCAAAACTGCTCTACGGAAAGGTAGGTTCAACTCTGTGAGTTTACTGCAAACATCCTAAAGAAGTTTCTGAGAATGCTGCTGTCTACTTTAATGTGAATATAGTTTCATTTCCGCCATAGCCCTCAAAGAGCTCCAAATATCCACTTTCAGATTCTACAGAGTGTTTCAAAACTGCTCTATCAAAAAAAAGTTTCAACTCGGTCAGTCGAATGCACATATCACAAAGCAGTTTCTGAGAATGCTTTCGTCTATTTTTCCCAGGAAGATATTTCCTTTTTGACCGTAGGCCTCAAACGGCTCCAGATATCCACATGCAGATTCTACAAAAAGAGTGTTTCCAAACTGCCCTATCAAAAGGAAGGTTCAACTCTGCTAGTTGAATGCAAACATCACAGAGAAGTTTCTCAGAATGCTTCTGTCTGGTTTTTAGAAGCAGATATTTCTTTTTCTACCATAGGCCTCAAAGCGCTCCAAATATCCACTTGCAGATTCTCCAAAAACAGTGATTCAAAACTGCTCCATAAAAAGGAAGGTTCAACTCTGTGAGTTGAATGGACAGATCACAAAGAAGTTTCCTGAGAATGCTTCTGTCTAGTGTTTATGTGAAGATATTCCCGTTTCCGATGAAGGCCTCAGAGCAGTCCAAATATCCACTTGCAGATTCTATAAAAATAGTGTTTCAAAACTACTCTATGGAAAGGTATGTTCAACACTGTGAGATGAATGCAAACGTCATAAAGAAGTTGCTGAGAATGCTTCAGTCTAGTTTCTATGGGAAGACATTTCCTTTTGCACCACAGCCCTCAAAGCACTCCAAATGTCTACATGCAGATTCGATAAAAGAGTTTTTCAAAACTGCTCTATCAAAAGAAAGGTTCAACGCTGTGAGTTGAATCTACATATCACAAAAAAGTTTCTGAGAATGCCTCTATCTACTTTTCCTGTGAAGATATTCCGGTTTCCAACGAAGGCCTCAAAGCGCTCCAAATATCTACTTGCAGATTCTAGAAAAAGAGTGTTTCAAAACTGCTCTATTAAAGGAAGGTTCAACTCTGTGAGTTGAATTCACACATCACAAAGAACTTTCTGACAATGCTTCTATCTAGTTTTTATGTGAAGATATTACTGTTTCCTACGAAGGCCTCAAAGTGGTCCGAATATCCACTTGCAGATTCTACAGAAAGAGGTTTTCAAAACTGCTCTGTGAAGAGGTATGTTCAACTCTGTGTGTTGAATGCAGACATCACGAAGTAGTTTCTGAGAATGCTTCTGTCTAGTTTTTAGGGGAAGATATTTCCATTGGCACAATAGCCCTCAAAGCGCTCCAAATATCCACTGGCAGATTCTACCAAAAGAGTGTTTCAAAACTGCTCTGTGAAAAGAAACGTACAACTGTGTTAGTTGAATGCCCACAACACAAAGAAGATTCTGAGAATATTTCTGTCTAGTTTTTATTAGAAGATATTCCCGTTTCCACCAAAGGTACACAAAGCGAAGCCAACTATCCGCTTGCAGATCTTACAAAAACACGTTTCAAAACTGCTCTATCAAAGGAAAGGTTCATCTCTCTGGGTTCAACGCACACATCACAAAGAAGTTTCTGAGAATGCTTCTGGCTAGTTTGTGTGTGAAGATATTCCCATTTCCAACAAAGGCTTCAAAGCGCTCCAAAGATTCACCTGCAATTGTTCCAAAGAGTGTTTCAAAACTGTTGTATCAAAAGGAAGGTTCAACTCTGTGAGTTGAATGCACGCTTCACATAAATGTTTCTGAGAATGCTTCTTTCTAGTTTTTATGGGAAGATATTTCCTTCTCCACCATAGCCCTCAAAGCGCTCCAAGTGTCCGCTGGCAGATTCCACAGTAACAGTGTTTCAAAACTGCTCTGACAAAAGAAAGATTCAACTCTGTGATTTGAATGCACACATCACAAAGCATTTTCTGTGAATCCTTATGTCTAGTTTTTATATGAGGATATTTCCTTTTCTACCATGGGCATCAAAGCGTTCCAATTATCCAATTGTGGACTGCACAAACAGAGTGTTTCAAAACTGCTTCATGAAAAGGAAGATTCAAATTCGGGAGGAGAATGCACACATCACGAAGAAGTTTCTGAGAATGCTTCTGTCTAGTTTATATGTGAAGATATTCCCATTTCCAGCAAAGGTCTCAAAGCGGTCCAAATATCCACTTGCAGATCCCACAAACAGAGGGTTTCAAAACTGCTTTACGGAAAGGTATGTTCAACTCTGTGAGTTTACTGCAAACATCCTAAAGAAGTCTCTGAGAATGCTGCTGTCTAGATTCATGTGAATATAATTTCTTTTCCGCCATAGCCCTCAAAGTGCTCCAAATATCCACTTTCAGATTCTACAGAGTGTTTCAAAACTGCTCTATCAAAAAAAAGTTTCAACTCGGAGAGTCGAATGCATATATAACAAAGCAGTTTCTGAGAATGCTTTCGTCTATTTTTCCCAGGAAGATATTTCCCTTTTTGACCGTAGGCCTCAAATCGCTCCAGATATCCACATGCAGATTCTACAAAAAGAGTGTTTCCAAACTGCCCTATCAAAAGGAAGGTTCAACTCTGGTAGTTGAATGCAAACATCACAAAGAAGTTTCTCAGAATGCTTCTGTCTGGTGTTTAGGGGCAGATATTTCTTTTTCTACCATAGGCCTCAAAGCGCTCCAAATATCCACTTGCAGATTCTCCAAAAAGAGTGTTTCAAAACTGCTCCAGAAAAAGGAAGGTTCAACTCTGTGAGTTGAATGGACAGATCACAAAGAAGTTTCTGAGAATGCTTCTGTCTAGTGTTTATGTTGAAGATATTCCCGTTTCCGATGAAGGCCTCAAAGCAGTCCAAATGTCCACTTGCAGATTCTACAAAAATAGTGTTTCGAAACTACTCTATGCAAAGGTATGTTCAACACTGTGAGATGAATGCAAACGTCACCAAGAAGTTGCTGAGAATGATTCAGTCTAGTTTCTATGGGAAGACATTTCCTTTTGCACCACAGCCCTCAAAGCACTCCAAATGTCTACTTACAGATTCGATAAAAGAGTTTTACAAAACTGCCCTATCAAAAGAAAGGTTCAACGCTGTGAGTTGAATCCACATATCACGAAAAAGTTTCTGAGAATGCCTCTATCTACATTTCCTGTGAAGATATTCCGGTTTCCAACGAAGTCCTCCAAGCGCTCCAAATATCTACTTGCAGATTCTAGAAAAAGAGTGTTTCAAAACTGCTCTATTAAAGGAAGGTTCAACTCTGTGAGTTGAATTCACACATCACAAAGAACTTCCTGACAATGCTTCTATCTAGTTTTTATGTGAAGATATTACTGTTTCCTATGAAGGCCTCAAAGTGGTCCGAATATCCACTTGCAGATTCTACAAAAAAGGTTTTCAAAACTGCTCTATGAAGAGGTATGTTCAACTCTGTGAGTCGAATGCAAACATCACAATGTAGTTTCTGAGAATGCTTCTGTCTAGTTTTCAGGGGCAGATATTTCCATTGGCACAATAGCCCTCCAAGCGCTCCAAATATCCACTGGCAGATTCTACCAAAAGAGTGTTTCAAAACTGCTCTGTGAAAAGAAATGTTCAACTGTGTTAGTTGAATGCCCACATCACAAAGGAGATTCTGAGAATATTTCTGTCTACTTTTTATTAGAAGATATTCCCGTTTCCACCAAAGGACACAAAGCGAAGCCAATTATCCGCTTGCAGATCTTACAAAAACACGTTTCAAAACTGCTCTAATCAAAGGAAAGGTTCATCTGTCTGGGTTCAACGCACACATCACAAAGAAGTTTCTGAGAATGCTTCTGGCTAGTTTGTGTGTGAAGATATTCCCAATTCCAACAAAGGCTTCAAAGCGCTCCAAAGATTCACCTGCAATTGTTCAAAAGAGTGTTTCAAAACTGTTCTATCAAAAGGAAGGTTCAACTCTGTGAGTTGAATGCACGGCTTCACATAAATGTTTCTGAGAATGCTTCTTTCTAGTTTTTATGGGAAGATATTTCCTTCTCCACCATAGCCCTCAAAGCGCTCCAAGTGTCCGCTGGCAGATTCCACAGAAACCGTGTTTCAAAACTGCTCTAACAAAAGAAAGATTCAACTCCGTGATTTGAATGCACACATCACAAAGCATTTTCTGTGAATCCTTCTGTCTGGTTTTTATATGAGGATATTTCCTTTTCTACCATGGGCATCAAAGCGTTCCAATTATCCAATTGTGGATTGCACAAACAGAGTGTTTCAAAACTGCTTCATGAAAAGGAAGATTCAAATTCGGGAGTAGAATGCACACATCACGAAGAAGTTTCTGAGAATGCTTCTGTCTAGTTTATATGTGAAGATATTCCCATTTCCAGCAAAGGTCTCAAAGCGGTCCAAATATCCACTTGCGGATCCCACAAACAGAGTGTTTCAAAACTGCTCTACGGAAAGGTATGTTCAACTCTGTGAGTTTACTGCAAACATCCTAAAGAAGTTTCTGAGAATGCTGCTGTCTAGTTTAATGTGAATATCTTTTCTTTTCTGCCATAGCCCTCAAAGAGCTCCAAATATCCACTTTCAGATTCTACAGAGTGTTTCAAAACTGCTCTATCCAAAAAAAGTTTCAACTCGGTGAGTCGAATGCACATATCACAAAGCAGTTTCTGAGAATGCTTTCGTCTATCTTTCCCAGGAAGATATTTCCTTTTGGACCGTAGGCCTCAAATCGCTCCAGATATCCACATGCAGATTCTACAAAAAGAGTGTTTCCAAACTGCCTTATCAAAAGGAAGGTTCAACTCTGGTAGTTGAAGGCAAACATCACAAAGAAGTTTCTCAGAATGCTTCTGTCTGGTTTTTAGAGGCAGATATTTCTTTTTCTACCATTGGCCTCAAAGCGCTCCAAATATCCACTTGCAGATTCTCCAAAAGGAGTGTTTCAAAACTGCTCCATAAAAAGGAAGGTTCAACTCTATGAGTTGAATGGACAGATGACAAAGAAGTTTCTGAGAATGCTTCTGTCTAGTGTTTATGTGAAGATATTCCCGTTTCCGATGAAGGCCTCAAAGCAGTCCAAATATCCACTTGCAGATTCTACACAAATAGTGCTTCAAAACTACTCTATGGAAAGGTATGTTCAACACTGTGAGATGAATGCAAACGTCACAAAGAAGTTGCTGAGAATGCTTCAGTCTAGTTTCTATGGGAAGACATTTCCTTTTGCACCACAGCCCTAAAAGCACCCCAAATGTCTACCTGCAGATTCGATAAAAGAGTTTTTCAAAACTGCTCCATCCAAAGAAAGGTTCAACGCTGTGAGTTGAATCTACATATCACAAAAAAGTTTCTGAGAATGCCCCTATCTACTTTTCCTGTGAAGATACTCCGGTTTCCAACGAAGGCCTCAAAGCGCTCCAAATATCTACTTGCAGATTCCAGAAAAAAAGTGTTTCAAAACTGCTCTATTAAAGGAAGGTTCAACTCTGTGAGTTGAATTCACACATCACAAAGAACTTTCTGACAATGCTTCTATCTAATTTTTATGTGAAGGTATTACTGTTTCCTATGAAGGCCTCAAAGTGGTCCGAATATCCACTTGCAGATTCTACAAAAAGAGGTTTTCAAAACTGCTCTATGAAGAGGTATGTT
Organism: Homo sapiens; assembly: GCF_000001405.40. NCBI lineage: Eukaryota > Metazoa > Chordata > Mammalia > Primates > Hominidae > Homo > Homo sapiens. The sequence continues at coordinate 24,880,403 of NC_000019.10, read as the reverse complement.
CAACTCTGTGAGTTGAATGCAAACATCACAAAGTAGTTTCTGAGAATTCCTCTGTCTAGTTTTCAGGGGCAGATATTTCCATTGGCACAATAGCCCTCCAAGCGCTCCAAATATCCACTGGCAGATTCTACCAAAACTGTGTTTCAAAACTGCTCTGTGAAAAGAAATGTTCAATTGTGTTTGTTGAATGCCCACATCACAAAGGAGATTCTGAGAATATTTCTGTCTAGTTTTTATTAGAAGATATTCCCGTTTCCACCAAAGGACACAAAGCTAAGCCAGTTATCTGCTTGCCGATCTTACAAAAACACGTTTCAAAACTGCTCTATCAAAGGAAAGGTTCATCTCTCTGGGTTCAACGCACACATCACAAAGAAGTTTCTGAGAATGCTTCTGGCTAGTTTGTGTGTGAAGATATTCCCATTTCCAACAAAGGCTTCAAAGCGCTCCAAAGATTCACCCGCAATTGTTCAAAAGGGTGTTTCAAAACTGTTGTATCAAAAGGAAGGTTCAACTCTGTGAGTTGAATGCACGCTTCACATAAATGTTTCTGAGAATGCTTCTTTCTAGTTTTTATGTGAAGATATTTCCTTCTCCACCATAGCCCTCAAAGCGCTCCAAGTGTCCGCTGGCAGATTCCACAGAAACAGTGTTTCAAAACTGCTCTAACAAAAGAAAGATTCAACTCCGTGATTTCAATGCACACATCACAAAGCATTTTCTGTGAATCCTTCTGTCTAGTTTTTATATGAAGATATTTCCTTTTCTACCATGGGCATCAAAGCGTTCCAATTATCCAATTGTGGATTGCACAAACAGAGTGTTTCAAAACTGCTTCATGAAAAGGAAGATTCAAATTCGGGAGGAGAATGCACACATCAGGAAGAAGTTTCTGAGAATGCTTCTGTCTAGTTTATACGTGAAGATATTCCCATTTCCAGCAAAGGTCTCAAAGCGGTCCAAATATCCACTTGCGGAACCCACAAACAAAGTGTTTCAAAACTGCTCTACGGAAAGGTATGTTCAACTCTGTGAGTTTACTGCAAACATCCTAAAGAAGTTTCTGAGAATGCTGCTGTCTAGTTTAATGTGAATATATTTTCTTTTCCGCCATAGCCCTCAAAGAGCTCCAAACATCCACTTTCAGATTCTACAGAGTGTTTCAAAACTGCTCTATCAAAAAAAAGTTTCAACTCGGTGAGTCGAATGCACATATCACAAAGCAGTTTCTGAGAATGCTTTCGTCTATCTTTCCCAGGAAGATATTTCCTTTTGGACCGTAGGCCTCAAATCGCTCCAGATATCCACATGCAGATTCTACAAAAAGAGTGTTTCCAAACTGCCCTATCAAAAGGAAGGTTCAACTCTGGTAGTTGAAGGCAAACATCACAAAGAAGTTTCTCAGAATGCTTCTGTCTGGTTTTTAGGGGCAGATATTTTTTTTCTACCATAAGCCTCAAAGCGCTCCAAATATCCACTTGCAGATTCTCCAAAAACAGTTTTTCAAAACTGCTCCATAAAAAGGAAAGTTCAGCTCTGTGAGGTGAATGGACAGATCACAAAGAAGTTTCTGAGAATGCTTCTGTCTAGTGTTTATGTGAAGATATTCCCGTTTCCGATGAAGGCCTCAAAGCAGTCCAAATGTCCACTTGCAGATTCTACAAAAATAGTGTTTCGAAACTACTCTATGCAAAGGTATGTTCAACACTGTGAGATGAATGCAATCGTCACCAAGAAGTTGCTGAGAATGATTCAGTCTAGTTTCTATGGGAAGACATTTCCTTTTGCACCAGAGCCCTCAAAGCACTCCAAATGTCTACTTGCAGATTCGATAAAAGAGTTTTTCAAAACTGCTCTATCAAAAGAAAGGTTCAACGCTGTGAGTTGAATCTACATATGACAAAAAAGTTTCTGAGCATGCCTCTATCTACGTTTTATGTGAAGATATTCCGGATTCCAACGAAGGCCTCAAAGCGCTCCAAATATCTACTTGCAGATTCTAGAAAAAGAGTGTTTCAAAACTGCTCTATTAAAGGAAGGTTCAACTCTGTGAGTTGAATTCACACATCACAAAGTACTTTCTGACAATGCTTCTATCTAGTTTTTATGCGAAGATATTACTGTTTCCTATGAAGGCCTCAAAGTGGTCCGAATATCCACTTGCAGATTCTACAGAAAGAGGTTTTCAAAACTGCTCTGTGAAGAGGTATGTTCAACTCTGTGTGTTGAATGCAAACATCACGAAGTAGTTTCTGAGAATGCTTCTGTCTAGTTTTTAGGGGCAGATATTTCCATTGGCACAATAGCCCTTAAAGCGCTCCAAATATCCACTGGCAGATTCTACCAAAAGAGTGTTTCAAAACTGCTCTGTGAAAAGAAACGTTCAACTGTGTTAGGTGAATGCCCGCATCACAAAGAAGATTCTGAGAATATTTCTGTCTAGTTTTTATTAGAAGATATTCCCGTTTCCACCAAAGGACACACAGCGAAGCCAACTATCCGCTTGCAGATCTTACAAAAACACGTTTCAAAACTGCTCTATCAAAGGAAAGGTTCATCTCTCTGGGTTCAACGCACACATCACAAAGAAATTTCTGAGAATGCTTCTGGCTAGTTTGTGTGTGAAGATATTCCCATTTCCAACAAAGGCTTCAAAGCCCTCCAAATGTTCACCTGCAATTGTTCAAAAGAGTGTTTCAAAACTGTTCTATCAAAAGGAAGGTTCAACTCTGTGAGTTGAACGCACGCTTCACATAAATGGTTCTGAGAATGCTTCTTTCTAGTTTTTATGTGAAGATATTTCCTTCTCCACCATAGCCCTCAAAGCGCTCCAAGTGTCCGCTGGCAGATTCCACAGAAACAGTGTTTCAAAACTGCTCTAACAAAAGAAAAATTCAACTCCGTGATTTGAATGCACACATCACAAAGCATTTTCTGTGAATCCTTTCTGTCTAGTTTTTATATGAGGATATTTCCTTTTCTACCACGGGCATCCAAGCGTTCCAATTCTCCAATTGTAGATTGCACAAACAGAGTGTTTCAAAACTGCTCCATGAGAAGGAAGATTCAAATTTGGGAGTACAATGCACACATCACGAAGAAGTTTCTGAGAATGCTTCTGTCTAGTTTATACGTCAAGATATTCCCATTTCCAGCAAAGGTCTCAAAGCGGTCCAAATATCCACTTGCGGATCCCACAAACAGAGTGTTTCAAAACTGCTCTACGGAAAGGTATGTTAAACTCTGCGAGTTTACTGCAAACATCCTAAAGAAGTTTCTGAGAATGCTGCTGTCTACTTTAATGTGAATATATTTTCTTTTCCGCCATAGCCCTCAAGGAGCTCCAAATATCCACTTTCAGATTCTACAGAGTGTTTCAAAACTGCTCTATCAAAAAAAAGTTTCAACTCGGTGAGTCGAATGCACATATCACAAAGCACTTTCTGAGAATGCTTTCGTCTATTTTTCCCAGGAAGATATTTCCTTTTTGACCGTAGGCCTCAAATCGCTCCAGATATCCACATGCAGATTCTACAAAAAGAGTGTTTCCAAACTGCCCTATCAAAAGGAAGGTTCAACTCTGGTAGTTGAATGCAAACATCACAAAGAAGTTTCTCAGAATGCTTCTGTCTGGTTTTTAGAGGCAGATATTTCTTTTTCTACCATAGGCCTCAAAGCGCTCCAAATATCCACTTGCAGATTCTCCAAAAACAGTGATTCAAAACTGCTCCATAAAAAGGAAGGTTCAACTCCTGTGAGTTGAATGGACAGATCACAAAGAAGTTTCTGAGAATGCTTCCGTCTAGTGTTTATGTGAAGATATTCCCGTTTCCGATGAAGGCCTCAAAGCAGTCCAAATATCCACTTGCAGATTCTACAAAAATAGTGTTTCAAAACTACTCTATGGAAAGGTATGTTCAACACTGTGAGATGAATGCAAACGTCACAAAGAAGTTGCTGAGAATGCTTCAGTCTAGTTTCTATGGGAAGACATTTCCTTTTGCACCACAGCCCTCAAAGCACTCCAAATGTCTACTTGCAGATTCGATAAAAGAGTTTTCCAAAACTGCTCTATCAAAAGAAAGGTTCAACGCTGTGAGTTGAATCCACATATCACGAAAAAGTTTCTGAGAATGCCTCTATCTACTTTTTATGTGAAGATATTCCGGTTTCCAAAGAAGGCCTCAAAGCGCTCCAAATATCTACTTGCAGATTCTAGAAAAAGAGTGTTTCAAAACTGCTCTATTAAAGGAAGGTTCAACTCTGTGAGTGGAATTCACACATCACAAAGAACTTTCTGACAATGCTTCTATCTAGTTTTTATGTGAAGATATTACTGTTTCCTATGAAGGCCTCAAAGTGGTCCGAATATCCTCTTGCAGATTCTACAAAAAGAGGTTTTCAAAACTGCTCTATGAAAAGGTATGTTCAACTCTGTGAGTTGAATGCAAACATCACAAAGCAGTTTCTGAGAATGCTTCTGTCTAGTTTTCAGGGGCAGATATTTCCATTGGCACAATAGCCCTCCAAGCGCTCCAAATATCCACTGGCATATTCGACCAAAAGAGTGTTTCAAAACTGCTCTGTGAAAAGAAATGTTCAACTGTGTTAGTTGAATGCCCACATCACAAAGGAGATTCTGAGAATATTTCTGTCTAGTTTTTATTAGAAGATATTCCCGTTTCCACCAAAGGACACAAAGCGAAGCCAATTATCCGCTTGCCGATCTTACAAAAACGCGATTCAAAACTGCTCTATCGAAGGAAAGGTTCATCTCTCTGGGTTCAACGCACACATCACAAAGAAGTTTCTGAGAATGCTTCTGGCTAGTTTGTGTGTGAAGATATTCCCATTTCCAACAAAGGCTTCAAAGCGCTCCAAAGATTCACCTGCAATTGTTCAAAAGAGTGTTTCAAAACTGTTGTATCAAAAGGAAGGTTCAACTCTGTGAGTTGAATGCACGCTTCACATAAATGTTTCTGAGAATGCTTCTTTCTAGTTTTTATGGGAAGATATTTCCTTCTCCACCGTAGCCCTCAAAGCGTTCCAAGTGTCCGCTGGCAGATTCCACAGAAACAGTGTTTCAAAACTGCTCTGACAAAAGAAAGATTCAACTCCGTGATTTGAATGCACACATCACAAAGCATTTTCTGTGAATCCTTCTGTCTAGTTTTTATATGAGGATATTTCCTTTTCTACCATGGGCATCAAAGCGTTCCAATTATCCAATTGTGGATTGCACAAACAGAGTGTTTCAAAACTGCTTCATGAAAAGGAAGATTCAAATTTGCGAGGAGAATGCACACATCACGAAGAAGTTTCTGAGAATGCTTTCTGTCTAGTTTATATGTGAAGATATTCCCATTTCCAGCAAAGGTCTCAAAGAGGTCCAAATATCCACTTGCGGATCCCACAAACAGAGTGTTTCAAAACTGCTCTACGGAAAGGTATGTTCAACTCTGTGAGTTTACTGTAAACATCCTAAAGAAGTTTCTGAGAGTGCTGCTGTCTGGTTTATTGTGAATATATTTTCTTTTCCGCCATAGCCCTCAAAGAGCTCCAAATATCCACTTTCAGATTCTACAGAGTGTTTCAAAACTGCTCTATCCAAAAAAAGTTTCAACTCGGTGAGTCGAATGCACATATCACAAAGCAGTTTCTGAGAATGCTTTCGTCTATTTTTCCCAGGAAGATATTTCCTTTTGGACCGTAGGCCTCAAATCGCTCCAGATATCCACATGCAGATTCTACAAAAAGAGTGTTTCCAAACTGCCCTATCAAAAGGAAGGTTCACCTCTGGTAGTTGAATGCAAACATCACAAAGAAGTTTCTCAGAATTCTTCTGTCTGGTTTTTAGAGGCAGATATTTCTTTTTCTACCATAGGCCTCAAAGCGCTCCAAATATCCACTTGCAGATTCTTCAAAAGGAGTGTTTCAAAACTGCTCCATAAAAAGGAAGGTTCAACTCTGTGGGTTGAATGGACAGATCACAAAGAAGTTTCTGAGAATGCTTCTCTCTAGTGTTTATGTGAAGATATTCCCGTTTCCGATGAAGGCCTCAAAGCAGTCCAAATATCCACTTGCCGATTCTACAAAAACAGTGTTTCAAAACTACTCTATGGAAAGGTATGTTCAACACTGTGAGATGAATGCAAACGTCACCAAGAAGTTGCTGAGAATGCTTCAGTCTAGTTTCTATGGGAAGACATTTCCTTTTGCACCACAGCCCTCAAAGCTCCCCAAATGTCTACCTGCAGATTCGATAAAAGAGTTTTTCAAAACTGCTCCATCCAAAGAAAGGTTCAACGCTTGTGAGTTGAATCTACATATCACAAAAAAGTTTCTGAGAATGCCTCTATCTACTTTTCCTGTGAAGATATTCCGGTTTCCAACGAAGGCCTCAAAGCGCTCCAAATATCTACTTGCAGATTCTAGAAAAAGAGTGTTTCAAAACTGCTCTATTAAAGGAAGGTTCAACTCTGTGAGTTGAATTCACACATCACAAAGAACTTTCTGTCAATGCTTCTATCTAGTTTTTATGTGAAGATATTTCTGTTTCCTATGAAGGCCTCAAAGTGGTCCGAATATCCACTTGCAGATTCTACAGAAAGAGGTTTTCAAAACTGCTCTGTGAAGAGGTATGTTCAACTCTGTGTGTTGAATGCAAACATCACGAAGTAGTTTCTGAGAATGCTTCTGTCTAGTTTTCAGGGGCAGATATTTCCATTGGCAAAATAGCCCTCCAAGCGCTCCAAATATCCACTGGCAGATTCTACCAAAACTGTGTTTCAAAACTGCTCTGTGAAAAGAAATGTTCAATTGTGTTAGTTGAATGCCCACATCACAAAGGAGATTCTGAGAATATTTCTGTCTAGTTTTAATTAGAAGATGTTCCCGTTTCCACCAAAGGACACAAAGCGAAGCCCATTATCCGCTTGCAGACCTTACAAAAACACGTTTCAAAACTGCTCTATCAAAGGAAAGGTTCATCTCTCTGGGTTCAACGCACACATCACAAAGAAGTTTCTGAGAATGCTTCTGGCTAGTTTGTGTGTGAAGATATTCCCATTTCCAACAAAGGCTTCAAAGCCCTCCAAATATTCACCTGCAATTGTTCAAAAGAGTGTTTCAAAACTGTTCTATCAAAAGGAAGGTTCAACTCTGTGAGTTGAATGGACGCTTCACATAAATGGTTCTGAGAATGCTTCTTTCTAGTTTTTATGGGAAGATGTTTCCTTCTCCACCATAGCCCTCAAAGCGCTCCAAGTGTCCGCTGGCAGATTCCACAGAAACAGTGTTTCAAAACTGCTCTAACAAAAGAAAGATTCAACTCCGTGATTTGAATGCACACATCACAAAGCATTTTCTGTGAATCCTTCTGTCTAGTTTTTATATGAGGATATTTCCTTTTCAACCACGGGCATCCAAGTGTTCCAATTCTCCAATTGTAGATTGCACAAATAGAGTGTTTCAAAACTGCTTAATGAGAAGGAAGATTCAAATTTGGGAGTAGAATGCACACATCACGAAGAAGTTTCTGAGAATGCTTCTGTCTAGTTCTATATGTGAAGATATTCCCATTTCCAGCAAAGGTCTCAAAGCGGTCCAAATATCCACTTGCGGATCCCACAAACAGAGTGTTTCAAAACTGCTCTACGGAAAGGTAGGTTCAACTCTGTGAGTTTACTGCAAACATCCTAAAGAAGTTTCTGAGAATGCTGCTGTCTAGTTTAATGTGAATATCTTTTCTTTTCCGCCATAGCCCTCAAAGAGCTCCAAATATCCACTTTCAGATTCTACAGAGTGTTTCAAAACTGCTCTATCCAAAGAAAGTTTCAACTCGGAGAGTCGAATGCACATATCACAAAGCAGTTTCTGAGAATGCTTTCGTCTATTTTTCCCAGGAAGATATTTCCTTTTTGACCGTAGGCCTCAAACCGCTCCAGATATCCACATGCAGATTCTACAAAAAGAGTGTTTCCAAACTGCCCTATCAAAAGGAAGGTTCAACTCTGCTAGTTGAATGCAAACATCACAAAGAAGTTTCTCGGAATGCTTCTGTCTAGCTGTCATAGGCAGATATTTCTTTTTCTACCATAGGCCTCAAAGCGCTCCAAATATCCACTTGCAGTTCGTCCGAAAACAGTGTTTCAAAACTGCTCCATAAAAAGTAAGGTTTAACTCTGTGAGTTGAATGGACAGACCACAAAGAAGTTTCTGAGAATGCTTCTCTCTAGTGTTTATGTGAAGATATTCCCGTTTCCGATGAAGGCCTCAAAGCAGTCCAAATATCCACTTGCCGATTCTACAAAAACAGTGTTTCAAAACTACTCTATGGAAAGGTATGTTCAACACTGTGAGATGAATGCAAACGTCAAAAGAAGTTGCTGAGAATGCTTCAGTCTAGTTTCTATGGGAAGACATTTCCTTTTGCACCACAGCCCTCAAAGCACCCCGAAAGTCTACCTGCAGATTCGATAAAAGAGTTTTTCAAAACTGCTCCATCCAAAGAAAGGTTCAACGCTGTGAGTTGAATCTACATATCACAAAAAAGTTTCTGAGAATGCCTCTATCTACTTTTTATGTGAAGATATTCCGGTTTCCAACGAAGGACTCAAAGCGCTCCAAATATCTACTGGCAGATTCTAGAAAAAGAGTGTTTCAAAACTGCTCTATTAAAGGAAGGTTCAACTCTGTGAGTTGAATTCACACATCACAAAGAACTTTCTGACAATGCTTCTATCTAGTTTTTATGCGAAGATATTACTGTTTCCTATGAAGGCCTCAAAGTGCTCCGAATATCCACTTGCAGATTCTACAAAAAGAGGTTTTCAAAACTGCTCTGTGAAGAGGTATGTTCAACTCTGTGAGTTGAATGCAAACATCACGAAGTAGTTTCTGAGAATGCTTCTGTCTAGATTTTAGGGGCAGATATTTCCATTGGCACAACAGCCCTCAAAGCGCTCCAAATATCCACTGGCAGATTCTACCAAAAGAGTGTTTCAAAACTGCTCTGTGAAAAGAAATGTTCAACTGTGTTAGTTGAATGCCCACATCACAAAGGAGATTGTGAGAATATTTTCTGTCTAGTTTTTATTAGAAGATATTCCCGTTTCCACCAAAGGACACAAAGCGAAGCCAACTATCCGCTTGCAGATCTTACAAAAACACGTTTCAAAACTGCTCTATCAAAGGAAAGGTTCATCTCTCTGGGTTCAACGCACACATCACAAAGAAGTTTCTGAGAATGCTTCTGGCTAGTTCGTGTGTGAAGATATTCCCATTTCCAACAAAGGCTTCAAAGCCCTCCAAATATTCACCTGCAATTGTTCAAAAGAGTGTTTCAAAACTGTTCTATCAAAAGGAAGGTTCAACTGCTGTGAGTTGAATGCACGCTTCACATAAATGGTTCTGAGAATGCTTCTTTCTAGTTTCTATGTGAAGATATTTCCTTCTCCACCGTAGCCCTCAAAGCGCTCCAAGTGTCCGCTGGCAGATTCCACAGAAACAGTGTTTCAAAACTGATCTAACAAAAGAAAGATTCAACTCCGTGATTTGAATGCACACATCACAAAGCATTTTCTGTGAATCCTTCTGTCTAGTTTTTATATGAGGATATTTCCTTTTCTACCATGGGCATCAAAGCGTTCCAATTATCCAATTGTGGATTGCACAAACAGAGTGTTTCAAAACTGCTTCATGAAAAGGAAGATTCAAATTCGGGAGGAGAATGCACACATCACGAAAGAAGTTTCTGAGAATGCTTCTGTCTAGTTTATATGTGAAGATATTCCCATTTCCAGCAAAGGTCTCAAAGCGGTCCAAATATCCCCTTGCGGATCCCACAAACAGAGTGTTTCAAAACTGCTCTATGGAAAGGTATGTTCAACTCTGTGAGTTTACTGCAAACATCCTAAAGAAGTTTCTGAGAATGCTGCTGTCTACTTTTTTAACGTGAATATATTTTCTTTTCCGCCATAGCCCTCAAAGAGCTCCAAATATCCACTTTCAGATTCTACAGAGTGTTTCAAAACTGCTCTATCAAAAAAAAGTTTCAACTCGGTGAGTCGAATGCACATATCACAAAGCACTTTCTGAGAATGCTTTCGTCCATTTTTCCCAGGAAGATATTTCCTTTTGGACCGTAGGCCTCAAATCGCTCCAGATATCCACATGCAGATTCTACAAAAGGAGTGTTTCCGAACTGCCCTATCAAAAGGAAGGTTCAACTCTGGTAGTTGAATGTAAACATCACAAAGAAGTTTCTCAGAATGCTTCTGTCTGGTTTTTAGAGGCAGATATTTCTTTTTCTACCATAGGCCTCAAAGCGCTCCAAATATCCACTTGCAGATTCTCCAAAATGAGTGTTTCAAAACTGCTCCATAAAAAGGAAGGTTCAACTCTGTGAGTTGAATGGACAGATGACAAAGAAGTTTCTGAGAATGCTTCTCTCTGGTGTTTATGTGAAGATATTCCCGTTTCCGATGAAGGCCTGAAAGCAGTCCAAATATCCACTTGCCGATTCTACAAAAAGAGTGTTTCAAAACCACTCTATGGAAAGGTATGTTCAACACTGTGAGATGAATGCAAACGTCACCAAGAAGTTGCTGAGAATGCTTCAGTCTAGTTTCTATGGGAAGACATTTCCTTTTGCACCACAGCCCTCAAAGCACCCCAAATGTCTACCTGCACATTCGATAAAAGAGTTTTTCAAAACTGCTCCATCCAAAGAAAGGTTCAACACTGTGAGTTGAATCTACATATCACAAAAAAGTTTCTGAGAATGCCTCTATCTACTTTTTATGTGAAGATATTCCGGTTTCCAACGAAGGCCTCAAAGCCCTCCAAATATCTACTTGCAGATTCTAGAAAAAGAGTGTTTCAAAACTGCTCTAATAAAGGAAGGTTCAACTCTGTGAGTTGAATTCACACATCACAAAGAACTTTCTGACAATGCTTCTATCTAGTTTTTATGTGAAGATATTACTGTTTCCTATGAAATCCTCAAAGTGGTCCGAATATCCACTTGCAGATTCTACAAAAAGAGGTTTTCAAAACTGCTCTATGCAGAGGTATGTTCAACCCTGTGAGTTGAATGCAAACATCACGAAGCAGTTTCTGAGAATGCTTCTGTCTAGTTTTCAGGGGCAGATATTTCCATTGGCACAGTAGCCCTCCAAGCGCTCCAAATATCCACTGGCAGATTCTACCAAAACTGTGTTTCAAAACTGCTCTGTGAAAAGAAATGTTCAATTGTGTTAGTTGAATGCCCACATCACAAAGGAGATTCTGAGAATATTTCTGTCTAGTTTTTATTAGAAGATATTCCCGTTTCCACCAAAGGACACAAAGCGAAGCCAATTATCCGCTTGCCGATCTTACAAAAACACGTTTCAAAACTGCTCTATCAAAGGAAAGGTTCATCTCTCTGGGTTCAACGCACACATCACAAAGAAGTTTCTGAGAATGCTTCCGGCTAGTTTGTGTGTGAAGATATTCCCATTTCCAACAAAGGCTTCAAAGCGCTCCAAAGATTCACCTGCAATTGTTCAAAAGAGTGTTTCAAAACTGTTGTATCAAAAGGAAGGTTCAACTCTGTGAGTTGAATGCACGCTTCACATAAATGTTTCTGAGAATGCTTCTTTCTAGTTTTTATGTGAAGATATTTCCTTCTCCACCATAGCCCTCAAAGCGCTCCAAGTGTCCGCTGGCAGATTCCACAGAAACAGTGTTTCAAAACTGCTCTAACAAAAGAAAGATTCAACTCCGTGATTTGAATGCACACATCACAAAGCGTTTTCTGTGAATCCTTCTGTCTAGTTTTTATATGAGGATATTTCCTTTTCTACCACAGGCATCCAAGCGTTCCAATTCTCCAATTGTAGATTGCACAAACAGAGTGTTTCAAAACTGCTCCATGAGAAGGAAGATGCAAATTTGGGAGTACAATGCACACATCACGAAGAAGTTTCTGAGAATGCTCTGTCTAGTTTATATGTGCAGATATTCCCATTTCCAGCAAAGGTCTCAAAGCGGTCCAAATATCCACTTGCGGATCCCACAAACAGAGTGTTTCAAAACTGCTCTACGGAAAGGTATGTTCAACTCTGTGAGTTTACTGCAAACATCCTAAAGAAGTTTCTGAGAATGCTGGCTGTCTAGTTTAATGTGAATATATTTTCTTTTCCGCCATAGCCCTCAAAGAGCTCCAAATATCCACTTTCAGATTCTACAGAGTGTTTCAAAACTGCTCTATCAAAAAAATGTTTCAACTCGGTGAGTCGAATGCACATATCACAAAGCAGTTTACTGAGAATGCTTTCGTCTATCTTTCCCAGGAAGATATTTCCTTTTGGACAGTAGGCCTCAAATCGCTCCAGATATCCACATGCAGATTCTACAAAAAGAGTGTTTCCAAACTGCCCTATCAAAAGGAAGGTTCAACTCTGGTAGGTGAATGTAAACATCACAAAGAAGTTTCTCAGAATGCTTCTGTCTAGTTTTTAGGGGCAGATATTTCTTTTTCTACCATAGGCCTCAAAGCGCTCCAAATATCCACTTGCAGATTCTCCAAAAACAGTGTTTCAAAACTGCTCCATAAAAAGGAGGGTTCAACTCTGTGAGTTGAATGGACAGATCACAAAGAAGTTTCTGAGAATGCTTCTGTCTAGTGTTTATGTGAAGATATTCCCGTTTCCGATGAAGGCCTCAAAGCAGTCCAAATGTCCACTTGCAGATTCTACAAAAATAGTGTTTCAAAACTACTCTAGGGAAAGGCATGTTCAACACTGTGAGATGAATGCAAACGTCACAAAGAAGTTGCTGAGAAGGCTTCAGTCAAGTTTCTATGGGAAGACATTTCCTTTTGCACCACAGCCCTCAAAGCACCCCGAATGTCTACCTGCAGATTCGATAAAAGGGTTTTTCAAAACTGCTCCATCCAAAGAAAGGTTCAACTCTGTGAGTTGAATCTACATATCACAAAAAGGTTTCTGAGAATGCCTCTATCTACTTTTCCTGTGAAGATATTCCGGTTTCCAACGAAGGCCTCAAAGCGCTCCAAATATCTACTTGCAGATTCTAGAAAAAGAGTGTTTCAAAACTGCTCTATTAAAGGAAGGTTCAACTCTGTGAGTTGAATTCACACATCACAAAGAACTTTCTGACAATGTTTCCATCTAGTTTTTATGTGAGGATATTACTGTTTTCTATGAAGGCCTCAAAGTGGTCCAAATATCCACTTGCAGATTCTACAAAAAGGGGTTTTCAAAACTGCTCTATGAAGAGGTATGTTCAACTCTGTGAGTTGAATGCAAACATCACAAAGCAGTTTCTGAGAATGCTTCTGTCTAGTTTTTAGGGGCAGATATTTCCATTGGCACAATAGCCCTCAAAGCGCTCCAAATATCCACTGGCAGATTCGACCAAAGGAGTGTTTCAAAACTGCTTTGTGAAAAGAAATGTTCAACTGTGTTAGGTGAATGCCCACATCACAAAGAAGTTTCTGAGAATATCTCTGTCTAGTTTTTATTAGAAGACATGCCCGTTTCCACCAAAGGACACAAAGCGAAGCCAATTATCCGCTTGCCGATCTTACAAAAACACGTTTCAAAACTGCTCTATCAAAGGAAAGGTTCATCTCTCTGGGTTCAACGCACACATCACAAAGAAGTTTCTGAGAATGCTTCTGGCTAGTTTGTGTGTGAAGATATTCCCATTTCCAACAAAGGCTTCAAAGCGCTCCAAAGATTCACCTGCAATTGTTCCAAAGAGTGTTTCAAAACTGTTGTATCAAAAGGAAGGTTCAACTCTATGAGTTGAATGCACGCTTCACATAAATGTTTCTGAGAATGCTTCTTTCTAGTTCTTATGGGAAGATATTTCCTTCTCCACCATAGCCCTCAAAGCGCTGCAAGTGTCCGCTGGCAGATTCCACAGAAACAGTGTTTCAAAACTGCTCTGACAAAAGAAAGATTCAACTCCGTGATTTGAATGCACACATCACAAAGCATTTTCTGTGAATCCTTCTGTCTAGTTTTTATATGAGGATATTTCCTTTTCTACCATGGGCATCAAAGCGTTCCAATTATCCAATTGTGGATTGCACAAACAGAGTGTTTCAAAACTGCTTCATGAAAAGGAAGATTCAAATTCGGGAGTAGACTGCACACATCTCGAAGAAGTTTCTGAGAATGCTTCTGTCCAGTTTATATGTGAAGATATTCCCGTTTCCAGCAAAGGTCTCAAAGCGGTCCAAATATCCACTTGCGGATTCCACAAACAGAGTGTTTCAAAACTGCTCTATGGAAAGGTGTGTTCAACTCTGTGAGTTTACTGCAAACATCCTAAGGAAGTTTCTGGGAATGCTGCTGTCTACTTTAATGTGAATATATTTTCTTTTCCGCCATAGCCCTCAAAGAGCTCCAAATATCCACTTTCAGATTCTACAGAGTGTTTCAAAACTGCTCTATCAAAAAAAAGTTTCAACTCGGTGAGTCGAATGCACATATCACAAAGCAATTTCTGAGAATGCTTTCGTCTATTTTTCCCAGGAAGATATTTCCTTTTTGACCGTAGGCCTCAAACCGCTCCAGATATCCACATGCAGATTCTAAAAAAAGAGTGTCTCCAAACTGCCCTATCAAAAGGAAGTTTCAACTCTGCTAGTTGAATGCAAACATCACAGAGAAGTTTCTCGGAATGCTTCAGTCTAGTATTTAGAGGCAGATATTTCTTTTTCTACCATTGGCCTCAAGGCGCTCCAAATATCCACTTGCAGATTCTCCACAAACAGTGTTTCAAAACTGCTCCATAAAAAGGAAGGTTCAACTCTGTGAGTTGAACGGACAGATCACAAAGAAGTTTCTGAGAATGCTTCTCTCTAGTGTTTATGTGAAGATATTCCCGTTTCCGATGAAGGCCTCAAAGCAGTCCAAATATCCACTTGCCGATTCTACAGAAACAGTGTTTCAAGACCACTCTATGGAAAGGTATGTTCAACACTGTGAGATGAATGCAAACGTCACCAAGAAGTTGCTGAGAATGCTTCAGTCTAGTTTCTATGGGAAGACATTTCCTTTTGCACCACAGCCCTCAAAGCACCCCAAATGTCTACCTGCAGATTCGATAAAAGAGTTTTTCAAAACTGCTCCATCCAAAGAAAGGTTCAACGCTGTGAGTTGAATCTACATATCACAAAAAAGTTTCTGAGAATGCCTCTATCTACATTTCCTGTGAAGATATTCCGGTTTACAACGAAGGCCTCCAAGCGCCCCAAATATCTACTTGCAGATTCTAGAAAAAGAGTGTTTCAACACTGCTCTATTAAAGGAAGTTTCAACTCTGTGAGTTTAATTCACACATCACAAAGAACTTCCTGACAATGCTTCTATCTAGTTTTTATGTGATGATATTACTGTTTCCTATGAAGGCCTCAAAGTGGTCCGAATATCCACTTGCAGATTCTACAAAAAGAGGTTTTCAAAACTGCTCTATGCAGAGGTATGTTCAACTCTGTGAGTTGAATGCAAACATCCCAAAGCAGTTTCTGAGAATGCTTCTGTCTAGTTTTTAGGGGCAGATTTTCCATTGGCACAATAGCCCTCAAAGCGCTCCAAATATCCACTGGCAGATTCTACCAAAAGAGTGTTTCAAAACTGCTCTGTGAAAAGAAACGTTCAACTGTGTTAGCTGAATGCCCACATCACAAAGAAGATTCTGAGAATATTTTCTGTCTAGTTTTTATTAGAAGATATTCCCGTTTCCACCAAAGGACACAAAGCGAAGCCAACTATCCGCTTGCAGATCTTACAAAAACACGTTTCAAAACTGCTCTATCAAAGGAAAGGTTCATCTCTCTGGGTTCAACGCACACATCACAAAGAAGTTTCTGAGAATGCTTCTGGCTAGTTTGTGTGTGAAGATATTCCCATTTCCAACAAAGGCTTCAAAGCGCTCCAAAGATTCACCTGCAATTGTTCAAAAGAGTGTTTCAAAACTGTTGTATCAAAAGGAAGGTTCAACTCTGTGAGTTGAATGCACGCTTCACAAAAATGTTTCTGAGAATGCTTCTTTCTAGTTCTTATGGGAAGATATTTCCTTCTCCACCATAGCCCTCAAAGCGCTGCAAGTGTCCGCTGGCAGATTCCACAGAAACAGTGTTTCAAAACTGCTCTGACAAAAGAAAGATTCAACTCCGTGATTTGAATGCACACATCACAAAGCATTTTCTGTGAATTCTTCTGTCTAGTTTTTATATGAGGATATTTCCTTTTCTACCATGGGCATCAAAGCGTTCCAATTATCCAATTGTGGATTGCACAAACAGAGTGTTTCAAAACTGCTTCATGAAAAGGAAGATTCAAATTTGGGAGTAGAATGCACACATCACGAAGAAGTTTCTGAGAATGCTTCTGTCTAGTTTATATGTGAAGGTATTCCCGTTTCCAGCAAAGGTCTCAAAGCGGTCCAAATATCCACTTGCGGATACCACAAACAGAGTGTTTCAAAACTGCTCTACGGAAAGGTATGTTCAACTCTGTGAGTTTACTGCAAACATCCTAAAGAAGTTTCTGGGAATGCTCCTCTCTAGTTTAATGTGAATATATTTTCTTTTCCGCCATAGCCCTCAAAGAGCTCCAAATATCCACTTTCAGATTCTACAGAGTGTTTCAAAACTGCTCTATCAAAAAAAAGTTTCAACTCGGTGAGTCGAATGCACATATCACAAAGCAGTTTCTGAGAATGCTTTCGTCTATTTATCCCAGGAAGATATTTCCTTTTTGACCGTAGGCCTCAAACCGCTCCAGATATCCACATGCAGATTCTACAAAAAGAGTGTTTCCAAACTGCCCTATCAAAAGGAAGGTTCAACTCTGCTAGTTGAATGCAAACATCACAGAGAAGTTTCTTGGAATGCTTCTGTCTAGTTGTCATAGGCACATATTTCTTTTTCTACCATGGGCCTCAAAGCGCTCCAAATATCCACTTGCAGATCCTCCAAAAACAGTGTTTCAAAACTGCTCCATAAAAAGGAAGGTTCAACTCTGTGAGTTGAATGGACAGACCACAAAGAAGTTTCTGAGAATGCTTCTGTCTAGTGTTTATGTGAAGATATTCCCGTTTCCGATGAAGGCCTCAAAGCAGTCCAAATATCCACTTGCAGATTCTACAAAAATAGTGCTTCAAAACTACTCTATGGAAAGGTATGTTCAACACTGTGAGATGAATGCAAACGTCACAAAGAAGTTGCTGAGAATGCTTCAGTCTAGTTTCTATGGGAAGACATTTCCTTTTGCACCACAGCCCTCAAAGCACCCCAAATGTCTACCTGCAGATTCAATAAAAGAGTTTTTCAAAACTGCTCCATCCAAAGAAAGGTTCAACGCTGTGAGTTGAATCTACATATCACAAAAAAGTTTCTGAGAATGCCTCTATCTACTTTTTATGTGAAGATATTCCGGTTTCCAAAGAAGGCCTCAAAGCGCTCCAAAAATCTACTTGCAGATTCTACAAAAAGAGTGTTTCAAAACTGCTCTATTAAAGGAAGGTTCAACTCTGTGAGTTGAATTCACACATCACAAAGAACTTTCTGACAATGCTTCTATCTAGTTTTTATGTGAAGATACTACTGTTTCCCATGAAGGCCTCAAAGTGGTCCGAATATCCACTTGCAGATTCTACAAAAAGAGGTTTTCAAAACTGCTCTATGCAGAGGTATGTTCAACTCTGTGAGTTGAATGCAAACATCCCGAAGCAGTTTCTGAGAATGCTTCTGTCTAGTTTTTAGGGGAAGATATTTGCATTGGCACAATAGCCCTCAAAGCGCTCCAAATATCCACTGGCAGATTCCACCAAAAGAGTGTTTCAAAACTGCTCTGTGAAAAGAAATGTTCAACTGTGTTAGTTGAATGCCCACATCACAAAGAAGATTCTGAGAATATTTCTGTCTAGTTTTTATTAGAAGATATTCCCGTTTCCACCAAAGGACACAAAGCGAAGCCAATTATCCACTTGCCGATCTTACAAAAACACGTTTCAAAACTGCTCTATCCAAGGAAAGGTTCATCTCTCTGGGTTCAACGCACACATCACAAAGAAGTTTCTGAGAATGCTTCTGGCTAGTTTGTGTGTGAAGATATTCCCATTTCCAACAAAGGCTTCAAAGCGCTCCAAAGATTCACCTGCAATTGTTCAAAAGAGTGTTTCAAAACTGTTCCATCAAAAGGAAGGTTCAACTCTGTGAGTTGAATGCACGCTTCACATAAATGTTTCCGAGAATGCTTCTTTCTAGTTTTTATGGGAAGATATTTCCTTCTCCACCATAGCCCTCAAAGCGCTCCAAGTGTCCGCTGGCAGATTCCACAGAAACAGTGTTTCAAAACTGCTCTAAGAAAAGAAAGATTCAACTGCGTGATTCGAATGCACACATCACAAAGCATTTTCTGTGAATCTTTCTGTCTAGTTTTTATATGAGGATATTTCCTTTTCTACCATGGGCATCAAAGCGTTCCAATTATCCAATTGTGGATTGCACAAACAGAGTGTTTCAAAACTGCTTCATGAAAAGGAAGATTCAAATTCGGGAGTAGAATGCACACATCACGAAGAAGTTTCTGAGAATGCTTTCTGTCTAGTTTATATGTGAAGATATTCCCATTTCCAGCAAAGGTCTCAGAGCGGTCCAAATATCCACTTGCAGATCCCACAAACAGAGGGTTTCAAAACTGCTTTACGGAAAGGTATGTTGAACTCTGTGAGTTTACTGCAAACATCCTAAAGAAGTCTCTGAGAATGCTGCTGTCTACTTTAATGTGAATATATTTTCTTTTCCGCCATAGCCCTCAAAGAGCTCCAAATATCCACTTTCAGATTCTACAGAGTGTTTCAAAACTGCTCTATCAAAAAAAAGTTTCAACTCGGTGAGTCGAATGCACATATCACAAAGCACTTTCTGAGAATGCTTTCGTCTATTTTTCCCAGGAAGATATTTCCTTTTTGACCGTAGGCGTCAAACCGCTCCAGATATCCACATGCAGATTTTACAAAAAGAGTGTTTCCAAACTGCCCTATCAAAAGGAAGGTTCAACTCTGCTAGTTGAATGCAAACATCACAGAGAAGTTTCTCGGAATGCTTCTGTCTGGTTTTTAGAGGCAGATATTTCTTTTTCTACCATAGGCCTCAAAGCGCTCCAAATATCCACTTGCAGATTCTCCAAAAAGAGTGTTTCAAAACTGCTCCAGAAAAAGGAAGGTTCAACTCTGTGAGTTGAATGGACAGATGACAAAGAAGTTTCTGAGGATGCTTCTCTCTAGTGTTTATGTGAAGATATTCCCGTTTCCGATGAAGGCCTCAAAGCAGTCCAAATATCCACTTGCCGATTCTACAAAAACAGTGTTTCAAAACCACTCTATGGAAAGGTATGTTCAACACTGTGAGATGAATGCAAACGTCACCAAGAAGTTGCTGAGAATGCTGCAGTCTAGTTTCTATGGGAAGACATTTCCTTTTGCACCACAGCCCTCAAAGCACCCCAAATGTCTACCTGCAGATTCGATAAAAGGGATTTTCAAAACTGCTCCATGCAAAGAAAGGTTCAACGCTGTGAGTTGAATCTACATATCACAAAAAAGTTTCTGAGAATGCCTCTATCTACTTTTTATGTGAAGATATTCCTGTTTCCAACGAAGGCCTCAAAGCGCTCCAAATATCTACTGGCAGATTCTAGAAAAAGAGTGTTTCAAAACTGCTCTATTAAAGGAAGGTTCAACTCTGTGAGTTGAATTCACACATCACAAAGAACTTTCTGACAATGCTTTCCATCTAGTTTTTATGTGAAGATATTACTGTATCTATGAAGGCCTCAAAGTGGTCCAAATATCCACTTGCAGATTCTACAAAAAGAGGTTTTCAAAACTGATCTATGAAGAGGTATGTTCAACTCTGTGAGTTGAATGCAAACATCACAAAGCAGTTTCTGAGAATGCTTCTGTCTAGTTTTCAGGGGCAGGATATTTCCATTGGCACAGTAGCCCTCCAAGCGCTCCAAATATCCACTGGCAGATTCTACCAAAAGAGTGTTTCAAAACTGCTCTGTGAAAAGAAATGTTCAACTGTGTTAGTTGAATGCCCACATCACAAAGGAGATTCTGAGAATATTTCTGTCTAGTTTTTATTAGAAGATATTCGCGTTTCCACCAAAGGACACAAAGCGAATCCAATTATCCGCTTGCCGATCTTACAAAAACACGTTTCAAAACTGCTCTTTCAAAGGAAAGGTTCATCTCTCTGGGTTCAACGCACACATCACAAAGAAGTTTCTGAGAATGTTTCTGGCTAGTTTGTGTGTGAAGATATTCCCATTTCCAACAAAGGCTTCAAAGCCCTCCAAATATTCACCTGCAATTGTTCAAAAGAGTGTTTCAAAACTGTTCTATCAAAAGGAAGGTTCAACTCTGTGAGTTGAACGCACGCTTCACATAAATGGTTCTGAGAATGCTTCTTTCTAGTTTTTATGTGAAGATATTTCCTTCTCCACCATAGCCCTCAAAGCGCTCCAAGTGTCCGCTGGAAGATTCCACAGTAACAGTGTTTCAAAACTGCTCTGACAAAAGAAAGATTCAACTCCGTGATTTGAATGCACACATCACAAAGCATTTTCTGTGAATCCTTTCTGTCTAGTTTTTATATGAGGATATTTCCTTTTCTACCATGGGCATCAAAGCTTTCCAATTATCCAATTGTGGATTGCACAAACAGAGTGTTTCAAAACTGCTTCATGAGAAGGAAGATTCAAATTTGGGAGTAGAATGCACACATCACGAAGAAGTTTCTGAAAATGCTTCTGTCTGGTTTATATGTGAAGATATTCCCATTTCCAGCAAAGGTCTCAAAGCGGTCCAAATATCCACTTGTGGATCCCACAAACAGAGTGTTTCAAAGCTGCTCTACGGAAAGGTAAGTTAAACTCTGTGAGTTTACTGCAAACATCCTAAAGAACTTTCTGAGAATGCTGCTGTCTAGTTTAATGTGAATATATTTTCTTTTCCGCCATAGCCCTCAAAGAGCTCCAAATATCCACTTTCAGATTCTACAGAGTGTTTCAAAACTGCTCTATCAAAAAAAAGTTTCAACTCGGTGAGTCGAATGCACATATCACAAAGCAGTTTCTGAGAATGCTTTCGTCTATTTTTCCCAGGAAGATATTTCCTTTTGGACCGTAGGCCTCAAATCGCTCCAGATATCCACATGCAGATTCTACAAAAAGAGTGTTTCCAAACTGCCCTATCAAAAGAAAGGTTCAACTCTGGTATATGAATGCAAACATCACAAAGAAGTTTCTCAGAATGCTTCTGTCTAGTTTTTAGAGGCAGATATTTCTTTTTCTACCATAGGCCTCAAGGCGCTCCAAATATCCACTTGCAGATTCTCCAAAAACAGTGTTTCAAAACTGCTCCATAAAAAGGAAGGTTCAACTCTGTGAGTTGAATGGACAGATCACAAAGAAGTTTCTGAGAATGCTTCTGTCTAGTGTTTATGTGAAGATATTCCCCTTTCCGATGAAGGCCACAAAGCAGTCCAAATATCCACTTGCAGATTCTACAAAAATAGTGCTTCAAAACTACCCTATGGAAAGGTATGTTCAACACTGTGAGATGAATGCAAACGTCACAAAGAAGTTGCTGAGAATGCTTCAGTCTAGTTTCTATGGGAAGACATTTCCTTTTGCGCCACAGCCCTCAAAGCACCCCAAATGTCTACCTGCAGATTCGATAAAAGAGTTTTTCAAAACTGCTCCATCCAAAGAAAGGTTCAACGCTGTGAGTTGAATCTACATATCACAAAAAAGTTTCTGAGAATGCCTCTATCTACTTTTCCTGTGAAGATGTTCCGCTTTCCAACGAAGGCCTCAAAGCGCTCCAAATATCTACTTGCAGATTCTAGAAAAAGAGTGTTTCAAAACTGCTCTATTAAAGGAAGGTTCAACTCTGTGAGTTGAATTCACACATCACAAAGAACTTTCTGACAATGCTTCTATCTAGTTTTTATGTGAAGATATTACTGTTTCCTATGAAGGCCTCAAAGTGGTCCGAATATCCACTTGCAGATTCTACAAGAAGAGGTTTTCCAAACTGCTCTATGAAGAGGTAGGTTCAACACTGTGAGTTGAATGCAAACATCACAAAGCAGTTTCTGAGAATGCTTCTGTCTAGTTTTTAGGGGCAGATATTTCCATTGGCACAATAGCCCTCAAATCGCTCCAAATATCCACTGGCAGATTCTACCAAAAGAGTGTTTCAAAACTGCTCTGTGAAAAGAAACGTTCAACTGTGTTAGCTGAATGCCCACATCACAAAGAAGATTCTGAGAATATTTCTGTCTAGTTTTTATTAGAAGATATTCCCGTTTCCACCAAAGGACACAAAGCGAAGCCAATTATCCACTTGCCGATCTTACAAAAACACGTTTCAAAACTGCTCTATCAAAGGAAAGGTTCATCTCTCTGGGTTCAACGCACACATCACAAAGAAGTTTCTGAGAATGCTTCTGGCTAGTTTGTGTGTGAAGATATTCCCATTTCCAACAAAGGCTTCAAAGCGCTCCAAAGGATTCACCTGCAATTGTTCAAAAGAGTGTTTCAAAACTGTTCTATCAAAAGGAAGGTTCAACTCTGTGAGTTGAAGGCACGCTTCACATAAATGTTTCCGAGAATGCTTCTTTCTAGTTTTTATGTGAAGATATTTCCTTCTCCACCATAGCCCTCAAAGCACTCCAAGTGTCCGCTGGCAGATTCCACAGAAACAGTGTTTCAAAACTGCTCTAACAAAAGAAAGATTCAACTCCGTGATTTGAATGCACACATCACAAAGCATTTTCTGTGAATCCTTCTGTCTAGTTTTTATATGAGGATATTTCCTTTTCTACCATGGGCATCAAAGGGTTCCAATTATCCAATTGTAGATTGCACAAATAGAGTGTTTCAAAACTGCTTCATGAGAAGGAAGATTCAAATTTGGGAGTAGAATGCGCACATCACGAAGAAGTTTCTGAGAATGCTTCTGTCTAGTTTATATGTGAAGATATTCCCATTTCCAGCAAAGATCTCAAAGCTGTCCAAATATCCACTTGCGGATCCCACAAACAGAGTGTTTCAAAACTGCTCTACGGAAAGGTATGTTCAACTCTGTGAGTTTACTGCAGACATCCTAAAGAAGTTTCTGAGAATGCTGCTGTCTACTTTAATGTGAATATATTTTCTTTTCCGACATAGCCCTCAAAGAGCTCCAAATATCCACTTTCAGATTCTACAGAGTGTTTCAAAACTGCTCTATCAAAAAAAAGTTTCAACTCGGTGAGTCGAATGCACATATCACAAAGCAGTTTCTGAGAATGCTTTCGTCTATTTTTCCCAGGAAGATATTTCCTTTTGGACCGTAGGCCTCAAATCGCTCCAGATATCCACATGCAGATTCTACAAAAAGAGTGTTTCCAAACTGCCCTATCAAAAGGAAGGTTCAACTCTGGTAGTTGAATGCAAACATCACAAAGAAGTTTGCTCAGAATGCTTCTGTCTGGTTTTTAGAAGCAGATATTTCTTTTTCTACCATAGGCCTCAAAGCGCTCCAAATATCCACTTGCAGATTCTCCAAAAACAGTGTTTCAAAACTGCTCCATAAAAAGGAAGGTTCACCTCTGTGAGTTGAATGGACAGATCACAAAGAAGTTTCTGAGAATGCTTCTCTCTAGTGTTTATGTGAAGATATTCCCGTTTCCGATGAAGGCCTCAAAGCATTCCAAATATCCACTTGCAGATTCTACAAAAACAGTGTTTCAAAACTACTCTATGGAAAGGTATGTTCAACACTGTGAGATGAATGCAAACGTCACAAAGAAGTTGCTGAGAATGCTTCAGTCTAGTTTCTATGGGAAGACATTTCCTTTTGCACCACAGCCCTCAAAGCTCCCCAAATGTCTACCTGCAGATTCGATAAAAGAGTTTTTCAAAACTGCTCCATCCAAAGAAAGGTTCAACGCTGTGAGTTGAATCTACATATCACAAAAAAGTTTCTGAGAATGCCTCTATCTACTTTTCCTGTGAAGATATTCCGGTTTCCAACGAAGGCCTCAAAGCGCTCCAAGTATCTACTTGCAGATTCTAGAAAAAGAGTGTTTCAAAACTGCTCTATTAAAGGAAGGTTCAACTCTGTGAGTTGAATTCACACATCACAAAGAACTTTCTGACAATGCTTCTGTCTAGTTTTTATGTGAAGATATTACTGTTTCCTATGAAGGCCTCAAAGTGGTCCGAATATCCACTTGCAGATTGTACAGAAAGAGGTTTTCAAAACTGCTCTGTGAAGAGGTATGTTCAACTCTGTGTGTTGAATGCAAACATCACGAAGTAGTTTCTGAGAATGCTTCTGTCTAGTTTTCAGGGGCAGATATTTCCATTGGCACAATAGCCCTCCAAGCGCTCCAAATATCCACTGGCAGATACTACCAAAAGAGTGTTTCAAAACTGCTCTGTGAAAAGAAATGTTCAACTGTGTTAGTTGAATGCCCACATCACAAAGGAGATTCTGAGAATATTTCTGTCTAGTTTTTATTAGAAGATATTCCCGTTTCCACCAAAGGACACAAAGCGAAGCCAACTATCCGCTTGCAGATCTTACAAAACACGTTTCAAAACTGCTCTATCAAAGGAATGGTTCATCTCTCTGGGTTCAACGCACACATCACAAAGAAGTTTCTGAGAATGCTTCTGGCTAGTTTGTGTGTGAAGATATACCCATTTCCAACAAAGGCTTCAAAGCCCTCCAAATATTCACCTGCAATTGTTCAAAAGAGTGTTTCAAAACTGTTCTATCAAAAGGAAGGTTCAACTACTGTGAGTTGAATGCACGCTTCACATAAATGGTTCTGAGAATGCTTTCTTTCTAGTTTTTATGTGAAGATATTTCCTTCTCCACCGTAGCCCTCAAAGTGCTCCAAGTGTCCGCTGGCAGATTCCACAGAAACAGTGTTTCAAAACTGCTCTAACAAAAGAAAGATTCAACTCCGTGATTTGAATGCACACATCACAAAGCATTTTCTGTGAATCCTTCTGTCTAGTTTTTATATGAGGATATTTCCTTTTCTACCACGGGCATCCAAGCGTTCCAATTCTCCAATAGTAGATTGCACAAACAGAGTGTTTCAAAACTGCTCCATGAGAAGGAAGATTCAAATTTGGGAGTACAATGCACACATCACCAAGAAGTGTCTGAGAATGCTTCTGTCTAGTTTATATGTGAAGATATTCCCGTTTCCAGCAAAGGTCTCAAAGGGGTCCAAATATCCACTTGCGGATCCCACAAACAGAGTGTTTCAAAACTGCTCTACGGAAAGGTATGTTCAACTCTGTGAGTTTACTGCAAACATCCTAAAGAAGTTTCTGGGAATGCTGCTGTCTACTTTAATGTGAATATAGTTTCTTTGCCGCCATAGCCCTCAAAGAGCTCCAAATATCCACTTTCAGATTCTACAGAGTGTTTCAAAACTGCTCTATCAAAAAAAAGTTTCAACTCGGTGAGTCGAATGCATATATCACAAAGCAGTTTCTGAGAATGCTTTTGTCTATTTTTCCCAGGAAGATATTTCCTTTTTGACCGTAGGCCTCAAACCGCTCCAGATATCCACATGCAGATTCTACAAAAAGAGTGTTTCCAAACTGCCCTATCAAAAGGAAGGTTCAACTCTGCTAGTTGAATGCAAACATCACAGAGAAGTTTCTCGGAATGCTTCTGTCTGGTTTTCAGAGGCAGATATTTCTTTTTCTACCATAGGCCTCAAAGCGCTGCAAATATCCACTTGCAGATTCTCCAAAAGGAGTGTTTCCAAACTGCTCCATAAAAAGGAAGGTTCAACTCTGTGAGTTGAATGGACAGATGACAGAGAAGTTTCTGAGAATGCTTCTCTCTAGTGTTTATGTGAAGATATTCCCGTTTCCGATGAAGGCCTGAAAGCAGTCCAAATATCCACTTGCCGATTCTACAAAAACAGTGTTTCAAAACCACTCTATGGAAAGGTATGTTCAACACTGTGAGATGAATGCAAACGTCACCAAGAAGTTGCTGAGAATGCTTCAGGCTAGTTTCTATGGGAAGACATTTCCTTTTGCACCACAGCCCTCAAAGCACCCCAAATGTCTACCTGCAGATTCGATAAAAGAGTTTTTCAAAACTGCTCCATCCAAAGAAAGGTTCAACGCTGTGAGTTGAATCTACATATCACAAAGAGTTTCTGAGAATGCCTCTATCTACTTTTTATGTGAAGATATTCCGGTTTCCAAAGAAGGCCTCAAAGCGCTCCAAATATCTACTTGCAGATTCTAGAAAAAGAGTGTTTCAAAACTGCTCTATTAAAGGAAGGTTCAACTCTGTGAGTTGAATTCACACATCACAAAGAACTTTCTGACAATGCTTCTATCTAGTTTTTCTGTGAAGATATTACTGTTTCCTATGAAGGCCTCAAAGTGGTCCGAATATCCACTTGCAGATTCTACAAAAAGATGTTTTCAAAACTGCTCTATGAGGAGGTATGTTCAAATCTGTGAGTTGAATGCAAACATCACAAAGTAATTTCTGAGAATGCTTCTGTCTAGTTTTTAGGGGCAGATATTTCCATTGGCACAATAGCCCTCAAAGCGCTCCAAATATCCACTGGCAGATTCGTCCAAAAGAGTGTTTCAAAACTGCTCTGTGAAAAGAAATGTTCGACTGTGTTAGTTGAATGCCCACATCACAAAGAAGTTTCTGAGAATATCTCTGTCTAGTTTTTATTAGAAGATATTCCCGTTTCCACCAAAGGACACAAAGCGAAGCCAATTATCCGCTTGCCGAACTTACAAAAACACGTTTCAAAACTGCTCTATCGAAGGAAAGGTTCATCTCTCTGGGTTCAACGCACACATCACAAAGAAGTTTCTGAGAATGCTTCTGGCTAGTTTGTGTGTGAAGATATTCCCATTTCCAACAAAGGCTTCAAAGCGCTCCAAAGATTCACCTGCAATTGTTCAAAAGAGTGTTTCAAAACTGTTGTATCAAAAGGAAGGTTCAACTCTGTGAGTTGAATGCACGCTTCACATAAATGTTTCTGAGAATGCTTCTCTCTAGTTTTTATGGGAAGATATTTCCTTCTCCACCATAGCCCTCAAAGCGCTCCAAGTGTCCGCTGGCAGATTCCACAGAAACAGTGTTCCAAAACTGCTCTGACAAAAGAAAGATTCAACTCCGTGATTTGAATGCACACATCACAAAGCATTTTCTGTGAATCCTTCTGTCTAGTTTTTATATGAGGATATTTCCTTTTCTACCACGGGCATCCAAGCGTTCCAATTCTCCAATTGTAGATTGCACAAACAGAGTGTTTCAAAACTGCTCCATGAGAAGGAAGATTCAAATTTGGGAGTACAATGCACACATCACGAAGAAGTTTCTGAGAATGCTTCTGTCTAGTTTATATGTGAAGATATTCCCATTTCCAGCAAAGGTCTCAAAGCGGTCCAAATATCCACTTGCGGATCCCACAAACAGAGTGTTTCAAAACTGCTTTACGGAAAGGTATGTTCAACTCTGTGAGTTTACTGCAAACATCCTAAAGAAGTTTCTGAGAATGCTGCTGTCTACTTTAATGTGAATATATTTTCTTTTCCGCCATAGCCCTCAAAGAGCTCCAAATATCCACTTTCAGATTCTACAGAGTGTTTCAAAACTGCTCTATCAAAAAAAAGTTTAAACTCGGTGAGTCGAATGCACATATCACAAAGCAGTTTCTGAGAATGCTTTCGTCTATTTTTCCCAGGAAGATATTTCCTTTTTGACCGTAGGCCTCAAACCACTCCAGATATCCACATGCAGATTCTACAAAAAGAGTGTTTCCAAACTGCCCTATCAAAAGGAAGGTTCAACTCTGCTAGTTGAATGCAAACATCACAAAGAAGTTTCTCGGAATGCTTCTGTCTGGTTTTTAGAGGCAGATATTTCTTTTTCTACCATAGGCCTCAAAGCGCTCCAAATATCCACTTGCAGATTCTCCAAAAACAGTGATTCAAAACTGCTCCATAAAAAGGAAGGTTCAACTCTGTGAGTTGAATGGACAGATCACAAAGAAGTTTCTGAGAATGCTTCTCTCTAGTGTTTATGTGAAGATATTCCCGTTTCCGATGAAGGCCTGAAAGCAGTCCAAATATCCACTTGCCGATTATACAAAAACAGTGTTTCAAAACCACTCTATGGAAAGGTATGTTCAACACTGTGAGATGAATGCAAACGTCACCAAGAAGTTGCTGAGAATGCTTCAGTCTAGTTTCTATGGGAAGACATTTCCTTTTGCACCACAGCCCTCAAAGCACCCCAAATGTCTACCTGCAGATTCGATAAAAGAGTTTTTCAAAACTGCTCCATCCAAAGAAAGGTTCAACGCTGTGAGTTGAATCTACATATCACAAAAAGTTTCTGAGAATGCCTCTATCTACTTTTTATGTGAAGATATTCCGGTTTCCAACGAAGGCCTCAAAGCGCTCCAAATATCTACTTGCAGATTCTAGAAAAAGAGTGTTTCAAAACTGCTCTATTAAAGGAAGCTTCAACTCTGTGAGTTGAATTCACACATCACAACGAACTTTCTGACAATGCTTCTATCTAGTTTTTATGTGAAGATATTACTGTTTCCTATGAAGGCCTCAAAGTGGTCCGAATATCCACTTGCAGATTCTACAAAAAGAGGTTTTCAAAACTGCTCTATGAAGAGGTATGTTCAACTCTGTGAGTTGAATGCAAACATCACAAAGTAGTTTACTGAGAATGCTTCTGTCTAGTTTTTAGGGGCAGATATTTCCGTTGGCACAATAGCCCTCAAAGCGCTCCAAATATCCACTGGCAGATTCTACCAAAAGGGTGTTTCAAAACTGCTCTGTGAAAAGAAAGGTTCAACTGTGTTAGTTGAATGCCCACATCACAAAGAAGATTCTGAGAATATTTCTGTCTAGTTTTTATTAGAAGATATTCCCGTTTCCACCAAAGGACACAAAGCGAAGCCAATTATCCGCTTGCAGATCTTACAAAAACACGTTTCAAAACTGCTCTATCAAAGGAAAGGTTCATCTCTCTGGGTTCAACGCACACATCACAAAGAAGTTTCTGAGAATGCTTCTGGCTAGTTTGTGTGTGAAGATATTCCCATTTCCAACAAAGGCTTCAAAGCGCTCCAAAGATTCACCTGCAATTGTTCAAAAGAGTGTTTCAAAACTGTTGTATGAAAGGGAAGGTTCAACTCTGTGAGTTGAATGCACGCTTCACATAAATGTTTCTGAGAATGCTTCTTTCTAATTTTTAGGGAAGATATTTCCTTCTCCACCATAGCCCTCAAAGCGCTCCAAGTGTCCGCTGGCAGATTCCACAGAAACAGTGTTTCAAAACTGCTCTGACAAAAGAAAGATTCAACTCCGTGATTTGAATGCACACATCACAAAGCATTTTCTGTGAATCCTTGTGTCTAGTTTTTATATGAGGATATTTCCTTTTCTACCATGGGCATCAAAGCGTTCCAATTATCCAATTGTGGATTGCACAAACAGAGTGTTTCAAAACTGCTTCATGAAAAGGAAGATTCAAATTTGGGAGTAGAATGCACACATCACGAAGAAGTTTCTGAGAATGCTTCTGTCTAGTGTAAATGTGCAGGTATTCCCATTTCCAGCAAAGGTCTCAAAGCGGTCCAAATATCCACTTGCGGATCCCACAAACAGAGTGTTTCAAAACTGCTCTACGGAAAGGTATGTTCAACTCTTTGAGTTTACTGCAAACATCCTAAAGAAGTTTCTGAGAATGCTGCTGTCTAGTTTAATGTGAATATATTTTCTTTTCCGCCATAGCCCTCAAAGAGCTCCAAATATCCACTTTCAGATTCTACAGAGTGTTTCAAAACTGCTCTATCCAAAAAAAGTTTCAACTCGGTGAGTCGAATGCACATATCACAAAGCAGTTTCTGAGAATGCTTTCGTCTATTTTTCCCAGGAAGATATTTCCTTTTGGACAGTAGGCCTCAAATCGCTCCAGATATCCACATGCAGATTCTGCGAAAAGAGTGTTTCCAAACTGCCCTATCAAAAGGAAGGTTCAACTCTGGTAGTTGAATGCAAACATCACAAAGAAGTTTCTCAGAATGCTTCTGTCTAGTTGTCATAGGCAGATATTTCTTTTTCTACCATAGGCCTCTAAGCGCTCCAAATATCCACTTGCGGATTCTCCAAAAACAGTGTTTCAAAACTGCTCCATAAAAAGGAAGGTTCAACTCTGTGAATTGAATGGACAGACCACAAAGAAGTTTCTGAGAATGCTTCTGTCTAGTGTTTATGTGAAGATATTCCCGTTTCCGATGAAGGCCTCAGAGCAGTCCAAATATCCACTTGCAGATTCTACAAAAATAGTGTTTCAAAACTACTCTATGGAAAGGTATGTTCAACACTGTGAGATGAATGCAAACGTCACAAAGAAGTTGCTGAGAATGCTTCAGTCTAGTTTCTATGGGAAGACATTACCTTTTGCACCACAGCCCTCAAAGCACCCCAAATGTCTACCTGCAGATTCGATAAAAGGGTTTTTCAAAACTGCTCCATCCAAAGAAAGGTTCAACGCTGTGAGTTGAATCTACATATCACAAAAAAGTTTCTGAGAATGCCTCTATCTACTTTTTATGTGAAGATATTCCGGTTTCCAAAGAAGGCCTCAAAGCGCTCCAAATATCGACTTGCAGATTCTAGAAAAAGAGTGTTTCAAAACTGCTCTATTAAAGGAAGGTTCAACTCTGTGAGTTGAATTCACACATCACAAAGAACTTTCTGACAATGCTTCTATCTAGTTTTTATGTGAAGATATTACTGTTTCCTATGAAGGCCTCAAAGTGGTCCGAATATCCACTTGCAGATTCTACAAAAAGAGGTTTTCAAAACTGCTCTATGCAGAGGTATGTTCAAGTCTGTGAGTTGAATGCAAACATCACGAAGCAGTTTCTGAGAATGCTTCTGTCTAGTTTTTAGGGGCAGATATTTCCATTGGCACAATAGCCCTCAAAGCGCTCCAAATATCCACTGGCAGATTCTACCAAAAGAGTGTTTCAAAACTGCTCTGTGAAAAGAAATGTTCAACTGTGTTAGTTGAATGCCCACATCACAAAGAAGATTCTGAGAATATTTCTGTCTAGTTTTTATTAGAAGATATTCCCGTTTCCACCAAAGGACACAAAGCGAAGCCACTTATCCGCTTGCCGATCTTACAAAAACACGTTTCAAAACTGCTCTATGAAAGGAAAGGTTCATCTCTCTGGGTTCAACGCACACATCACAAAGAAGTTTCTGGGAATGCTTCTGGCTAGTTTGAGTGTGAAGATATTCCCATTTCCAACAAAGGCTTCAAAGCGCTCCAAAGATTCACCTGCAATTGTTCAAAAGAGTGTTTCAAAACTGTTGTATCAAAAGGAAGGTTCAACTCTGTGAGTTGAATGCGCGCTTCACATAAATGTTTCTGAGAATGCTTCTTTCTAGTTTTTATGTGAAGATATTTCCTTCTCCACCATAGCCTTCAAAGCGCTCCAAGTGTCCGCTGGCAGATTCCACAGAAACAGTGTTTCAAAACTGCTCTAACAAAAGAAAGATTCAACTCCGTGATTTGAATGCACACATCACAAAGCATTTTCTGTGAATCCTTCTGTCTAGTTTTTATATGAGGATATTTCCTTTTCTACCATGGGCATCAAAGATTTCCAATTATCCAATTGTAGATTGCACAAATAGAGTGTTTCAAAACTGCTTCATGAAAAGGAAGATTCAAATTTGGGTGTAGAATGCACACATCACAAAGAAGTTTCTGAGAATGCTTCTGTCTAGTTTATATGTGAAGATATTCCCGTTTCCAGCAAGGGTCTCAAAGGGGTCCAAATATTCACTTGCGGATCCCACAAACAGAGTGTTTCAAAACTGCTCTACGGAAAGGTATGTTCAACTCTGTGAGTTTACTGCAAACATCCTAAAGAAGTTTCTGGGAATGCTGCTGTCTAGTTTAATGTGAATATATTTTCTTTTCCGCCATAGCCCTCAAAGAGCTCCAAATATCCACTTTCAGATTCTACAGAGTGTTTCAAAACTGCTCTATCCAAAAAAAGTTTCAACTCGGTGAGTCGAATGCACATATCACAAAGCAGTTTCTGAGGATGCTTTCGTCTATTTTTCCCAGGAAGATATTTCCTTTTGGACCGTAGGCCTCAAATCGCTCCAGATATCCACATGCAGATTCTACAAAAAGACTGTTTCCAAACTGCCCTATCAAAAGGAAGGTTCAACTCTGGTAGTTGAATGCAAACATCACAAAGAAGTTTCCTCAGAATGCTTCTGTCTGGTTTTTAGAGGCAGATATTTCTTTTTCTACCATAGGCCTCAAAGCGCTCCAAATATCCACCTGCAGATACTCCAAAAGGAGTGATTCAAAACTGCTCCATAAAAAGGAAGGTTCAACTCTGTGAGTTGAATGGACAGATGACAAAGAAGTTTCTGAGAATGCTTCTCTCTAGTGTTTATGTGAAGATATTCCCGTTTCCGATGAAGGCCTCAAAGCAGTCCAAATATCCACTTGCCGATTCTACAAAAACAGTGTTTCAAAACCACTCTATCTAAAGGTATGTTCAACACTGTGAGATGAATGCAAACGTCACCAAGAAGTTGCTGAGAATGCTTCAGTCTAGTTTCTATGGGAAGACATTTCCTTTTGCACCAGAGCCCTCAAAGCACTCCAAATGTCTACTTGCAGATTCGATAAAAGAGTTTTTCAAAACTGCTCTATCAAAAGAAAGGTTCAACGCTGTGAGTTGAATCTACATATGACAAAAAAGTTTGCTGAGCATGCCTCTATCTACTTTTTATGTGAAGATATTCCGGTTTCCAACGAAGGCCTCAAAGCGCTCCAAATATCTACTTGCAGATTCTAGAAAAAGAGTGTTTCAAAACTGCTCTATTAAAGGAAGGTTCAACTCTGTGAGTTGAATTCACACATCACAAAGAACTTTCTGACAATGCTTCTGTCTAGTTTTTATGTGAAGATATTACTGTTTCCTATGAAGGCCTCAAAGTGGTCCGAATATCCACTTGCAGATTCTACAGAAAGAGGTTTTCAAAACTGCTCTGTGAAGAGGTATGTTCAACTCTGTGTGTTGAATGCAAACATCACGAAGTAGTTTCTGAGAATGCTTCTGTCTAGTTTTTAGGGGCAGATATTTCCATTGGCACAATAGCCCTCCAAGCGCTCCAAATATCCACTGGCAGATTCTACCAAAAGAGTGTTTCAAAACTGCTCTGTGAAAAGAAATGTTCAACTGTGTTAGTTGAATGCCCACATCACAAAGGAGATTCTGAGAATATTTCTGTCTAGTTTTTATTAGAAGATATTCCCGTTTCCACCAAAGGACACAAAGCGAAGCCAATTATCTGCTTGCAGATCTTACAAAAACACGTTTCAAAACTGCTCTATCAAAGGAAAGGTTCATCTCTCTGGGTTCAACGCACACATCACAAAGAAGTTTCTGAGAATGCTTCTGGCTAGTTTGTGTGTGAATATATTCCTATTTCCAACAAAGGCTTCAAAGCGTTCCAAAGATTCACCTGCAATTGTTCAAAAGAGTGTTTCAAAACTGTTCTGTGAAAAGAAATGTTCAACTGTGTTAGTTGAATGCCCACATCACAAAGAAGATTTCTGAGAATATTTCTTTCTAGTTTTTATGTGAAGATATTTCCTTCTCCACCATAGCCCTCAAAGCGCTCCAAGTGTCCCCTGGCAGATTCCACAGAAACAGTGTTTCAAAACTGCTCTAACAAAAGAAAGATTCAACTCCGTGATTTGAATGCACACATCACAAAGCATTTTCTGTGAATCCTTCTGTCTAGTTTTTGTATGAGGATATTTCCTTTTCTACCACGGGCATCCAAGCGTTCCAATTCTCCAATTGTAGATTGCACAAACAGAGTGTTTCAAAACTGCTCCATGAGAAGGAAGATTCAAATTTGGGAGTACAATGCACACATCACGAAGAAGTTTCTGAGAATGCTTCTGTCTAGTTTATATGTGAAGATATTCCCATTTCCAGCAAAGGTCTCAAAGCGGTCCAAATATCCACTTGCAGATCCCACAAACAGAGGGTTTCAAAACTGCTTTACGGAAAGGTATGTTCAACTCTGTGAGTTTACTGCAAACATCCTAAAGATGTTTGCTGAGAATGCTGCTGTCTACTTTAATGTGAATATAGTTTCTTTTCCGCCATAGCCCTCAAAGAGCTCCAAATATCCACTTTCAGATTCTACAGAGTGTTTCAAAACTGCTCTATCAAAAAA
Source organism: Homo sapiens (assembly GCF_000001405.40). Taxonomy (NCBI): domain Eukaryota; kingdom Metazoa; phylum Chordata; class Mammalia; order Primates; family Hominidae; genus Homo; species Homo sapiens. The sequence goes on along the minus strand of NC_000019.10, from coordinate 24,845,991 downwards.
AAGTTTCAACTCGGTCAGTCGAATGCACATATCACAAAGCAGTTTCTGAGAATGCTTTCGTCTATTTTTCCCAGGAAGATATTTCCTTTTTGACCGTAGGCCTCAAACCGCTCCAGATATCCACATGCAGATTCTACAAAAAGAGTGTTTCCAAACTGCCCTATCAAAAGGAAGGTTCAACTCTGCTAGTTGAAGGCAAACATCACAGAGAAGTTTCTCGGAATGCTTCTGTCTAGCTGTTATAGGCAGATATTTCTTTTTCTACCATAGGCCACAAAGCGCTCCAAATATCTACTTGCAGATTCTCCAAAAACAGTGTTTCAAAACTGCTCCATAAAAAGGAAGGTTCAACTCTGTGAGTTGAATGGACAGATCACAAAGAAGTTTCTGAGAATGCTTCTGTCTAGTGTTTATGTGAAGATATTCCCGTTTCCGATGAAGGCCTCAAAGCAGTCCAAATATCCACTTGCAGATTCTACAAAAATAGTGTTTCAAAACTACTCTATGGAAAGGTATGTTCAACACTGTGAGATGAATGCAAACGTCACAAAGAAGTTGCTGAGAATGCTTCAGTCTAGTTTCTATGTGAAGACATTTCCTTTTGCACCACAGCCCTCAAAGCACTCCAAATGTCCACATGCAGATTCGATAAAAGAGTTTTTCAAAACTGCTCTATCAAAAGAAAGGTTCAACGCTGTGAGTTGAATCTACATATCACAAAAAAGTTTCTGAGAATACCTCTATCTACTTTTTATGTGAAGATATTCCGGTTTCCAAAGAAGGCCTCAAAGCGCTCCAAATATCTACTTGCAGATTCTAGAAAAAGAGTGTTTCAAAACTGCTCTATTAAAGGAAGTTTCAACTCTGTGAGTTGAATTCACACATCACAAAGAACTTTCTGACAATGCTTCTATCTAGTTTTTATGTGAAGATATTACTGTTTCCTATGAAGGCCTCAAAGTGGTCCGAATATCCACTTGCAGATTCTTCAAAAAGAGGTTTTCAAAACTGCTCTATGAAGAGGTATGTTCAACTCTGTGAGTTGAATGCAAACATCACAAAGTAGTTTCAGAGAATGCTTCTGTCTAGATTTTAGGGGCAGATATTTCCATTGGCACAACAGCCCTCAAAGCGCTCCAAATATCCACTGGCAGATTCTACCAAAAGAGTGTCTCAAAACTGCCCTGTGAAAAGAAATGTTCAACTGTGTTAGTTGAATGCCCACATCACAAAGGAGATTCTGAGAATATTTCTGTCTAGTTTTTATTAGAAGATATTCCCGTTTCCACCAAAGGACACAAAGCGAAGCCATTTATCCGCTTGCCGACCTTACAAAAACACGTTTCAAAACTGCTCTATCGAAGGAAAGGTTCATCTCTCTGGGTTCAACGCACACATCACAAAGAAGTTTCTGAGAATGCTTCTGGCTAGTTTGTGTGTGAAGATATTCCCATTTCCAACAAAGGCTTCAAAGCGCTCCAAAGATTCACCTGCAATTGTTCAAAAGAATGTTTCAAAACTGTTGTATCAAAAGGAAGGTTCAACTCTGTGAGTTGAATGCACGCTTCACATAAATGTTTCTGAGAATGCTTCTTTCTAGTTTTTATGTGAAGATATTTCCTTCTCCACCATAGCCCTCAAAGCGCTCCAAGTGTCCGCTGGCAGATTCCACAGAAACAGTGTTTCAAAACTGCTCTAACAAAAGAAAGATTCAACTCCGCGATTTGAATGCACACATCACAAAGCATTTTCTGTGAATCCTTCCGTCTGGTTTTTATATGAGGATATTTCCTTTTCTACCATGGGCATCAAAGCGTTCCAATTATCCAATTGTGGATTGCACAAACAGAGTGTTTCAAAACTGCTTCATGAAAAGGAAGATTCAAATTCGGGAGTAGAATGCACACATCACGAAGAAGTTTCTGAGAATGCTTCTGTCTAGTTAATACGTGAAGATATTGCCATTTCCAGCAAAGTTCTCAAAGCGGTCCAAATATCCACTTGCGGATCCCACAAACAGAGTGTTTCAAAACTGCTCTACGGAAAGGTATGTTCAACTCTGTGAGTTTACTGCAAACATCCTAAAGAAGTTTCTGAGAATGCTCCTCTCTAGTTTAATGTGAATATATTTTCTTTTCCGCCATAGCCCTCAAAGAGCTCCAAATATCCACTTTCAGATTCTACAGAGTGTTTCAAAACTGCTCTATCAAAAAAAAGATTCAACTCGGTGAGTCGAATGCCCATATCACAAAGCAGTTTCTGAGAATGCTTTCGTCTATTTTTCCCAGGAAGATATTTCCTTTTTGACCGTAGGCCTCAAACCGCTCCAGATATCCACATGCAGATTCTACAAAAAGAGTGTTTCCAAACTGCCCTATCAAAAGAAAGGTTCAACTCTGCTAGTTGAATGCAAACATCACAAAGAAGTTTCTCGGAATGCTTCTGTCTGGTTTTTAGAGGCAGATATTTATTTTTCTACCATAGGCCTCAAAGCGCTCCAAATATCCACTTGCAGATTCTCCAAAAAGAGTGTTTCAAAACTGCTCCAGAAAAAGGAAGGTTCAACTCTGTGAGTTGAATGGACAGATGACAAAGAAGTTTCTGAGGATGCTTCTCTCTAGTGTTTATGTGAAGATATTCCCGTTTCCGATGAAGGCCTCAAAGCAGTCCAAATATCCACTTCCCGATTCTACAAAAACAGTGTTTCAAAACTACTCTATGGAAAGGTATGTTCAACACTGTGAGATGAATGCAAACGTCACAAAGAAGTTGCTGAGAATGCTTCAGTCTAGTTTCTATGGGAAGACATTTCCTTTTGCACCACAGCCCCCAAAGCACTCCAAATGTCTACTTGCAGATTCGATAAAAGAGTTTTACAAAACTGCTCTATCAAAAGAAAGGTTCAACGCTTTGAGTTGAATCCACATATCACGAAAAAGTTTCTGAGAATGCCTCTATCTACTTTTTCTGTGAAGATATTCCGGTTTCCAACGAAGGCCTCAAAACGCTCCAAATATCTACTTGCAGATTCTAGAAGAAGAGTGTTTCAAAACTGCTCTATTAAAGGAAGGTTCAACTCTGTGAGTTGAATTCACACATCACAAAGAACTTTCTGACAATGCTTCTATCTAGTTTTTATGTGAAGATATTACTGTTTCCTATGAAAGCCTCAAAGTGGTCCGAATATCCACTTGCAGATTCTACAAGAAGAGGTTTTCCAAACTGCTCTATGAAGAGGTAGGTTCAACTCTGTGAGTTGAATGCAAACATCACAAAGCAGTTTCTGAGAATGCTTCTGTCTAGTTTTTAGGGGAAGTTATTTCCATTGGCACAATAGCCCTCAAAGCGCTCCAAATATCCACTGGCAGATTCTACCAAAAGAGTGTTTCAAAACTGCTCTGTGAAAAGAAACGTTCAACTGTGTTTGTTGAATGCCCACATCACAAAGAAGATTCTGAGAATATTTCTGTCTAGTTTTTATTAGAAGATATTCCCGTTTCCACCAAAGGACACAAAGCGAAGCCAATTATCCGCTTGCCGATCTTACAAAAACACGTTTCAAAACTGCTCTATCGAAGGAAAGGTTCATCTCTCTGGGTTCAACACACACATCACAAAGAAGTTTCTGAGAATGCTTCTGGCTAGTTTGTGTGTGAAGATATTCCCATTTCCAACAAAGGCTTCAAAGCGCTCCAAAGATTCACCTGCAATTGTTCAAAAGAGTGTTTCAAAACTGTTGTATCAAAAGGAAGGTTCAACTGCTGTGAGTTGAATGCACGCTTCACATAAATGTTTCTGAGAATGCTTCTTTCTAGTTTTTATGTGAAGATATTTCCTTCTCCACCATAGCCCTCAAAGCGCTCCAAGTGTCCGCTGGCAGATTCCACAGAAAGAGTGTTTCAAAACTGCTCTAACAAAAGAAAGATTCAACTCCGTGATTTGAATGCACACATCACAAAGCATTTTCTGTGAATCCTTCTGTCTAGTTTTCATATGAGGATATTTCCTTTTCTACCATGGGCATCAAAGCGTTCCAATTATCCAATTGTGGATCGCACAAACAGAGTGTTTCAAAACTGCTTCATGAAAAGGAAGATTCAAATTCGGGAGTAGAATGCACACATCACGAGGAAGTTTCTGAGAATGCTTCTGTCCAGTTTATATGTGAAGATATTCCCGTTTCCAGCAAAGGTCTCAAAGCGGTCCAAATATCCACTTGCGGATCCCACAAACAGAGTGTTTCAAAACTGCTCTACGGAAAGGTATGTTCAACTCTGTGAGTTTACTGCAAACATCCTAAAGAAGTTTACTGGGAATGCTGCTGTCTAGTTTAATGTGAATATCTTTTCTTTTCCGCCATAGCCCTCAAAGAGCTCCAAATATCCACTTTCAGATTCTACAGAGTGTTTCAAAACTGCTCTATCCAAAAAAAGTTTCAACTCGGTGAGTCGAATGCACATATCACAAAGCAGTTTCTGAGAATGCTTTCGTCTATTTTTCCCAGGAAGATATTTCCTTTTGGACCGTAGGCCTCAAATCGCTCCAGATATCCACATGCAGATTCTACAAAAAGAGTGTTTCCAAACTGCCCTATCAAAAGGAAGGTTCACCTCTGGTAGTTCAATGCAAACATCACAAAGAAGTTTCTCAGAATGCTTCTGTCTAGTTGTCATAGGCAGATATTTCTTTTTCTACCATAGGCCTCAAAGCGCTCCAAATATCCACTTGCAGATTCTCCGAAAACAGTGTTTCAAAACTGCTCCATAAAAAGGAAGGTTCAACTCTGTGAGTTGAATGGACAGACCACAAAGAAGTTTCTGAGAATGCTTCTCTCTAGTGTTTATGTGAAGATATTCCCTTTTCCGATGAAGGCCTCAAAGCAGTCCAAATATCCACTTGCCGATTCTACAAAAACAGTGTTTCAAAACCACTCTAGGGAAAGGTATGTTCAACACTGTGAGATGAATGCAAACGTCACCAAGAAGTTGCTGAGAATGCTTCAGTCTACTTTCTATGGGAAGACATTTCCTTTTGCACCAGAGCCCTCAAAGCACTCCAAATGTCTACTTGCAGATTCGATAAAAGAGTTTTTCAAAACTGCTCTATCAAAAGAAAGGTTCAACGCTGTGAGTTGAATCTACATATGACAAAAAAGTTTCTGAGCATGCCTCTATCTACATTTCCTGTGAAGATATTCCGGTTTCCAACGAAGGCCTCCAAGCGCTCCAAATATCTACTTGCAGATTCTAGAAAAAGAGTGTTTCAAAACTTCTCTATTAAAGGAAGGTTCAACTCTGTGAGTTGAATTCACACATCACAAAGAACTTTCTGACAATGCTTCTAGCTAGGTTTTATGTGAAGATATTACTGTTTCCTATGAAGGCTTCAAAGAGGACCGAATATCCACTTTCAGGTTCTACAAAAAAGGTTTTCAAAACTGCTCTATGAAGAGGTATGTTCAACTCTGTGAGTCGAATGCAAACATCACAATGTAGTTTCTGAGAATGCTTCTGTCTAGTTTTTAGGGGAAGATATCTCCATTGGCACAATAGCCCTCAAAGCGCTCCAAGTATCCACTGGCAGATTCTAGCAAAAGAGTGTTTCAAAACGGCTCTGTGAAAAGAAATGTTCAACTGTGTTAGTTGAATGCCCACATCACAAAGATGATTGTGAGAATATTTCTGTCTAGTTTTTATTAGAAGATATTCCCGTTTCCAACAAAGGACACAAAGCGAAGCCAATTATCCACTTGCCGATCTTACAAAAACACGTTTCAAAACTGCTCTATCAAAGGAAAAGGTTCATCTCTCTGGGTTCAACGCACACATCACAAAGAAGTTTCTGAGAATGCTTCTGGCTACTTTGTGCGTGAAGATATTCCCATTTCCAGCAAAGGCTTCAAAGCGCTCCAAATATTCACCTGCAATTGTTCAAAAGAGTTTTTCAAAACTGTTCTAACAAAAGGAAGGTTCAACTCTGTGAGTTGAATGCATGCTTCACAGAAATGTTTCTGAGAATGCTTCTTTCTAGTTTTTATGTGAAGATATTTCCTTCTCCACCGTAGCCCTCAAAGCGCTCCAAGTGTCCGCTGGCAGATTCCACAGAAACAGTGTTTCAAAACTGCTCTGACAAAAGAAAGATTCAACTCCGTGATTTGAATGCACACATCACAAAGCATTTTCTGTGAATCCTTCTGTCTAGTTTTTATATGAGGATATTTCCTTTTCTACCACGGGCATCCAAGCGTTCCAATTCTCCAATTGTAGATTGCACAAACAGAGTGTTTCAAAACTGCTCCATGAGAAGGAAGATTCAAATTTGGGAGTACAATGCACACATCACCAAGAAGTTTCTGAGAATGCTTCTGTCTAGTTTATATGTGAAGATATTCCCATTTCCAGCAAAGGTCTCAAAGCGGTCCAAATATCCACTTGCGGATTCCCCAAAAAGAGTGTTTCAAAACTGCTCTATGGAAAGGTATGTTCAACTCTGTGAGTTTAATGCAAACATCATAAAGAAGTTTCTGAGGATGCTGCTGTCTACTTTAATGTGAATATATTTTCTTTTCTGCCATAGCCCTCAAAGAGCTCCAAATATCCACTTTCAGATTCTACAGAGTGTTTCAAAACTGCTCTATCAAAAAAAAGTTTCAACTCGGTGAGTCGAATGCACATATCACAAAGCAGTTTCTGAGAATGCTTTCGTCTATTTTTCCCAGGAAGTTATTTCCTTTTTGACCATAGGCCTCAAATCGCTCCAGATATCCACATGCAGATTCTACAAAAAGAGTGTTTCCAAACTGCCCTATCAAAAGGAAGGTTCAACTCTGGTAGTTGAATGCAAACATCACAAAGAAGTTTCTCAGAATGCTTCTGTCTAGTTGTCATAGGCAGATATTTCTTTTTCTACCATAGGCCTCAAAGCGCTCCAAATATCCACTTGCAGATCCTCCAAAAACAGTGTTTCAAAACTGCTCCATAAAAAGGAAGGTTCAACTCTGTGAGTTGAATGGACAGACCACAAAGAAGTTTCTGAGAATGCTTCTCTCTCTAGTGTTTAAGTGAAGATATTCCCGTTTCCGATGAAGGCCTCAAAGCAGTCCAAATATCCACTTGCCGATTCTACAAAAACAGTGTTTCAAAACCACTCTATGTAAAGGTATGTTCAACACTGTGAGATGAATGCAAACGTCACCAAGAAGTTGCTGAGAATGCTTCAGTCTACTTTCTATGGGAAGACATTTCCTTTTGCACCACAGCCCTCAACGCACTCCAAATGTCTACTTGCAGATTCGATAAAAGAGTTTTACAAAACTGCTCTATCAAAAGAAAGGTTCAACGCTGTGAGTTGAATCCACATATCACGAAAAAGTTTCTGAGAATGCCTCTATCTACGTTTTATGTGAAGATATTCCGGTTTCCAACGAAGGCCTCAAAGCGCTCCAAATATCTACTGGCAGATTCTAGAAAAAGAGTGTTTCAAAACTGCTCTATTAAAGGAAGGTTCAACTCTGTGTGTTGAATTCACACATCACAAAGAACTTTCTGACAATGCTTCTATCTAGTTTTTATGTGATGATATTACTGTTTCCTATGAAGGCCTCAAAGTGTTCCGAATATCCACTTGCAGATTCTACAAAAAGAGGTTTTCGAAACTGCTCTATGAAGAGGTATGTTCAACTCTGTGAGTTGAATGCAGACATCCCAAAGCAGTTTCTGAGAATGCTTCTGTCTAGTTTTTAGGGGCAGATATTTCCATTGGCACAATAGCCCTCAAAGCGCTCCAAATATCCACTGGCAGATTCGTCCAAAAGAGTGTTTCAAAACTGCTTCATGAAAAGAAATGTTCGACTGTGTTAGTTGAATGCCCACATCACAAAGAAGTTTCTGAGAATATCTCTGTCTAGTTTTTATTAGAAGATATTCCCGTTTCCACCAAGGGACACAAAGCAAAGCCAATTATCCGCTTGCAGATCTTACAAAAACACGTTTCAAAACTGCTCTATCAAAGGAAAGGTTCATCTCTCTGGGTTCAACGCACACATCACAAAGAAGTTTCTGGGAATACTTCTGGCTAGTTTGTGTGTGAAGATATTCCCATTTCCAACAAAGGCTTCAAAGCGCTCCAAAGATTCACCTGCAATTGTTCAAAAGAGTGTTTCAAAACTGTTGTATCAAAAGGAAGGTTCAACTCTGTGAGTTGAATGCACGCTTCACATAAATGTTTCTGAGAATGCTTCTTTCTAGTTTTTATGGGAAGATATTTCCTTCTCCACCATAGCCCTCAAAGAGCTCCAAGAGTCCGCTGGCAGATTCCACAGAAACAGTGTTTCAAAACTGCTCTGACAAAAGAAAGATTCAACTCCGTGATTTGAATGCACACATCACAAAGCATTTTCTGTGAATCCTTCTGTCTAGTTTTTATATGAGGATATTTCCTTTTCTACCATGGGCATCAAAGCGTTCCAATTATCCAATTGTGGATTGCACAAACAGAGTGTTTCAAAACTGCTTCATAAAAAGGAAGATTCAAATTCGGGAGGAGAATGCACACATCACGAAGAAGTTTCTGAGAATGCTTCTGTCTAGTTTAAATGTGCAGATATTCCCATTTCCAGCAAAGGTCTCAAAGCGGTCCAAATATCCACTTGCGGATCCCACAAACAGAGTGTTTCAAAACTGCTCTACGGAAAGGTAGGTTCAACTCTGTGAGTTTACTGCAAACATCCTAAAGAAGTTTCTGAGAATGCTGCTGTCTACTTTAATGTGAATATATTTTCTTTTCCGTCATAGCCCTGAAAGAGCTCCAAATATCCACTTTCAGGTTCTACAGAGTGTTTCAAAACTGCTCTATCAAAAAAAAGTTTCAACTCGGTGAGTCGAATGCGCATATCACAAAGCCCTTTGCTGAGAATGCTTTCGTCTATTTTTCCCAGGAAGATATTTCCTTTTTGACCGTAGGCCTCAAACCGCTCCAGATATCCACATGCAGATTCTACAAAAAGAGTGTTTCCAAACTGCCCTATCAAAAGGAAGGTTCAACTCTGCTAGTTGAATGCAAACATCACAAAGAACTTTTCTCGGAATGCTTCTGTCTAGTTGTCATAGGCAGATATTTCTTTTACTACCATAGGCCTCAAAGCGCTCCAAATATCCACTTGCAGATCCTCCGAAAACAGTGTTTCAAAACTGCTCCATAAAAAGGAAGGTTCAACTCTGTGAGTTGAATGGACAGACCACAAAGAAGTTTCTGAGAATGCTTCTGTCTAGTGTTTATGTGAAGATATTCCCGTTTCCGATGAAGGCCTCAAAGCAGTCCGAATGTCCACTTGCAGATTCTACAAAAATAGTGTTTCGAAACTACTCTATGCAAAGGTATGTTCAACACTGTGAGATGAATGCAAACGTCACCAAGAAGTTGCTGAGAATGATTCAGTCTAGGTTCTATGGGAAGACATTTCCTTTTGCACCAGAGCCGTCAAAGCACTCCAAATGTCTACTTGCAGATTCGATAAAAGAGTTTTTCAAAACTGCTCTATCAAAAGAAAGGTTCAACGCTGTGAGTTGAATCTACATATGACAAAAAAGTTTCTGAGCATGCCTCTATCTACTTTTCCTGTGAAGATATTCCGGTTTCCAACGAAGGCCTCAAAGCGCTCCAAGTATCTACTTGCAGATTCTAGAAAAAGAGTGTTTCACAACTGCTCTATTGAAGGAAGGTTCAACTCTGTGAGTTGAATTCACACATCAAAAAGAACTTTCTGACAATGCTTCTATCTAGTTTTTATGTGATGATATTACTGTTTCCTATGAAGGCCTCAAAGTGGTCCGAATATCCACTTGCAGATTCTACAAAAAGAGGTTTTCAAAACTGCTCTATGAAGAGGTATGTTCAACTCTGTGAGTTGAATGCAAACATCCCAAAGCAGTTTCTGAGAATGCTTCTGTCTAGTTTTTAGGGGCAGATATTTCCGTTGGCACAATAGCCCTCAAAGCGCTCCAAATATCCACTGGCAGATTCTACCAAAAGAGTGTTTCAAAACTGCTCTGTGAAAAGAAACGTTCAACTGTGTTAGCTGAATGCCCACATCACAAAGAAGATTCTGAGAATATTTCTGTCTAGTTTTTATTAGAAGATATTCCCGTTTCCACCAAAGGACACAAACCGAAGCCAACTATCCGCTTGCAGATCTTACAAAAACACGTTTCAAAACTGCTCTATCAAAGGAAAGGTTCATCTCCCTGGGTTCAACGCACACATCACAAAGAAGTTTCTGAGAATGCTTCTGGCTAGTTTGTGTGTGAAGATATTCCCATTTCCAACAAAGGCTTCAAAGCCCTCCAAATATTCACCTGCAATTGTTCAAAAGAGTGTTTCAAAACTGTTCTATCAAAAGGAAGGTTCAACTCTGTGAGTTGAATGCACGCTTAACATAAATGGTTCTGAGAATGCTTCTTTCTAGTTTTTATGTGAAGATATTTCCTTCTCCACCATAGCCCTCAAAGCGCTCCTAGTGTCCGCTGGCAGATTCCACAGAAACAGTGTTTCAAAACTGCTCTAACAAAAGAAAGATTCAACTCCGTGATTTGAATGCACACATCACAAAGCATTTTCTGTGAATCCTTCTGTCTAGTTTTTATATGAGGATATTTCCTTTTCTACCATGGGCATCAAAGCGTTCCAATTATCCCATTGTAGATTGGACAAATAGAGTGTTTCAAAACTGCTTCATGAAAAGGAAGATTCAAATTTGGGAGTAGAATGCACACATCACGAAGAAGTTTCTGAGAATGCTTCTGTCTAGTTTATATGTGAAGATATTCCCATTTCCAGCAAAGGTCTCAAAGCGGTCCAAATATCTACTTGCGGATCCCACAAACAGAGTGTTTCAAAACTGCTCTACGGAAAGGTAGGTTTCAACTCTGTGAGTTTACTGCAAACATCCTAAAGAAGTTTCTGAGAATGCTGCTGTCTAGTTTAATGTGAATATATTTTCTTTTCCGCCATAGCCCTCAAAGAGCTCCAAATATCCACTTTCAGATTCTACAGAGTGTTTCAAAACTGCTCTATCCAAAAAAAGTTTCAACTCAGTGAGTCGAATGCACATATCACAAAGCAGTTTCTGAGGATGCTTTCGTCTATTTTTCCCAGGAAGATATTTCCTTTTTGACCGTAGGCCTCAAACCGCTCCAGATATCCACATGCAGATTCTACAAAAAGAGTGTTTCCAAACTGCCCTATCAAAAGGAAGGTTCAACTCTGCTAGTTGAATGCAGACATCACAAAGAACTTTTCTCAGAATGCTTCTGTCTGGTTTTTAGAGGCAGATATTTCTTTTTCTACCATAGGCCTCAAAGCGCTCCAAATATCCACCTGCAGATTCTCCAAAAGGAGTGTTTCAAAACTGCTCCATAAAAAGGAAGGTTCAACTCTGTGAGTTGAATGGACAGATGACAAAGAAGTTTCTGAGAATGCTTCTCTCTAGTGTTTATGTGAAGATATTCCCGTTCCCGATGAAGGCCTCAAAGCAGTCCAAATATCCACTGGCCGATTCTACAAAAACAGTGTTTCAAAACTACTCTATGGAAAGGTATGTTCAACACTGTGAGATGAATGCAAACGTCACAAAGAAGTTGCTGAGAATGCTTCAGTCTAGTTTCTATGGGAAGACATTTCCTTTTGCACCAGAGCCCTCAAAGCACTCCAAATGTCTACTTGCAGAATCGATAAAAGAGTTTTTCAAAACTGCTCTATCAAAAGAAAGGTTCAACGCTGTGAGTTGAATCTACATATGACAAAAAAGTTTCTGAGCATGCCTCTATATACTTTTTATGTGAAGATATTCCAGTTTCCAAAGAAGGCCTCAAAGGGCTCCAAATATCTACTTGCAGATTCTAGAAAAAGAGTGTTTCAAAACTGCTCTATTAAAGGAAGGTTCAACTCTGTGAGTTGAATTCACACATCACAAAGAACTTTCTGACAATGCTTCTATCTAGTTTTTATGTGAAGATATTACTGTTTCCTATGAAGGCCTCAAAGTGGTCCGAATATCCACTTGCAGATTCTACAAAAAGAGGTTTTCAAAACTGCTCTATGAAGAGGTATGTTCAACTCTGTGAGTTGAATGCCAACATCACAAAGCAATTTCTGAGAATGCTTCTGTCTAGTTTTTAGGGGCAGATATTTCCATTGGCACAATAGCCCTCAAAGCGCTCCAAATATCCACTGGCAGATTCTACCAAAAGAGTGTTTCAAAACTGCTCTGTGAAAAGAAACGTTCAACTGTGTTAGCTGAATGCCCACATCACAAAGAAGATTCTGAGAATATTTCTGTCTAGTTTTTATTAGAAGATATTCCCGTTTCCACCAAAGGACACAAAGCGAAGCCAATTATCCGCTTGCAGATCTTACAAAAACACGTTTCAAAACTGCTCTATCAAAGGAAAGGTTCATCTCTCTGGGTTCAACGCACACATCACAAAGAAGTTTCTGAGAATGCTTTCTGGCTAGTTTGTGTGTGAAGATATTCCCATTTCCAACAAAGGCTTCAAAGCCCTCCAAATATTCACCTGCAATTGTTCAAAAGAGTGTTTCAAAACTGTTCTATCAAAAGGAAGGTTCAACTCTGTGAGTTGAACGCACGCTTCACATAAATGGTTCTGAGAATGCTTCTTTCTAGTTTTTATGTGAAGATATTTCCTTCTCCACCATAGCCCTCAAAGCGCTCCAAGTGTCCGCTGGCAGATTCCACAGAAACAGTGTTTCAAAACTGCTCTAACAAAAGAAAGATTCAACTCCGTGATCTGAATGCACATATCACAAAGCATTTTCTGTGAGTCCTTCTGATCTAGTTTTTATATGAGGATATTTCCTTTTCTACCATGGGCATCCAAGCGTTCCAATTATCCAATTGTAGATTGCACAAACAGAGTGTTTCAAAACTGCTCCATGAGAAGGAAGATTCAAATTTGGGAGTACAATGCACACATCACGAAGAAGTTTCTGAGAATGCTTCTGTCTAGTTTATATGTGAAGATATTCCCGTTTCCAGCAAAGGTCTCACAGCGGTCCAAATATCCACTTGCGGATCCCACAAACAGAGTGTTTCAAAACTGCTCTACGGAAAGGTATGTTCAACTCTGTGAGTTTACTGCAAACATCCTAAAGAAGTTTCTGGGAATGCTGCTGTCTTGTTTAATGTGAATATATTTTCTTTTCCGCCATAGCCCTCAAAGAGCTCCAAATATCCACTTTCAGATTCTACAGAGTGTTTCAAAACTGCTCTATCCAAAAAAAGTTTCAACTCGGTGAGTCGAATGCACATATCACAAAGCAGTTTCTGAGGATGCTTTCGTCTATTTTTCCCAGGAAGATATTTCCTTTTGGACCGTAGGCCTCAAATCGCTCCAGATATCCACATGCAGATTCTACAAAAAGAGTGTTTCCAAACTGCCCTATCAAAAGGAAGGTTCAACTCTGGTAGTTGAATGCAAACATCACAAAGAAGTTTCTCAGAATGCTTCAGTCTAGTATTTAGAGGCAGATATTTCTTTTTCTACCATTGGCCTCAAGGCGCTCCAAATATCCACCTGCAGATTCTCCACAAACAGTGTTTCAAAACTGCTCCATAAAAAGGAAGGTTCAACTCTGTGAGTTGAATGGACAGATCACAAAGAAGTTTCTGAGAATTCTTCTCTCTAGTGTTTATGTGAAGATATTCCCGTTACCGATGAAGGCCTGAAAGCTGTCCAAATATCCACTAGCCGATTCTACAAAAACAGTGTTTCAAAACCACTCTATGGAAAGGTATGTTCAACACTGTGAGATGAATGCAAACGTCACCAAGAAGTTGCTGAGAATGCTTCAGTCTAGTTTCTATGGGAAGACATTTCCTTTTGCACCACAGCCCTCAAAGCACCCCAAATGTCTACCTGCAGATTCGATAAAAGAGTTTTTCAAAACTACTCCATCCAAAGAAAGGTTCAACGCTGTGAGTTGAATCTACATATCACAAAGAGTTTCTGAGAATGCCTCTATCTACTTTTCCTGTGAAGATATTCCGGTTTCCAACGAAGGCCTCAAAGCGCTCCAAATATCCACTTGCAGATTCTACAAAAAGAGTGTTTCAAAACTGCTCTATTAAAGGAAGGTTCAACTCTGTGAGTTGAATCCACACATCACAAAGAACTTTCTGACAATGCTTCTATCTAGTTTTTATGTGAAGATATTACCGTTTCCTATGAAGGCCTCAAAGTGGTCCGAATATCCACTTGCAGATTCTACAAAAAGAGGTTTCCAAAAGTGCTCTATGAAGAGGTATGTTCAACTCTGTGAGTTGAATGCAAACATCACAGAGCAGTTTCTGAGAATGCTTCTGTCTAGTTTTTAGGGGCAGATATTTCCATTGGCACAATAGCCCTCAAAGCGCTCCAAATATCCACTGGCAGATTCGACCAAAAGAGTGTTTCAAAACTGCTCTGTGAAAAGAAATGTTCGACTGTGTTAGTTGAATGCCCACATCACAAAGAAATTTCTGAGAATATCTCTGTCTAGTTTTTATTAGAAGATATTCCCGTTTCCACCAAAGGACACAAAGCGAAGCCAACTATCCGCTTGCAGATCTTACAAAAACACGTTTCAAAACTGCTCTATCAAAGGAAAGGTTCATCTCTTCTGGGTTCAACGCACACATCACAAAGAAGTTTCTGAGAATGCTTCTGGCTAGTTTGTGTGTGAAGATATTCCCATTTCCAAAAAAGGCTTCAAAGCCCTCCAAATATTCACCTGCAATTGTTCAAAAGAGTGTTTCAAAACTGTTCTATCAAAAGGAAGGTTCAACTCTGTGAGTTGAATGCACGCTTCACATAAATGGTTCTGAGAATGCTTCTTTCTAGTTTTTATGTGAAGATATTTCCTTCTCCACCATAGCCCTCAAAGCGCTCCAAGTGTCCGCTGGCAGATTCCACAGAAACAGTGTTTCAAAACTGCTCTAACAAAAGAAAGATTCAACTCCGTGATTTGAATGCACACATCACAAAGCATTTTCTGTGAATCTTTCTGTCTAGTTTTTATATGAGGATATTTCCTTTTCTACCATGGGCATCAAAGCGTTCCAATCATCCAATTGTAGAATGCACAAATAGAGTGTTTCAAAACTGCTTCATGAAAAGGAAGATTCAAATTTGGGAGTAGAATGCACACATCACGAAGAAGTTTCTGAGAATGCTTCTGTCCAGTTTATATGTGAAGATATTCCCGTTTCCAGCAAAGGTCTCAAAGCGGTCCAAATATCCACTTGCGGATCCCACACACAGAGTGTTTCAAAGCTGCTCTACGGAAAGGTATGTTCAACTCTGTGAGTTTACAGCAAACATCCTAAAGAAGTTTCTGGGAATGCTGCTGTCTACTTTAATGTGAATATATTTTCTTTTCCGCCATAGCCCTCAAAGAGCTCCAAATATCCACTTTCAGATTCTACAGAGTGTTTCAAAACTGCTCTACCAAAAAAAAGTTTCAACTCGGTGAGTCGAATGCACATATCACAAAGCAGTTTCTGAGAATGCTTTCGTCTATTTTTCCCAGGAAGATATTTCCTTTTTGACCGCAGGCCTCAAATCGCTCCAGATATCCACATGCAGATTCTACAAAAAGAGTGTTTCCAAACTGCCCTATCAAAAGGAAGGTTCAACTCTGGTAGTTGAATGCAAACATCACAAAGAAGTTTCTCAGAATGCTTCTGTCTGGTTTTTAGAGGCAGATATTTCTTTTTCTACCATAGGCCTCAAAGCGCTCCAAATATCCACTTGCAGATTCTCCAAAAGGAGTGTTTCAAAACTGCTCCATAAAAAGGAAGGTTCAACTTTGTGAGTTGAATGGACAGATGACAAGAAGTTTCTGAGAATGCTTCTGTCTAGTGTTTATGTGAAGATATTCCCGTTTCCGATGAAGGCCTCAAAGCAGTCCAAATGTCCACTTGCAGATTCTACAAAAATAGTGTTTCGAAACTACTCTATGCAAAGGTATGTTCAACACTGTGAGATGAATGCAAACGTCACCAAGAAGTTGCTGAGAATGATTTCAGTCTAGTTTCTATGGGAAGACATTTCCTTTTGCACCACAGCCCTCAAAGCACTCCAAATGTCTACTTGCAGATTCGATAAAAGAGTTTTTCAAAACTACTCTATCAAAAGAAAGGTTCAACGCTGTGAGTTGAATCTACATATCACAAAAAAGTTTCTGAGAATGCCTCTATCTACTTTTCCTGTGAAGATATTCCGGTTTCCAACGAAGGCCTCAAAGCGCTCCAAGTATCTACTTGCAGATTCTAGAAAAAGAGTGTTTCACAACTGCTCTATTGAAGGAAGGTTCAACTCTGTGAGTTGAATTCACACATCACAAAGAACTTTCTGACAATGCTTCTATCTAGTTTTTATGTGAAGATATTACTGTTTCCCATGAAGGCCTCAAAGTGGTCCGAATATCCACTTGCAGATTCTACAAAAAGAGGTTTTCAAAACTGCTCTATGCAGAGGTATGTTCAACTCTGTGAGTTGAATGCAAACATCCCGAAGCAGTTTCTGAGAATGCTTCTGTCTAGTTTTTAGGGGAAGATATCTCCATTGGCACAATAGCCCTCAAAGTGCTCCAAGTATCCACTGGCAGATTCTAGCAAAAGAGTGTTTCAAAACTGCTCTGTGAGAAGAAATGTTCAACTGTGTTAGTTGAATGCCCACATCACAAAGACGATTGTGAGAATATTTCTGTCTAGTTTTTATTAGAAGATATTCCCGTTTCCACCAAAGGACACAAAGCGAAGCCAACTATCCGCTTGCAGATCTTACAAAAACACGTTTCAAAACTGCTCTATCAAAGGAAAGGTTCATCTCTCTGGGTTCAACGCACACATCACAAAGAAGTCTCTGAGAATGCTTCTGGCTAGTTTGTGTGTGAAGATATTCCCATTTCCAACAAAGGCTTCAAAGCGCTCAAAGATTCACCTGCAATTGTTCAAAAGAGTGTTTCAAAACTGTTCTATCAAAAGGAAGGTTCAACTCTGTGAGCTGAATGCACGCTTCACATAAATGTTTCTGAGAATGCTTCTTTCTAGTTTTTATGGGAAGATATTTCCTTCTCCACCATAGCCCTCAAAGCGCTCCAAGTGTCCGCTGGCAGATTCCACAGAAACAGTGTTTCAAAACTGCTCTGACAAAAGAAAGATTCAACTCCGTGATTTGAATGCACACATCACAAAGCATTTTACTGTGAATCCTTCTGTCTAGTTTTTATATGAGGATATTTCCTTTTCTACCACGGGCATCCAAGCGTTCCAATTCTCCAATTGTAGATTGCACAAACAGAGTGTTTCAAAACTGCTCCATAAGAAGGAAGATTCAAATTTGGGAGTACAATGCACACATCACGAAGAAGTTTCTGAGAATGCTTCTGTCTAGTTTATATGTGAAGATATTCCCATTTCCAGCAAAGGTCTCAAAGCGGTCCCAAATATCCACTTGCGGATCCCACAAACAGAGTGTTTCAAAACTGCTCTACGGAAAGGTAGGTTCAACTCTGTGAGTTTACTGCAAACATCCTAAAGAAGTTTCTGAGAATGCTGCTGTCTACTTTAATGTGAATATATTTTCTTTTCCGCCATAGCCCTGAAAGAGCTCCAAATATCCACTTTCAGGTTCTACAGAGTGTTTCAAAACTGCTCTATCAAAAAAAAGTTTCAACTCGGTGAGTCGAATGCGCATATCACAAAGCCCTTTCTGAGAATGCTTTCGTCTATTTTTCCCAGGAAGATATTTCCTTTTGGACCTTAGGCCTTAAATCGCTCCAGATATCCACATGCAGATTCTACAAAAAGAGTGTTTCCAAACTGCCCTATCAAAAGGAAGGTTCAACCCTGGTAGTTGAATGCAAACATCACAAAGAACTTTCTCAGAATGCTTCTGTCTAGCTGTGATAGGCAGATATTTCTTTTTCTACCATAGGCCTCAAAGCGCTCCAAATATCCACTTGCAGATTCTCCAAAAACAGGGTTTCAAAACTGCTCCATATAAAGGAAGGTTCAACTCTGTGAGTTGAATGGACAGACCACAAAGAAGTTTCTGAGAATGCTTCTGTCTAGTGTTTATGTGAAGATATTCCCGTTTCCGATGAAGGCCTCAAAGCAGTCCAAATGTCCACTTGCAGATTCTACAAAAATAGTGTTTCAAAACTACTCTATGCAAAGGTATGTTCAACACTGTGAGATGAATGCAAACGTCACCAAGAAGTTGCTGAGAATGATTCAGTCTAGTTTCCATGGGAAGACATTTCCTTTTGCACCACAGCCCTCAAAGCACTCCAAATGTCTACTGGCAGATTCGATAAAAGAGTTTTTCAAAACTGCTCTATCAAAAGAAAGGTTCAACGCTGTGAGCTGAATCTACATATCACAAAAAAGTTTCTGAGAATGCCTCTATCTACTTTTTATGTGAAGATATTCCGGTTTCCAACGAAGGCCTCAAAGCGCTCCAAATATCTACTGGCAGATTCTAGAAAAAGAGTGTTTCAAAACTGCTCTATTAAAGGAAGGTTCAACTCTGTGAGTTGAATTCACACATCACAAAGAACTTTCTGACAATGCTTCTATCTAGTTTTTATGTGAAGATATTACTGTTTCCCATGAAGGCCTCAAAGTGGTCCGAATATCCACTTGCAGATTCTACAAAAAGAGGTTTTCAAAACTGCTCTATGCAGAGGTATGTTCAACTCTGTGAGTTGAATGCAAACATCCCGAAGCAGTTTCTGAGAATTCTTCTGTCTAGTTTTTAGGGGCAGATATTTCCATTGGCACAATAGCCCTCAAAGCGCTCCAAATATCCACTGGCAGATTCGACCAAAAGAGTGTTTCAAAACTGCTCTGTGAAAAGAAATGTTCAACTGCATTAGTTGAATGCCCACATCACAAAGAAGTTTCTGAGAATATCGCTCTGTCTAGTTTTTATTAGAAGATATTCCCGTTTCCACCAAAGGACACAAAGCGAAGCCAATTATCCGCTTGCAGATCTTACAAAAACACGTTTCAAAACTGCTCTATCAAAGGAAAGGTTCATCTCTCTGGGTTCAACGCACACATCACAAAGAAGTTTCTGAGAATGCTTCTGGCTAGTTCGTGTGTGAAGATATTCCCGTTTCCAACAAAGGCTTCAAAGCCCTCCAAATATTCACCTGCAATTGTTCAAAAGAGTGTTTCAAAACTGTTCTATCAAAAGGAAAGTTCAACTCTATGAGTTGAATGCATGCTTCACATAAATGGTTCTGAGAATGCTTCTTTCTAGTTTTTATGGGAAGATATTTCCTTCTCCACCATAGCCCTCAAAGTGCTCCAAGTGTCCGCTGGCAGATTCCACAGAAACAGTGTTTCAAAACTGCTCTGACAAAAGAAAGATTCAACTCCGTGATTTGAATGCACACATCACAAAGCATTTTCTGTGAATCTTTCTGTCTAGTTTTTATATGAGGATATTTCCTTTTCTACCATGGGACATCAAAGCGTTCCAATTATCCAATTGTGGATTGCACAAACAGAGTGTTTCAAAACTGCTTCATGAAAAGGAAGATTCAAATTCGGGAGTAGAATGCACACATCACGAAGAAGTTTCTGAGAATGCTTCTGTCTAGTTTATACGTGAAGATATTCCCATTTCCAGCAAAGGTCTCAAAGCGGTCCAAATATCCACTTGCGGATCCCACAAACAGAGTGTTTCAAAACTGCTCTACGGAAAGGTATGTTCAACTCTGCGAGTTTACTGCAAACATCCTAAAGAAGTTTCTGAGAATGCTGCTGTCTACTTTAATGTGAATATATTTTCTTTTCCGCCATAGCCCTCAAAGAGCTCCAAATATCCACTTTCAGATTCTACAGAGTGTTTCAAAACTGCTGTATCAAAAAAAAGTTTCAACTCGGTGAGTCGAATGCGCATATCACAAAGCACTTTCTGAGAATGCTTTCGTCTATCTTTCCCAGGAAGACATTTCCTTTTGGACCGTAGGCCTCAAATCGCTCCAGATATCCACATGCAGATTCTACAAAAAGAGTGTTTCCAAACTGCCCTATCAAAAGGAAGGTTCAACTCTGGTAGTTGAAGGCAAACATCACAAAGAAGTTTCTCAGAATGCTTCTGTCTGGTTTTTAGAGGCAGATATTTCTTTTTCTACCATAGGCCTCAAAGCGCTCCAAATATCCACTTGCAGATTCTCCAAAAAGAGTGTTTCAAAACTGCTGCAGAAAAAGGAAGGTTCAAATCTGTGAGTTGAATGGACAGATGACAAATAAGTTTCTGAGGATGCTTCTCTCTAGTGTTTATGTGAAGATATTCCCGTTTCCGATGAAGGCCTCAAAGCAGTCCAAATATCCACTTGCCGATTCTACAAAAACAGTGTTTCAAAACTACTCTATGGAAAGGTATGTTCAACACTGTGAGATGAATGCAAACGTCACCAAGAAGTTGCTGAGAATGCTTTCAGTCTAGTTTCTATGGGAAGACATTTCCTTTTGCACCACAGCCCTCAAAGCACTCAAAAGGTCTACTGGCAGATTCGATAAAAGCGTTTTTCAAAACTGCTCTATCAAAAGAAAGGTTCAACGCTGTGAGTTGAATCTACATATCACAAAAAAGTTTCTGAGAATGCCTCTATCTACTTTTTATGTGAAGATATTCCGGTTTCCAACGAAGGCCTCAAAGCGCTCCAAATATCTACTTGCAGACTCTAGAAAAAGAGTGTTTCAAAACTGCTCTATTAAAGGAAGCTTCAACTCTGTGAGTTAAATTCACACATCACAACGAACTTTCTGACAATGCTTCTATCTAGTTTTTATGTGAAGATATTACTGTTTCCTATGAAGGCCTCAAAGTGGTCCGAATATCCACTTGCAGATTCTACAGAAAGAGGTTTTCAAAACTGCTCTCTGAAGAGGTATGTTCAACTCTGTGTGTTGAATGCAGACATCACGAAGTAGTTTCTGAGAATGCTTCTGTCTAGTTTTTAGGGGCAGATATTTCCATTGGCACAATAGCCCTCAAAGCGCTCCAAATATCCACTGGCAGATTCGACCAAAAGAGTGTTTCAAAACTGCTCTGTGAAAAGAAATGTTCGACTGTGTTAGTTGAATGCCCACATCACAAAGAAGTTTCTGAGAATATCTCTGTCTAGTTTTTATTAGAAGATATTCCCGTTTCCACCGAAGGACACAAAGCGAAGCCAATTATCCGCTTGCAGATCTTACAAAAACACGTTTCAAAACTGCTCTATCAAAGGAAAGGTTCATCTCTCTGGGTTCAACGCACACATCACAAAGAAGTTTCTGAGAATGCTTCTGGCTAGTTTGTGTGTGAAGATATTCCCATTTCCAACAAAGGCTTCAAAGCGCTCCAAAGATTCACCTGCAATTGTTCAAAAGGGTGTTTCAAAACTCTTCTATCAAAAGGAAGGTTCAACTCTGTGAGTTGAATGCACGCTTCACATAAATGTTTCTGAGAATGCTTCTTTCTAGTTTTTATGGGAAGATATTTCCTTCTCCACCATAGCCCTGAAAGCGCTCCAAGTGTCCGCTGGCAGATTCCACAGAAACAGTGTTTCAAAACTGCTCTGACTAAAGAAAGATTCAACCCCGTGATTTGAATGCACACATCACAAAGCATTTTCTGTGAATCCTTCTGTCTAGTTTTTATATGAGGATATTTCCTTTTCTACCACGGGCATCCAAGCCTTCCAATTCTCCAATTGTAGATTGCACAAACAGAGTGTTTCAAAACTGCTCCATGAGAAGCAAGATTCAAATTTGGGAGTACAATGCACACGTCACGAAGAAGTTTCTGAGAATGTTTCTGTCTAGTTTATATGTGAAGATATTCCCATTTCCAGCAAAGGTCTCAAAGCGGTCCAAATATCCACTTGCAGATCCCACAAACAGAAGGTTTCAAAACTGCTTTACGGAAAGGTATGTTCAACTCTGTGAGTTTACTGCAAACATCCTAAAGAAGTCTCTGAGAATGCTGCTGTCTAGTTTAATGTGAATATATTTTCTTTTCCGCCATAGCCCTCAAAGAGCTCCAAATATCCACTTTCAGATTCTACAGAGTGTTTCAAAACTGCTCTATCCAAAAAAAGTTTCAACTCGGTGAGTTGAATGCACATATCACAAAGCAGCTTCTGAGAATGCTTTCGTCTATTTTTCCCAGGAAGATATTTCCTTTTTGACCGTAGGCCTCAAACCGCTCCAGATATCCACATGCAGATTCTACAAAAAGAGTGTTTCCAAACTGCCCCATCAAAAGGAAGGTTCAACTCTGCTAGTTGAATGCAAACATCACAAAGAAGTTTCTCGGAATGCTTCTGTCTAGTTGTCATAGGCAGATATTTCTTTTTCTACCATAGGCCTCAAAGCGCTCCAAATATCCACTTGCAGATCCTCCAAAAACAGTGTTTCAAAACTGCTCCATAAAAAGGAAGGTTCAACTCTGTGAGTTGAATGGACAGACCACAAAGAAGTTTCTGAGAATGCTTCTGTCTAGTGTTTATGTGAAGATATTCCCGTTTCCGATGAAGGCCTCAAAGCAGTCCAAATATCCACTTGCAGATTCTACAAAAATAGTGCTTCAAAACTACTCTATGGAAAGGTATGTTCAACACTGTGAGATGAATGCAAACGTCACAATGAAGTTGCTGAGAAGGCTTCAGTCTAGTTTCTATGGGAAGACATTTCCTTTTGCACCACAGCCCTGAAAGCACTCCAAATGTCTACTTGCAGATTCGATAAAAGAGTTTTACAAAACTGCTCTATCAAAAGAAAGGTTCAACGCTGTGAGTTGAATCCACATATCACGAAAAAGTTTCTGAGAATGCCTCTATCTACATTTCCTGTGAAGATATTCCGGTTTCCAACGAAGGCCTCAAAGCGCTCCAAATATCTACTTGCAGATTCTAGAAAATGAGTGTTTCAAAACTGCTCTATTAAAGGAAGGTTCAACTCTGTGAGTTGAATTCACACATCACAAAGAACTTTCTGACAATGCTTCTATCTAGTTTTTATGTGAAGATATTACTGTTTCCTATGAAGGCCTCAAAGTGGTCCGAATATCCACTTGCAGATTCTACAGAAAGAGGTTTTCAAAACTGCTCTGTGAAGAGGTATGTTCAACTCTGTGTGTTGAATGCAGACATCACGAAGTAGTTTCTGAGAATGCTTCTGTCTAGTTTTCAGGGGCAGATATTTCCATTGGCACAATAGCCCTCCAAGCGCTCCAAATATCCACTGGCAGATTCTACCAAAAGAGTGTTTCAAAACTGCTCTGTGAAAAGAAATGTTCAACTGTGTTAGTTGAATGCCCACATCACAAAGAAGATTCTGAGAATATTTTCTGTCTAGTTTTTATTAGAAGATATTCCCGTTTCCACCAAAGGACACAAAGCGAAGCCAACCATCCGCTTGCAGATCTTACAAAAACACGTTTCAAAACTGCTCTTTCAAAGGAAAGGTTCATCTCTCTGGGTTCAACGCACACATCACAAAGAAGTTTCTGAGAATGCTTCTGGCTAGTTTGTGTGTGAAGATATTCCCATTTCCAACACTGGCTTCAAAGCGCTCCAAAGATTCACCTGCAATTGTTCAAAAGAGTGTTTCAAAACTGTTCTATCAAAAGGAAGGTTCAACACTGTGAGTTGAATTCACGCTTCACATACATGTTTCTGAGAATGCTTCTTTCTAGTTTTTATGTGAAGATATTTCCTTCTCCACCGTAGCCCTCAAAGCGCTCCAAGTGTCCGCTGGCAGATTCCACAGAAACAGTGTTTCAATACTGCTCTAACAAAAGAAAGATTCAACTCCGTGATTTGAATGCACACATCACAAAGCATTTTCTGTGAATCCTTCTGTCTAGTTTTTATATGAGGATATTTCCTTTTCTACCATGGGCATCAAAGCGTTCCAATTATCCAATTGTGGATTGCACAAACAGAGTGTTTCAAAACTGCTTCATGAAAAGGAAGATTCAAATTCGGGAGTAGAATGCACACATCACGAAGAAGTTTCTGAGAATGCTTCTGTCTAGTTTATATGTGAAGATATTCCCATTTCCAGCAAAGTTCTCAAAGCTGTCCAAATATCCACTTGCATATCCCACAAACAGAGTGTTTCAAAACTGCTCTATGGAAAGGTAGGTTCAACTCTGTGAGTTTACTGCAAACATCCTAAAGAAGTTTCTGAGAATGCTGCTGTCTAGTTTAATGTGAATATATTTTCTTTTCCGCCATAGCCCTCAAGGAGCTCCAAATATCCACTTTCAGATTCTAAAGAGTGTTTCAAAACTGCTCTATCCAAAAAAAGTTTCAACTCGGTGAGTCGAATGCACATATCACAAAGCAGTTTCTGAGAATGCTTTCGTCTATTTTTCTCAGGAAGATATTTCCTTTTTGACCGTAGGCCTCAAACCGCTCCAGATATCCACATGCAGATTCTACAAAAAGAGTGTTCCCAAACTGCCCTATCAAAAGGAAGGTTCAACTCTGCTAGTTGAATGCAAACATCACAAAGAAGTTTCTCGGAATGCTTCTGTCTGGTTTTTAGAGGCAGATATTTCTTTTTCTACCATAGGCCTCAAAGCGCTCCAAATATCCACTTGCAGATTCTCCAAAAGGAGTGTTTCAAAACTGCTCCATAAAAAGGAAGGTTCAACTCTGTGAGTTGAATGGACAGATGACAAAGAAGTTTCTGAGAATGCTTCTCTCTAGTGTTTATGTGAAGATATTCCCGTTTCCGATGAAGGCCTCAAAGCAGTCCAAATATCCACTTGCAGATTCTACAAAAACAGTGTTTCAAAAGTACTCTATGGAAAGGTATGTTCAACACTGTGAGATGAATGCAAACGTCACAAAGAAGTTGCTGAGAATGCTTCAGTCTAGTTTCTATGGGAAGACATTTCCTTTTGCACCAGAGCCCTCAAAGCACTCCAAATGTCTACTTGCAGATTCGATAAAAGAGTTTTTCAAAACTGCTCTATCAAAAGAAAGGTTCAACGCTGTGAGTTGAATCTACATATGACATAAAAGTTTCTGAGCATGTCTCTATCTACTTTTTATGTGAAGATATTCCGGTTTCCAACGAAGGCTTCAAAGCGCTCCAAATATCTACTTGCAGATTCTAGAAAAAGAGTGTTTCAAAACTGCTCTATTAAAGGAAGGTTCAACTCTGTGAGTTGAATTCACACATCACAAAGAACTTTCTGACAATGCTTCTATCTAGTTTTTATGTGAAGATATTACTGTTTCCTATGAAGGCCTCAAAGTGGTCCGAATATCCACTTGCAGATTCTACAAAAAGAGGTTTTCAAAACTGCTCTATGAAGAGGTATGTTCACCTCTGTGAGTTGAATGCAAACATCACAAAACAGTTTCTGAGAATGCTTCTGTCTAGTTTTTAGGGGCAGATATTTCCATTGGCATAATAGCCCTCAAAGCGCTCCAAATATCCACTGGCAGATTCGACCAAAAGAGTGTTTCAAAACTGCTCTGTGAAAAGAAATGTTCGACTGTGTTAGTTGAATGCCCACATCACAAAGAAGTTTCTGAGAATATCTCTGTCTAGTTTTTATTAGAGGATATTCCCGTTTCCACCAAAGGACACAAAGCGAAGCCAATTATCCGCTTGCCGATCTTACAAAAACACGTTTCAAAACTGCTCTATCAAAGGAAAGGTTCATCTCTCTGGGTTCAACGCACACATCACAAAGAAGTTTCTGAGAATGCTTCTGGCTAGTTTGTGTGTGAAGATATTCCCATTTCCAACAAAGGCTTCAAAGCGCTCCAAAGATTCACCTGCAATTGTTCAAAAGAGTGTTTCAAAACTGTTGTATCAAAAGGAAGGTACAACTCTGTGAGTTGAATGCACGCTTCACATAAATGTTTCTGAGAATGCTTCTTTCTAGTTTTTATGGGAAGATATTTCCTTCTCCACCACAGCCCTCAAAGCGCTCCAAGTGTCCGCTGGCAGATTCCACAGAAACAGTGTTTCAAAACTGCTCTAACAAAAGAAAGATTCAACTCCGTGATTTGAATGCACACATCACAAAGCATTTTCTGTGAATCCTTCTGTCTAGTTTTTATATGAGGATATTTCCTTTTCTACCACGGGCATGCAAGCGTTCCAATTCTCCAATTGTAGATTGCACAAACAGAGTGTTTCAAAACTGCTCCATGAGAAGGAAGATTCAAATTTGGGAGAACAATGCACACATCACGAAGAAGTTTCTGAGAATGCTTCTGTCTAGTTTATACGTGAAGATATTCCCATTTCCAGCAAAGGTCTCAAAGCGGTCCAAATATCCACTTGCAGATCCCACAAACAGAGTGTTTCAAAACTGCTCTACGGAAAGGTATGTTCAACTCTGTGAGTTTACTGCAAACATCCTAAAGAAGTTTCTGAGAATGCTGCTGTCTAGTTTAATGTGAATATCTTTTCTTTTCCGCCATAGCCCTCAAAGAGCTCTAAATATCCACTTTCAGATTCTACAGAGTGTTTCAAAACTGCTCTATCCAAAAAAAGTTTCAACTCGGAGAGTCGAATGCACATATCACAAAGCAGTTTCTGAGAATGCTTTCGTCTATTTTTCCCAGGAAGATATTTCCTTTTGGACCGTAGGCCTCAAATCGCTCCAGATATCCACATGCAGATTCTACAAAAAGAGTGTTTCCAAACTGCCCTATCAAAAGGAAGGTTCACCTCTGGTAGTTGAATGCAAACATCACAAAGAAGTTTCTCAGAATGCTTCTGTCTAGTTGTCATAGGCAGATATTTCTTTTTCTACCATAGGCCTCAAAGCGCTCCAAATATCCACTTGCAGATTCTCCGAAAACAGTGTTGCAAAACTGCTCCATAAAAAGGAAGGTTCAACTCTGTGAGTTGAATGGACAGACCACAAAGAAGTTTCTGAGAATGCTTCTCTCTAGTGTTTATGGAAGATATTCCCGTTTCCGATGAAGGCCTCAAAGCAGTCCAAATATCCACTTGCCGATTCTACAAAAACAGTGTTTCAAAACCACTCTATGGAAAGGTATGTTCAACACTGTGAGATGAATGCAAACGTCAACAAGAAGTTGCTGAGAATGCTTCAGTCTAGTTTCTATGGGAAGACTTTTCCTTTTGCACCAGAGCCCTCAAAGCACCCCAAATGTCTACCTGCAGATTCGATAAAAGAGTTTTTCAAAACTGCTCCATCCAAAGAAAGGTTCAACGCTGTGAGTTGAATCTACATATCACAAAAAAGTTTCTGAGAATGCCTCTATCTACTTTTCCTGTGAAGATATTCCGGTTTCCAACGAAGGCCTCAAAGCGCTCCAAATATCTACTTGCAGATTCTAGAAAAAGTGTGTTTCAAAACTGCTCTATTAAAGGAAGGTTCAAATCTGTGAGTTTAATGCCCACATCACAAAGAAGATTCTGAGAATATTTCTATCTAGTTTTTATGTGAAGATATTACTGTTTCCTATGAAGGCCTCAAAGTGGTCCGAATATCCACTTGCAGATTCTACAAAAAGAGGTTTTCAAAACTGCTCTATGAAGAGGTATGTTCAACTCTGTGAGTTGAATGCAAACATCACAAAGTAGTTTCTGAGAATGCTTCTGTCTAGTTTTTAGGGGAAGATATTTCCATTGGCACAATACCCTCAAAGCGCTCCAAGTATCCACTGGCAGATTCTAGCAAAAGAGTGTTTCCAAACTGCTCTGTGAAAAGAAATGTTCAACTGTGTTAGTTGAATGCCCACATCACAAAGATGATTGTGAGAATATTTCTGTCTAGTTTTTATTAGAAGATATTCCCGTTTCCACCAAAGGACACAAAGCGAAGCCAATTATCCGCTTGCCGATCTTACAAAAACACGTTTCAAAACTGCTCTATCAAAGGAAAGGTTCATCTCTCTGGGTTCAACGCGCACATCACAAAGAAGTTTCTGAGAATGCTTCTGGCTAGTTTGTGTGTGAAGATATTCCCATTTCCAACAAAGGCTTCAAAGCCCCCCAAATATTCACCTGCAATTGTTCAAAAGAGTGTTTCAAAACTGTTCTATCAAAAGGAAGGTTCAACTCTGTGAGTTGAACGCACGCTTCACATAAATGGTTCTGAGAATGCTTCTTTCTAGTTTTTATGGGAAGATATTTCCTTCTCCACCATAGCCCTCAAAGCGCTCCAAGTGTTCGCTGGCAGATTCCACAGAAACAGTGTTTCAAAACTGCTCTGACAAAAGAAAGATTCAACTCCGTGATTTGAATGCACACATCACAAAGCATTTTCTGTGAATCCTTCTGTCTAGTTTTTATATGAGGATATTTCCTTTTCTACCATGGGCATCAAAGCGTTCCAATTATCCAATTGTAGATTGCACAAACAGAGTGTTTCAAAACTGCTCCATGAGAAGGAAGATTCAAATTTGGGAGTACAATGCACACATCACAAAGAAGTTTCTGAGAATGCTTCTGTCTAGTTTATATGTGAAGATATTCCCATTTCCAGCAAAGGTCTCAAAGCGGTCCAAATATCCACTTGCGGATCCCACAAACAGAGTGTTTCAAAACTGCTCTACGGAAAGGTAGGTTCAACTCTGTGAGTTTACTGCAAACATCCTAAAGAAGTTTCTGAGAATGCTGCTGTCTACTTTAATGTGAATATATTTTCTTTTCCGCCATAGCCCTCAAAGAGCTCCAAATATCCACTTTCAGATTCTACAGAGTGTTTCAAAACTGCTCTATCAAAAAAAAGTTTCAACTCGGTGAGTTGAATGCGCATATCACAAAGCAGTTTCTGAGAATGCTTTCGTCTATTTTTCCCAGGAAGATATTTCCTTTTTGACCATAGGCCTCAAACCGCTCCAGATATCCACATGCAGATTCTACAAAAAGAGTGTTTCCAAACTGCCCTATCAAATGGAAAGTTCAACTCTGCTAGTTGAATGCAAACATCGCAAAGAAGTTTCTCGGAATGCTTCTGTCTGGTTTTTAGAGGCAGATATTTCTTTTTCTACCATAGGCCTCAAAGCGCTCCAAATATCCACCTGCAGATTCTCCCAAAGGAGTGTTTCAAAACTGCTCCATAAAAAGGAAGGTTCAACTCTGTGAGTTGAATGGACAGATCACAAAGAAGTTTCTGAGAATGCTTCTCTCTAGTGTTTATGTGAAGATATTCCCGTTTCCGATGAAGGCCTCAAAGCAGTCCAAATATCCACTGGCCGATTCTACAAAAACAGTGTTTCAAAACTACTCTATGGAAAGGTATGTTCAACACTGTGAGATGAATGCAAACGTCACAAAGAAGTTGCTGAGAATGCTTTCAGTCTAGTTTCTATGGGAAGACATTTCCTTTTGCACCACAGCCCTCAAAGCACCCCAAATGTCTACCTGCAGATTCGATAAAAGAGTTTTTCAAAACTGCTCCATCGAAAGAAAGGTTCAACGCTGTGAGTTGAATCTACATATCACAAAGAGATTCTGAGAATGCCTCTATCTACGTTTTATGTGAAGATATTCCGGTTTCCAACGAAGGCCTCAAAGCGCTCCAAATATCTACTGGCAGATTCTAGAAAAAGAGTGTTTCAAAACTGCTCTAATAAAGGAAGGTTCAACGCTGTGAGTTGAATTCACACATCACAAAGAACTTTCTGACAATGCTTCTATCTAGTTTTTATGTGAAGATATTACTGTTTCCTATGAAGGCCTCAAAGTGGTCCGAATATCCACTTGCAGATTCTACAAAAAGAGGTTTTCAAAACTGCTCTATGCAGAGGTATGTTCAACCCTGTGAGTTGAATGCAAACATCACGAAGCAGTTTCTGAGAATGCTTCTGTCTAGTTTTTAGGGGCAGATATTTCCGTTGGCACAATAGCCCTGAAAGCGCTCCAAATATCCACTGGCAGATTCTACCAAAAGGGTGTTTCCAAACTGCTCTGTGAAAAGAAAGGTTCAACTGTGTTAGTTGAATGCCCACATCACAAAGAAGATTCTGAGAATATTTCTGTCTAGTTTTTATTAGAAGATATTCCCGTTTCCACCAAAGGACACAAAGCGAAGCCAATTATCAGCTTGCAGATCTTACAAAAACACGTTTCCAAACTGCTCTATCAAAGGAAAGGTTCATCTCTCTGGGTTCAACGCACACATCACAAAGAAGTTTCTGAGAATGCTTCTGGCTAGTTTGTGTGTGAAGATATTCCCATTTCCAACAAAGCCTTCAAAGCGCTCCAAAGATTCACCTGCAATTGTTAAAAAGAGTGTTTCAAAACTGTTCTATCAAAAGGAAGGTTCAACTCTGTGAGTTGAATGCATGCTTCACATAAATGTTTCCGAGAATGCTTCTTTCTAGTTTTTATGGAAAGATATTTCCTTCTCCACCATGGCCCTCAAAGCGCTCCAAGTGTCCGCTGGCAGATTCCACAGAAACAGTGTTTCAAAACTGCTCTAACAAAAGAAAGATTCAACCCCGTGATTTGAATGCACACATCACAAAGCATTTTCTGTGAATCCTTCTGTCTAGTTTTTATATGAGGATATTTCCTTTTCTACCACGGGCCTCCGAGCGTTCCAATTCTCCAATTGTAGATTGCACAAACAGAGTGTTTGAAAACTGCTCCATGAGAAGGAAGATTCAAATTTGGGAGTACAATGCACACATCACCAAGAAATTTCTGAGAATGCTTCTGTCTAGTTTATATGTGAAGATATTCCCGTTTCCAGCAAAGGTCTCAAAGGGGTCCAAATATCCACTTGCGGATCCCACAAACAGAGTGTTTCAAAACTGCTCTACGGAAAGGTATGTTCAAGTCTGTGAGTTTACTGCAAACATCCTAAAGAAGTTTCTGGGAATGCTGCTGTCTACTTTAATGTGAATATAGTTTCTTTTCCGCCATAGCCCTCAAAGAGCTCCAAATATCCACTTTCAGATTCTACAGAGTGTTTCAAAACTGCTCTATCAAAAAAAAGTTTCAACTCGGTGAGTCGAATGCACATATCACAAAGCAGTTTCTGAGAATGCTTTCGTCTATTTTTCCCAGGAAGATATTTCCTTTTTGACCGTAGGCCTCAAACCGCTCCAGATATCCACATGCAGATTCTACAAAAAGAGAGTTTCCAAACTGCCCTATGCAAAAGGAAGGATTCAACTCTGCTAGTTGAATGCAAACATCACAAAGAAGTTTCTCGGAATGCTTCTGTCTGGTTTTTAGAGGCAGATATTTCTTTTTCTACCGTAGGCCTCAAAGCGCTCCAAATATCCACTTGCAGATTCTCCAAAAGGAGTGTTTCAAAACTGCTCCATAAAAAGGAAGTTTCAACTCTGTGAGTTGAATGGACAGATGACAAAGAAGTTTCTGAGAATGCTTCTCTCTAGTGTTTATGTGAAGATATTCCCGTTTCCGATGAAGGCCTCAAAGCAGTCCAAATATCCACTTGCCGATTCTACAAAAACAGTGTTTCAAAACTACTCTATGGAAAGATATGTTCAACACTGTGAGATGAATGCAAACGTCACAAAGAAGTTGCTGAGAATGCTTCAGTCTAGTTTCCATGGGAAGACATTTCCTTTGGCACCACAGCCCTCAAAGCACTCCAAATGTCTACTTGCAGATTCGACAAAAGAGTTTTTCAAAACTGCTCTATCAAAAGAAAGGTTCAACGCTGTCAGATGAATCTACATATCACAAAAAAGTTTCTGAGAATGCCTCTATCTACTTTTTATGTGAAGGTATTCCGGTTTCCAACGAAGGCCTCAAAGCGCTCCAAATATCTACTTGCAGACTCTGGAAAAAGAGTGTTTCAAAATTGCTCTATTAAAGGAAGGTTCATCTCTGTGAGTTGAATTCACACATTACAAAGAACTTTCTGACAATGCTTCTATCTAGTTTTTCTGTGAAGATATTACTGTTTCCTATGAAGGCCTCAAAGTGGTCCGAATATCCACTTGCAGATTCTACAAAAAGATGTTTTCAAAACTGCTCTATGAGGAGGTATTTTCAAATCTGTGAGTTGAATGCAAACATCACAAAGTAATTTCTGAGAATGCTTCTGTCTAGTTTTTAGGGGCAGATATTTCCGTTGGCACAATAGTCCTCAAAGCGCTCCAAATATCCACTGGCAGATTCTACCAAAAGAGTGTATCAAAACTGCTCTGTGAAGAGAAAGTTTCAACTGTGTTAGTTGAATGCCCACATCACAAAGAAGATTCTGAGAATATTTCTGTCTAGTTTTTATTAGAAGATATTCCCGTTTCCACCAAGCGACACAAAGCGAAGCCAATTATCCGCTTGCAGATCTTACAAAAACACGTTTCAAAACTGCTCTATCAAAGGAAAGGTTCATCTCTCTGGGTTCAACGCACACATCACAAAGAAGTTTCTGAGAATGCTTCTGGCTAGTTTGTGTGTGAAGATATTCCCATTTCCAACAAAGGCTTCAAAGCCCTCCAAATATTCACCTGCAATTGTTCAAAAGAGTGTTTCAAAACTGTTCTATCAAAAGGAAGGTTCAACTCTGTGAGTTGAACGCACGCTTCACATAAATGGTTCTCAGAATGCTTCTTTCTAGTTTTTATGGGAAGATATTTCCTTCTCCACCACAGCCCTCAAAGCGCTCCAAGTGTCCGCTGGCAGATCCCACAGAAACAGTGTTTCAAAACTACTCTGACAAAAGAAAGATTCAACTCCGTGATTTGAATGCACACATCACAAAGCATTTTCTGTGAATCCTTCTGTCTAGTTTTTATATGAGGCTATTTCCTTTTCTACCATTGGCATCAAAGTGTTCCAATTATCCAATTGTGGATTGCACAAACAGAGTGTTTCAAAACTGCTTCATGAAAAGGAAGATTCAAATTCGGGAGTAGAATGCACACATCACGAAGAAGTTTCTGAGAATGCTTCTGTCTAGTTTATATGTGAAGATATTCCCATTTCCAGCAAAGATCTCAAAGCTGTCCAAATATCCACTTGCGGACCCCACAAACAGAGTGTTTCAAAACTGCTCTACGGAAAGGTATGTTCAACTCTGTGAGTTTACTGCAGACATCCTAAAGAAGTTTCTGAGAATGCTGCTGTCTACTTTAATGTGAATATAGTTTCTTTGCCGCCATAGCCCTCAAAGAGCTCCAAATATCCACTTTCAGATTCTACAGAGTGTTTCAAAACTGCTCTATCAAAAAAAAGTTTCAACTCGGTCAGTCGAATGCACATATCACAAAGCAGTTTCTGAGAATGCTTTCGTCTATTTTTCCCAGGAAGATATTTCCTTTTGGACCGTAGGCCTCAAATCGCTCCAGATATCCACATGCAGATTCTACAAAAAGAGTGTTTCCAAACTGCCCTATTAAAAGGAAGGTTCAACTCTGGTAGTTGAATGCAAACATCACAAAGAAGTTTCTCAGAATGCTTCTGTCTAGTTGTCATAGGCCGATATTTCTTTTTCTACCATAGGCCTCAAAGCGCTCCAAATATCCACTTGCAGATCCTCCAAAAACAGTGTTTCAAAACTGCTCCATAAAAAGGAAGGTTCAACTCTGTGAGTTGAATGGACAGACCACAAAGAAGTTTCTGAGAATGCTTCTGTCTAGTGTTTATGTGAAGATATTCCCGTTTCCGATGAAGGCCTCAAAGCAGTCCAAATATCCACTTGCAGATTCTACAAAAATAGTGTTTCAAAACTGCTCTATGGAAAGGTATGTTCAACACTGTGAGATGAATGCAAACGTCACAAGGAAGTTGCTGAGAATGCTTCAGTCTAGTTTCTATGGGAAGACATTTCCTTTTGCACCACAGCCTCCAAAGCACTCCAAATGTCTACTTGCAGATTCGATAAAAGAGTTTTACAAAACTGCTCTATCAAAAGAAAGGTTCAACGCTGTGAGTTGAATCCACATATCACGAAAAAGTTTCTGAGAATGCCTCTATCTACATTTCCTCTGAAGATATTCCGGTTTACAACGAAGGCCTCCAAGCGCTCCAAATATCTACTTGCAGATTCTAGAAAAAGAGTGTTTCAACACTGCTCTATTAAAGGAAAGTTCAACTCTGTGAGTTGAATTCACACATCACAAAGAACTTCCTGACAATGCTTCCATCTAGTTTTTATGTGAAGATATTACTGTTTCCTATGAAGGCCTCAAAGTGGTCCGAATATCCTCTTGCAGATTCTACAAAAAGAGGTTTTCAAAACTGCTCTATGAAAAGGTATGTTCAACTCTGTGAGTTGAATGCAAACATCACAAAGCAGTTTCTGAGAATGCTTCTGTCTAGTTTTCAGGGGCAGATATTTCCATTGGCACAACAGCCCTCCAAGCGCTCCAAATATCCACTGGCAGATTCTACCAAAAGAGTGTTTCAAAACTGCTCTGTGAAAAGAAATGTTCAACTGTGTTAGTTGAATGCCCACATCACAAAGGAGATTCTGAGAATATTTCTGTCTAGTTTTTATTAGAAGATATTCCCGTTTCCACGAAAGGACACAAAGCGAAGCCAATTATCCGCTTGCCGATCTTACAAAAACACGTTTCAAAACTGCTCTATCAAAGGAAAGGTTCATCTCTCTGGGTTCAACGCACACATCACAAAGAAGTTTCTGAGAATGCTTCTGGCTACTTTGTGTGTGAAGATATTCCCATTTCCAACAAAGGCTTCAAAGCGCTCCAAATATTCACCTGCAATTGTTCAAAAGAGTGTTTCAAAACTGTTCTATCAAAAGGAAGGTTCAACGCTGTGAGTTGAATCTACATATCACACAAAAGTTTCTGAGAATGCCTCTTTCTAGTTTTTATGTGAAGATATTTCCTTCTCCACCATAGCCCTCAAAGCGCTCCAAGTGTCCGCTGGCAGATTCCACAGAAACAGTGTTTCAAAACTGCTCTAACAAAAGAAAGATTCAACTCCGTGATTTGAATGCACAAATCACAAAGCATTTTCTGTGAATCCTTCTGTCTAGTTTTTATATGAGGTTATTTCCTTTTCTACAATGGGCATCAAAGCGTTCCAGTTATCCAATTGTAGATTACACAAACGGAGTGTTTCAAAACTGCTTCATGAAAAGGAAGATTCAAATTTGGGAGTAGAATGCACACATCACGAAGAAGTTTCTGAGAATGCTTCTGTCCAGTTTATCTGTGAAGATATTCCCGTTTCCAGCAAAGGTCTCAAAGCGGTCCAAATATCCACTTGCGGATCCCACACACAGAGTGTTTCAAAGCTGCTCTACGGAAAGGTATGTTCAACTCTGTGAGTTTACTGCAAACATCCTAAAGAAGTTTCTGGGAATGCTGCTGTCTAGTTTAATGTGAATATCTTTTCTTTTCTGCCATAGCCCTCAAAGAGCTCCAAATATCCACTTTCAGATTCTACAGAGTGTTTCAAAGCTGCTCTATCCAAAAAAAGTTTCAACTCGGAGAGTCGAATGCACATATCACAAAGCAGTTCCTGAGAATGCTTTCGTCTATTTTTCCCAGGAAGATATTTCCTTTTGGACCGTAGGCCTCAAATCGCTCCAGATATCCACATGCAGATTCTCCAAATGAGTGTTTCCAAACTGCCCTATCAAAGGGAAGGTTCACCTCTGGTAGTTGAATGCAAACATCACAGAGAAGTTTCTCAGAATGCTTCTGTCTGGATTTTAGAGGCAGATATTTCTTTTTCTACCATAGGCCTCAAATCGCTCCAAATATCCACTTGCAGATTCTCCAAAAACAGTGATTCAAAACTGCTCCATAAAAAGGAAGGTTCAACTCTGTGAGTTGAATGGACAGATCACAAAGAAGTTTCTTAGAATGCTTCTCTCTAGTGTTTATGTGAAGATATTCCCGTTTCCGATGAAGGCCTCAAAGCAGTCCAAATATCCACTTGCCGATTCTACAAAAACAGTGTTTCAAAACCACTCTATGGAAAGGTATGTTCAACACTGTGAGGTGAATGCAAACGTCACCAAGAAGTTGCTGAGAATGCTTCAGTCTAGTTTCTATGGGAAGACATTTCCTTTTGCACCACAGCCCTCAAAGCACCCCGAATGTCTACCTGCAGATTCGATAAAAGAGGTTTTCAAAACTGCTCCATCCAAAGAAAGGTTCAACGCTGTGAGTTGAATCTACATATCACAAAAAAAGTTTCTGAGAATGCCTCTATCTACTTTTTCTGTGAAGATATTCCGGTTTCCAACGAAGGCCTCAAAGCGCTCCAAATATCTACTTGCAGATTCTAGAAGAAGAGTGTTTCAAAACTGCTCTATTAAAGGAAGGTTCAACTCTGTGAGTTGAATTCACACATCACAAAGAACTTTCTGACAATGCTTACTCTATCTAGTTTTTATGTGAAGATATTACTGTTTCCTATGAAGGCCTCAAAGTGGTCCGAATATCCACTTGCAGATTCTTCAAAAAGAGGTTTTCAAAACTGCTCTATGCAGAGGTATGTTCAACCCTGTGAGTTGAATGCAAACATCACGAAGCAGTTTCTGAGAATGCTTCTGTCTAGTTTTTAGGGGAAGATATTTCCATTGGCACAATAGCCCTCAAAGCGCTCCAAATATCCACTGGCAGATTCTACCAAAAGAGTCTTTCAAAACTGCTCTGTGAAAAGAAATGTTCAACTGTGTTAGTTGAATGCCCACATCACAAAGAAGATTCTGAGAATATTTCTGTCTAGTTTTTATTAGAAGATATTCCCGTTTCCACCAAAGGACGCAACGCGAAGCCAATTATCCGCTTGCAGATGTTAGAAAAACACGTTTCAAAACAGCTCTATCAAAGGAAAGGTTCATCTCTCTGGGTTCAACGCACACATTACAAAGAAGTTTCTGAGAATGTTTCTGGCTAGTTTGTGTGTGAATATATTCCTATTTCCAACAAAGGCTTCAAAGCGCTCCAAAGATTCACCTGCAATTGTTCAAAAGAGTGTTTCAAAACTGTTCTATCAAACGAAATGTTCAACTCTGTGAGTTGAATGCACGCTTCACATAAATGTTTCTGAGAATGCTTCTTTCTAGTTTTTATGTGAAGATATTTCCTTCTCCACCATAGCGTTCCAAGGGCTCCAAGTGTCCGCTGGCAGATTCCACAGAAACAGTGTTTCAAAACTGCTCTAAGAAAAGAAAGATTCAACTCCGTGATTTGAATGCACACATCACAAAGCATTTTCTGTGAATCCTTCTGTCTAGTTTTTATATGAGGATATTTCCTTTTCTACCACGGGCATCAAAGCGTTCCAATTATCCAATTGTAGATTGCATAAATAGAGTGTTTCAAAACTGCTTCATGAAAAGGAAGATTCAAATTTGGGAGTAGAATGCACACATCACGAAGAAGTTTCTGAGAATGCTTCTGTCTAGTTTATATGTGAAGATATTCCCGTTTCCAGCAAAGGTCTCAAAGCGGTCCAAATATCCACTTGCGGATCCCACAAACAGAGTGTTTCAAAACTGCTCTACGGAAAGGTATGTTCAACTCTGTGAGTTTACTGCAAGCATCCTAAAGAAGTTTCTGGGAATGCTGCTGTCTACTTTAATGTGAATATATTTTCTTTTCCGCCATAGCCCTCAAAGAGCTCCAAATATCCACTTTCAGATTCTACAGAGTGTTTCAAAACTGCTCTATCAAAAAAAAGTTTCAACTAGGTGAGTCGAATGCGCATATCACAAAGCAGTTTCTGAGAATGCTTTCGTCTATTTTTCCCAGGAAGATATTTCCTTTTTGACCGTAGGCCTCAAACCGCTCCAGATATCCACATGCAGATTCTACAAAAAGAGTGTTTCCAAACTGCCCTATCAAAAGGAAGGTTCTACTCTGCTAGTTGAATGCAAACATCGCAAGGAAGTTTCTCGGAATGCTTCTGTCTAGTTGTCATAGGCAGATATTTCTTTTTCTACCATGGGCCTCAAAGCGCTCCAAATATCCACTTGCAGATCCTCCAAAAACAGTGTTTCAAAACTGCTCCATAAAAAGGAAGGTTCAACTCTGTGAGTTGAATGGACAGACCACAAAGAAGTTTCTGAGAATGCTTCTGTCTAGTGTTTATGTGAAGGTATTCCCGTTTCCGATGAAGGCCTCAAAGCAGTCCAAATATCCACTTGCAGATTCTACAAAAATAGTGCTTCAAAACTACTCTATGGAAAGGTATGTTCAACACTGTGAGATGAATGCAAACGTCACAAAGAAGTTGCTGAGAATGCTTCAGTCTAGTTTCTATGGGAAGACATTTCCTTTTGCACCACAGCCCTCAAAGCACTCCAAATGTCTACTTGCAGATTCGATAAAAGAGTTTTTCAAAACTGCTCTATCAAAAGAAAGGTTCAACGCTGTGAGTTGAATCTACATGTCACAAAAAAGTTTCTGAGAATGCCTCTACCTACTTTTTATGTGAAGATATTCCGGTTTCCAACGAAGGCCTCAAAGCGCTCCAAATATCTACTTGCAGATTCTAGAAAAAGAGTGTTTCAAAACTGCTCTATTAAAGGAAGGTTCAACTCTGTGAGTTGAATTCACACATCACAAAGAACTTTCTGACAATGCTTCTATCTAGTTTTTATGTGAAGATATTACTGTTTCCTATGAAGGCCTCAATGTGGTCCGAATATCCACTTGCAGATTCTACAAAAAGAGGTTTTCAAAACTGCTCTATGCAGAGGTATGTTCAAGTCTGTGAGTTGAATGCAAACATCACGAAGCAGTTTCTGAGAATGCTTCTGTCTAGTTTTTAGGGGCAGATATTTCCGTTGGCACAATAGCCCTCAAAGCGCTCCAAATATCCACTGACAGATTCTACCAAAAGAGTGTTTCAAAACTGCTCTGTGAAAAGAAACGTTCAACTGTGTTAGTTGAATGCCCACATCACAAAGAAGATTCTGAGAATATTTCTGTCTAGTTTTTATTATAAGATATTCCCGTTTCCACCAAAGGACACAAAGCGAAGCCAATTATCCGCTTGCCGATCTTACAAAAACACGTTTCAAAACTGCTCTATCGAAGGAAAGGTTCATCTCTCTGGGTTCAACGCACACATCACAAACAAGTTTCTGAGAATGCTTCTGGCTAGTTGGTGTGTGAAGATATTCCCGTTTCCAACAAAGGCTTCAAAGCCCTCCAAATATTCACCTGCAATTGTTCAAAAGAGTGTTTCAAAACTGTTCTATCAAAAGGAAGGTTCAACTCTGTGAGTTGAATGCACGCTTCACATAAATGGTTCTGAGAATGCTTCTTTCTAGTTTTTATGTGAAGATATTTCCTTCTCCACCGTAGCCCTCAAAGCGCTCCAAGTGTCCGCTGGCAGATTCCACAGAAACAGTGTTTCAAAACTGCTCTAACAAAAGAAAGATTCAACTCCGTGATTTGAATGCACACATCACAAAGCATTTTCTGTGAATCCTTCTGTCTAGTTTTTATATGAGGATATTTCCTTTTCTACCATGGGCATCAAAGGGTTCCAATTATCCAATTGTAGATTGCACAAATAGAGTGTTTCAAAACTGCTTCATGAGAAGGAAGATTCAAATTTGGGAGTAGAATGCACACATCACGAAGAAGTTTCTGAGAATGCTTCTGTCTAGTTTATATGTGAAGATATTCCCATTTCCAGCAAAGGTCTCAGAGCGGTCCAAATATCCACTTGCAGATCCCACAAACAGAGGGTTTCAAAACTGCTTTACGGAAAGGTATGTTCAACTCTGTGAGTTTACTGCAAACATCCTAAAGAAGTCTCTGAGAATGCTGCTGTCTACTTTAATGTGAATATATTTTCTTTTCCGCCATAGCCCTCAAAGAGCTCCAAATATCCACTTTCAGATTCTACAGAGTG
Source organism: Homo sapiens (assembly GCF_000001405.40). Taxonomy (NCBI): domain Eukaryota; kingdom Metazoa; phylum Chordata; class Mammalia; order Primates; family Hominidae; genus Homo; species Homo sapiens. The sequence goes on along the minus strand of NC_000019.10, from coordinate 24,806,144 downwards.
TTTCAAAACTGCTCTATCAAAAAAAAGTTTCAACTCGGAGAGTGGAATGCACATATCACAAAGCAGTTTCTGAGAATGCTTTCGTCTATTTTTCCCAGGAAGATATTTCCTTTTTGACCGTAGGCCTCAAATCGCTCCAGATATCCACATGCAGATTCTACAAATGAGTGTTTCCAAACTGCCCTATCAAAAGGAAGGTTCAACTCTGGTAGTTGAATGCAAACATCACAAAGAAGTTTCTCAGAATGCTTCAGTCTAGTATTTAGAGGCAGATATTTCTTTTTCTACCATTGGCCTCAAGGCGCTCCAAATATCCACTTGCAGATTCTCCACAAACAGTGTTTCAAAACTGCTCCATAAAAAGGAAGGTTCAACTCTGTGAGTTGAATGGACAGATCACAAAGAAGTTTCTGAGAATGCTTCTCTCTAGTGTTTATGTGAAGATATTCCCGTTTCCGATGAAGGCCTCAAAGCAGTCCAAATATCCACTTGCCGATTCTACAAAAACAGTGTTTCAAAACCACTCTATGGAAAGGTATGTTCAACACTGTGAGATGAATGCAAACGTCACCAAGAAGTTGCTGAGAAAGCTTCAGTCTAGTTTCTATGGGAAGACATTTCCTTTTGCACCACAGCCCCCAAAGCACTCCAAATGTCTACTTGCAGATTCGATAAAAGAGTTTTACAACACTGCTCTATCAAAAGAAAGGTTCAACGCTGTGAGTTGAATCCACATATCACGAAAAAGTTTCTGAGAATGCCTCTATCTACTTTTCCTGTGAAGATATTCCGGTTTTCATCGAAGGCCTCAAAGCGCTCCAAATATCTACTTGCAGATTCTAGAAAAAGAGTGTTTCGAAACTGCTCTATTAAAGGAAGGTTCAACTCTGTGAGTTGAATTCACACATCACAAAGAACTTTCTGACAATGCTTCTATCTAGTTTTTATGCGAAGATATTACTGTTTCCTATGAAGGCCTCAAAGTGCTCCGAATATCCACTTGCAGATTCTACAAAAAGAGGTTTTCAAAACTGCTCTGTGAAGAGGTATGTTCAACTCTCTGAGTTGAATGCAAACATCATGAAGTAGTTTCTGAGAATGCTTCTGTCTAGTTTTCAGGGGCAGATATTTCCATTGGCACAATAGCCCTCCAAGTGCTCCAAATATCCACTGGCAGATTCTACCAAAAGAGTGTTTCAAAACTGCTCTGTGAAAAGAAATGTTCAACTGTGTTAGTTGAATGCCCACATCACAAAGGAGATTCTGAGAATATTTCTGTCTAGTTTTTATTAGAAGATATTCCCGTTTCCACCAAAGGACACAAAGCGAAGTCGATTATCCGCTTGCAGACCTTACAAAAACACGTTTCAAAACTGCTCTATCAAAGGAAAGGTTCATCTCTCTGGGTTCAACGCACGCATCACAAAGAAGTTTCTGAGAATGCTTCTGGCTAGTTTGTGTGTGAAGATATTCCCATTTCCAACAAAGGCTTCAAAGCGCTCCAAAGATTCACCTGCAATTGTTCAAAAGAGTGTTTCAAAACTGTTCTATCAAAAGGAAGGTTCAACACTGTGAGTTGAATTCACGCTTCACATACATGTTTCTGAGAATGCTTCTTTCTAGTTTTTATGGGAAGATATTTCCTTCTCCACCACAGCCCTCAAAGCGCTCCAAGTGTCCGCTGGCAGATTCCACAGAAACAGTGTTTCAAAACTGCTCTGACAAAAGAAAGATTCAACTCCGTGATTTGAATGCACACAACACAAAGCATTTTCTGTGAATCCTTCTGTCTAGTTTTTATATGAGGATATTTCCTTTTCTACCATGGGCATCAAAGCGTTCCAATTATCCAATTGTGGATTGCACAAACAGATTGTTTCAAAACTGCTTCATGAAAAGGAAGATTCAAATTCGGGAGTAGAATGCACACATCACGAAGAAGTTTCTGAGAATGCTTCTGTCTAGTTTATATGTGAAGATATTCCCATTTCCAGCAAAGGTCTCAAAGCGGTCCAAATATCCCCTTGCGGATCCCACAAACAGAGGGTTTCAAAACTGCTCTACGGAAAGGTATGTTCAACTCTGTGAGTTTACTGCAAACATCCTAAAGAAGTTTCTGAGAATGCTGCTGTCTAGTTTAATGTGAATATATTTTCTTTTCCGCCATAGCCCTCAAAGAGCTCCAAATATCCACTTTCAGATTCTACAGAGTGTTTCAAAACTGCTCTATCCAAAAAAAGTTTCAAATCGGTGAGTCGAATGCACATATCACAAAGCAGTTTCTGAGAATGCTTTCGTCTATTTTTCCCAGGAAGATATTTCCTTTTTGACCGTAGGCCTCAAACCGCTCCAGATATCCACATGGAGATTCTACAAAAAGAGTGTTTCCAAACTGCCCTATCAAAAGGAAGGTTCAACTCTGCTAGTTGAATGCAAACATCACAAAGAAGTTTCTCGGAATGCTTCTGTCTAGTTTTTAGAGGCAGATATTTCTTTTCCTACCATAGGCCTCAAAGCGCTCCAAATATCCACTTGCAGATTCTCCAAAAACAGTGTTTCAAAACTGCTCCATAAAAAGGAAGGTTCAACTCTGTGAGTTGAATGGGCAGATCACAAAGAAGTTTCTGAGAATGCTTCTGTCTAGTGTTTATGTGAAGATATTCCCGTTTCCGATGAAGGCCTCAAAGCAGTCCAAATGTCCACTTGCAGATTCTACAAAAATAGTGTTTTGAAACTACTCTATGCAAAGGTATGTTCAACACTGTGAGATGAATGCAAACGTCACCAAGAAGTTGCTGAGAATGATTCAGTCTAGTTTCTATGGGAAGACATTTCCTTTTGCACCACAGCCCTCAAAGCACCCCGAATGTCTACCTGCAGATTCGATAAAAGAGTTTTTCAAAACTGCTCCATCCAAAGAAAGGTTCAACGCTGTGAGTTGAATCTACATATCACAAAAAAGTTTCTGAGAATGCCTCTATCTACTTTTTATGTGAAGATATTCCGGTTTCCAACGAAGGCCTCAAAGCGCTCCAAATATCTACTGGCAGATTCTAGAAAAAGACTGTTTCAAAACTGCTCTATTAAAGGAAGGTTCAACTCTGTGAGTTGAATTCACACATCACAAAGAACTTTCTGACAATCCTTCTATCTAGTTTTTATGTGATGATATTACTGTTTCCTATGAAGGCCTCAAAGTGGTCCGAATATCCACTTGCAGATTCTACAAAAAGAGGTTTTCAAAACTGCTCTATGAAGAGGTATGTTCAACTCTGTCAGTTGAATGCAAACATCCCAAAGCAGTTTCTGAGAATGCTTCTGTCTAGTTTTTAGGGGAAGATATCTCCATTGGCACAATAGCCCTCAAAGCGCTCCAAGTATCCACTGGCAGATTCTAGCAAAAGAGTGTTTCAAAACTGCTCTGTGAAAAGAAATGTTCAACTGTGTTAGTTGAATGCCCACATTACAAAGATGATTGTGAGAATATTTCTGTCTAGTTTTTATTAGAAGATATTCCCGTTTCCACCAAAGGACACAAAGCGAAGCCAGTTATCCGCTTGCCGATCTTACAAAAACACGTTTCAAAACTGCTCTATCAAAGGAAAGGTTCATCTCTCTGGGTTCAACGCACACATCACAAAGAAGTTTCTGAGAATGCTTCTGGCTAGTTTGTGTGTGAAGATATTCCCATTTCCAACAAAGGCTTCAAAGCGCTCCAAAGATTCACCTGCAATTGTTCAAAAGAGTGTTTCAAAACTCTTCTATCAAAAGGAAGGTTCAACTCTGTGAGTTGAATGCACGCTTCACATAAATGTTTCTGAGAATGCTTCTTTCTAGTTTTTATGGGAAGATATTTCCTTCTCCACCACAGCCCTCAAAGCGCTCCAAGTGTCCGCTGGCAGATTCCACAGAAACAGTGTTTCAAAACTGCTCTGACAAAAGAAAGATTCAACTCTGTGATTTGAATGCACACATCACAAAGCATTTTCTGTGAATCCTTCTGTCTAGTTTTTATATGAGGATATTTCCTTTTCTACCATGGGCATCAAAGCGTTCCAATTATCCAATTGTGGATTGCACAAACAGAGTGTTTCAAAACTGCTTCATGAAAAGGAAGATTCGAAATCGGGAGGAGAATGCACACATCACGAAGAAGTTTCTGAGAATGCTTCTGTCTAGTTTATATGTGAAGATATTCCCATTTCCAGCAAAGGTCTCAAAGCGGTCCAAATATCCACGTGCGGAACCCACAAACAGAGTGTTTCAAAACTGCTCTACGGAAAGGTATGTTCAACTCTGTGAGTTTACTGCAAACATCCTAAAGAAGTTTCTGAGAATGCTGCTGTCTACTTTAATGTGAATATATTTTCTTTTCCGCCATAGCCCTCAAAGAGCTCCAAATATCCACTTTCAGATTCTACAGAGTGTTTCAAAACTGCTCTATCAAAAAAAAGTTTCAACTCGGTGAGTCGAATGCACATATCACACAGCACTTTCTGAGAATGCTTTCGTCTATTTTTCCCAGGAAGATATTTCCTTTTTGACCGTAGGCCTCAAACCGCTCCAGATATCCACATGCAGATTCTACAAAAAGAGTGTTTCCAAACTTCCCTATCAAAAGGAAGGTTCAACTCTGCTAGTTGAATGCAAACATCACAAAGAAGTTTCTCGGAATGCTTCTGTCTGGTTTTTAGAGGCAGATATTTCTTTCTCTACAATAGGCCTCAAAGCGCTCCAAATATCCACTTGCAGATTCTCCAAAAGGAGTGTTTCAAAACTGCTCCATAAAAAGGAAGGTTCAACTCTGTGAGTTGAATGGACAGATGACAAAGAAGTTTCTGAGAATGCTTCTCTCTAGTGTTTATGTGAAGATATTCCCGTTTCCGATGAAGGCCTCAAAGCAGTCCAAATATCCACTTGCAGATTCTACAAAGATAGTGTTTCAAAACTACTCTATGGAAAGGTATGTTCAACACTGTGAGATGAATGCAAACGTCACAAAGAAGTTGCTGAGAATGCTTCAGTCTAGTTTCTATGGGAAGACATTTCCTTTTGCACCACAGCCCTCAAAGCACCCCGAATGTCTACCTGCAGATTCGATAAAAGGGTTTTTCAAAACTGCTCCATCCAAAGAAAGGTTCAATGCTGTGAGTTGAATCTACATATCACAAAAAAGTTTCTGAGAATGCCTCTATCTACGTTTTATGTGAAGATATTCCGGTTTCCAACGAAGGCCTCAAAGCGCTCCAAATATCTACTTGCAGATTCTAGAAAAAGAGTGTTTCAAAACTGCTCTATTAAAGGAAGGTTCAACTCTGTGAGTTGAATTCACACATCACAAAGAACTTTCTGACAATGCTTCTATCTAGTTTTTATGTGAAGATTTTACTGTTTCCCATGAAGGCCTCAGAGTGGTCCGAATATCCACTTGCAGATTCTACAAAAAGAGGTTTTCAAAACTGCTCTATGCAGAGGTATGTTCAAGTCTGTGAGTTGAATGCAAACATCACGAAGCAGTTTCTGAGAATGCTTCTGTCTAGATTTTAGGGGCAGATATTTCCATTGGCACAACAGCCCTCAAAGCGCTCCAAATATCCACTGGCAGATTCGACCAAAAGAGTGTTTCAAAACTGCTCTGTGAAAAGAAATGTTCAACTGTGTTAGTTGAATGCCCACATCACAAAGGAGATTCTGAGAATATTTCTGTCTAGTTTTTATTAGAAGATATTCCCGTTCCCACCAAAGGACACAAAGCGAAGCCAATTATCCGCTTGCAGATCTTACAAAAACACGTTTTAAAACTGCTCTATCCAAGGAAAGGTTCATCTCTCTGGGTTCAACGCACACATCACAAAGAAGTTTCTGAGAATGCTTCTGGCTAGTTTGTGTGTGAAGATATTCCCATTTCCAACAAAGGCTTCAAAGCGCTCCAAAGATTCACCTGCAATTGTTCAAAAGAGTGTTTCAAAACTGTTGTATCACAAGGAAGGTTCAACTCTGTGAGTTGAATGTACGCTTCACATAAATGTTTCTGAGAATGCTTCTTTCTATTTTTTATGTGAAGATATTTCCTTCTCCACCGTAGCCCTCAAAGCGCTCCAAGTGTCCGCTGGCAGATTCCACAGAAACAGTGTTTCAAAACTGCTCTAACAAAAGAAAGATTCAACTCCGTGATTTGAATGCACACATCACAAAGCATTTTCTGTGAATCCTTCTGTCTAGTTTTTATATGAGGATATTTCCTTTTCTACCATGGGCATCAAAGCGTTCCAATTATCCAATTGTGGATTGCACAAACAGAGTGTTTCAAAACTGCTTCATAAAAAGGAAGATTCAAATTCGGGAGTAGAATGCACACATCACGAAGAAGTTTCTGAGAATGCTTCTGTCTAGTTTATATGTGAAGATATTCCCATTTCCAGCAAAGGTCTCAAAGCGGTCCAAATATCCACTTGCGGATCCCACAAACAGAGTGTTTCAAAACTGCTCTACGGAAAGGTATGTTCAACTCTGTGAGTTTACTGTAAACATCCTAAAGAAGTTTCTGAGAATGCTGCTGTCTAGTTTAATGTGAATATATTTTCTTTTCCGCCATAGCCCTCAAAGAGCTCCAAATATCCACTTTCAGATTCTACAGAGTGTTTCAAAACTGCTCTATCAAAAAAAAGTTTCAAATCGGTGAGTCGAATGCACATATCACAAAGCAGTTTCTGAGAATGCTTTCGTCTATTTTTCCCAGGAAGATATTTCCTTTTTGACCGTAGGCCTCAAACCGCTCCAGATATCCACATGCAGATTCTACAAAAAGAGTGTTTCCAAACTGCCCTATCAAAAGGAAGGTTCAACTCTGCTAGTTCAATGCAAACATCACAGAGGAGTTTCTCGGAATGCTTCTGTCTAGTTTTTAGAGGCAGATATTTCTTTTTCTACCATAGGCCTCAAATTGCTCCAAATATCCACTTGCAGATCCTCCAAAAACAGTGTTTCAAAACTGCTCCATAAAAAGGAAGGTTCAACTCTGTGAGTTGAATGGACAGATCACAAAGAAGTTTCTGAGAATGCTTCTCTCTAGTGTTTATGTGAAGATATTCCCGTTTCCGATGAAGGCCTCAAAGCAGTCCAAATATCCACTTACCGATTCTACACAAACAGTGTTTCAAAACTACTCTATGGAAAGGTATGTTCAACACTGTGAGATGAATGCAAACGTCACCAAGAAGTTGCTGAGAATGCTTCAGTCTAGTTTCTATGGGAAGACATTTCCTTTTGCACCACAGCCCTCAAAGCAGTCCAAATGTCTACTTGCAGATTCGATAAAAGAGTTTTACAAAACTGCTCTATCAAAAGAAAGGTTCAACGCTGTGAGTTGAATCCACATATCACGAAAAAGTTTCTGAGAATGCCTCTATCTACTTTTTATGTGAAGATATTCCGGTTTCCAAAGAAGGCCTGAAAGCGCTCCAAATATCTACTTGCAGATTCTAGAAAAAGAGTGTTTCAAAACTGCTCTATTAAAGGAAGGTTCAACTCTGTGAGTTGAATTCACACATCCCAAAGAACTTTCTGACAATGCTTCTATCTAGTTTTTATGTGAAGATATTAATGTTTCCTATGAAGGCCTCAAAGTGGTCCGAATATCCACTTTCAGATTCTACAAAAAAGGTTTTCAAAACTGCTCTATGAAGAGGTATGTTCAACTCTGTGATTCGAATGCAAACATCACAATGTAGTTTCTGAGAATGCTTCTGTCTAGTTTCCAGGGGCAGATATTTCCATTGGCACAATAGCCCTCCAAGCGCTCCAAATATCCACTGGCAGATTCTCCCAAAAGAGTGTTTCAAAACTGCTCTGTGAAAAGAAATGTTCAACTGTGTTAGTTGAATGCCCACATCACAAAGGAGATTCTGAGAATATTTCCGTCTAGTTTTTATTAGAAGATATTCCCGTTTCCACCAAAGGACACAAAGCGAAGCCAATTATCCGCTTGCAGATCTTACAAAAACACGTTTCAAAACTGCTCTATCCAAGGAAAGGTTCATCTCTCTGGGTTCAACGCACACATCACAAAGAAGTTTCTGAGAATGCTTCTGGCTAGTTTGTGTGTGAAGATATTCCCATTTCCAACAAAGGCTTCAAAGCGCTCCAAAGATTCACCTGCAATTGTTCAAAAGAGTGTTTCAAAACTGTTGTATCAAAACGAAGGTTCAACTCTGTGAGTTGAATGCACGCTTCACATAAATGTTTCTGAGAATGCTTCTTTCTAGTTTTTATGGGAAGATATTTCCTTCTCCACCATAGCCCTCAAAGAGCTCCAAGAGTCCGCTGGCAGATTCCACAGAAACAGTGTTTCAAAACTGCTCTCACAAAAGAAAGATTCAACTCCGTGATTTGAATGCACACATCACAAAGGATTTTCTGTGAATCCTTGTGTCTAGTTTTTATATGAGGATATTTCCTTTTCTACCATGGGCATCAAAGCGTTCCAATTATCCAATTGTGGATTGCACAAACAGAGTGTTTCAAAACTGCTTCATGAAAAGGAAGATTCAAATTCGGGAGTAGAATGCACACATCACGAAGAAGTTTCTGAGAATGCTTCTGTCCAGTTTATATGTGAAGATATTCCCGTTTCCAGCAAAGGTCTCAAAGCAGTCCAAATATCCACTTGCGGATCCCACAAAGAGAGTGTTTCAAAGCTGCTCTACGGAAAGGTATGTTCAACTCTGTGAGTTTACTGCAAACATCCTAAAGAAGTTTCTGGGAATGCTGCTGTCTAGTTTAATGTGAATATCTTTTCTTTTCCGCCATAGCCCTCAAAGAGCTCCAAATATCCACTTTCAGATTCTACAGAGAGTTTCAAATCTGCTCTATCAAAAAAAAGTTTCAACTCGGTGAGTCGAATGCACATATCACAAAGCAGTTTCTGAGAATGCTTTTGTCTATTTTTCCCAGGAAGATATTTCCTTTTTGACCGTAGGCCTCAAACCGCTCCAGATATCCACATGCAGATTCTACAAAAAGAGTGTTTCCAAACTGCCCTATCAAAAGGAAGGTTCAACTCTGGTAGTTGAATGCAAACATCACAAAGAACTTTTCTCGGAATGCTTCTGTCTAGTTGTCATAGGCAGATATTTCTTTTTCTACCATAGGCCTCAAAGCGCTCCAAATATCCACTTGCAGATTCTCCAAAAACAGGGTTTCAAAACTGCTCCATAAAAAGGAAGGTTCAACTCTGTGAGTTGAATGGACAGACCACAAAGAGGTTTCTGAGAATGCTTCTCTCTAGTGTTTATGTGAAGATATTCCCGTTTCCGATGAAGGCCTGAAAGCAGTCCAAATATCCACTTGCCGATTATACAAAAACAGTGTTTCAAAACCACTCTATGGAAAGGTATGTTCAAAACTGTGAGATGAATGCAAACGTCACCAAGAAGTTGCTGAGAATGCTTCAGTCTAGTTTCTATGGGAAGACATTTCCTTTTGCACCACAGCCCTCAAAGCACTCCAAATGTCTACTTGCAGATTCGATAAAAGAGTTTTCCAAAACTGCTCTATCAAAAGAAAGGTTCAACGCTGTGAGGTGAATCCACATATCACGAAAAAGTTTCTGAGAATGCCTCTATCTACATTTCCTGTGAAGATATTCCGGTTTCCAACGAAGGCCTCCAAGCGCTCCAAATATCTACTTGCAGATTCTAGAAAAAGAGTGTTTCAAAACTGCTCTATTAAAGGAAGGTTCAACTCTGTGAGTTGAATTCACACATCACAAAGAACTTCCTGACAATGCTTCTATCTAGTTTTTATGCGAAGATATTACTGTTTCCTATGAAGGCCTCAAAGTGCTCCGAATATCCACTTGCAGATTCTACAAAAAGAGGTTTTCAAAACTGCTCTGTGAAGAGGTATGTTCAACTCTGTGAGTTGATTGCAAACATCACGAAGTAGTTTCTGAGAATGCTTCTGTCTAGTTTTCAGGGGCAGATATTTCCATTGGCACAGTAGTCCCTCCAAGCGCTCCAAATATCCACTGGCAGATTCTACCAAAAGAGTGTTTCAAAACTGCTCTGTGAAAAGAAATGTTCAACTGTGTTAGTTGAATGCCCACATCACAAAGGAGATTCTGAGAATATTTCTGTCTAGTTTTTATTAGAAGATATTCCCGTTTCCACCAAAGGACACAAAGCGAAGCCAATTATCTGCTTGCCGATCTTACAAAAACACGTTTCAAAACTGCTCTATCAAAGGAAAGGTTCATCTCTCTGGGTTCAACGCACACATCACAAAGAAGTTTCTGAGAATGCTTCTGGCTAGTTTGTGTGTGAAGATATTCCCATTTCCAACAAAGGCTTCAAAGCGCTCCAAAGATTCACCTGCAATTGTTCAAAAGAGTGTTTCAAAACTGTTCTATCAAAAGGAAGGTTCAACTCTGTGAGTTGAATGCACGCTTCACATAAATGTTTCTGAGAATGCTTCTTTCTAGTTTTTATGTGAAGATATTTCCTTCTCCACCGTAGCCCTCAAAGCGCTCCAAGTGTCCGCTGGCAGATTCCACAGAAACAGTGTTTCAAAACTGCTCTAACAAAAGAAAGATTCAACTCTGTGATTTGAATGCACACATCACAAAGCATTTTCTGTGAATCCTTCTGTCTAGTTTTTATATGAGTATATTTCCTTTTCTACCATGGGCATCAAAGCGTTCCAATTATCCAATTGTGGATTGCACAAACAGAGTGTTTCAAAACTGCTTCATGAAAAGGAAGATTCAAATTCCGGAGTAGACTGCACACTTCACGAAGAAGTTTCTGAGAATGCTTCTGTCTAGTTTATACGTGAAGATATTGCCATTTCCAGCAAAGGTCTCAAAGCGGTCCAAATATCCACTTGCGGATCCCACAAACAGAGTGTTTCAAAACTGCTCTACGGAAAGGTATGTTCAACTCTGTGAGTTTACTGCAAACATCCTAAAGAAGTTTCTGAGAATGCTGCTGTCTAGTTTAAAGTGAATATATTTTCTTTTCCGCCATAGCCCTCAAAGAGCTCCAAATATCCACTTTCAGATTCTACAGAGTGTTTCAAAACTGCTCTATCCAAAAAAAGTTGCAATTCGGTGAGTCGAATGCACATATCACAAAGCAGTTTCTGAGAATGCTTTCGTCTATTTTTCCCAGGAAGATATTTCCTTTTTGACCGTAGGCCTCAAACCGCTCCAGATATCCACATGCAGATTCTACAAAAAGAGTGTTTCCAAACTGCCCTATCAAAAGGAAGGTTCAACTGTGCTAGTTGAATGCAAACATCACAAAGAACTTTTCTCGGAATGCTTCTGTCTGGTTTTTAGAGGCAGATATTTCTTTTTCTACCATAGGCCTCAAAGCGCTCCAAATATCCACTTGCAGATTCTCCAAAAGGAGTGTTTCAAAACTGCTCCATAAAAAGGAAGGTGCAACTCTGTGAGTTGAATGGACAGATGACAAAGAAGTTTCTGAGAATGCTTCTGTCTAGTGTTTATGTGAAGATATTCCCGTTTCCGATGAAGGCCTCAAAGCACTCCAAATATCCACTTGCAGATTCTACAAAATTAGTGTTTCAAAACTTCTCTATGGAAAGGTATGTTCAACACTGTGAGATGAATGCAAACGTCACAAAGAAGTTGCTGAGAATGCTTCAGTCTACTTTCTATGGGAAGACATTTCCTTTTGCACCACAGCCCTCAAAGCACTCCAAATGTCTACTTGCAGATTCGATAAAAGAGTTTTACAAAACTGCTCTATCAAAAGAAAGGTTCAACGCTGTGAGTTGAATCCACATATCACGAAAAAGTTTCTGAGAATGCCTCTATCTACTTTTCCTGTGAAGATATTCCGGTTTCCAACGAAGGCCTCAAAGCGCTCCAAAGATCTACTTGCCGATTCTAGAAAAAGTGTGTTTCAAAACTGCTCTATTAAAGGAAGGTTCAAATCTGTGAGTTTAATGCCCACATCACAAAGAAGATTCTGAGAATATTTCTATCTAGTTTTTATGTGAAGATATTACTGTTTCCTATGAAGGCCTCAAAGTGGTCCGAATATCCACTTGCAGATTCTACAAAAAGAGGTTTTCAAAACAGCTCTATGCAGAGGTATGTTCAACCCTGTGAGTTGAATGCAAACATCACGAAGCAGTTTCTGAGAATGCTTCTGTCTAGATTTTAGGGGCAGATATTTCCATTGGCACAACAGCCCTCAAAGCGCTCCAAATATCCACTGGCAGATTCTACCAAAAGAGTGTTTCAAAACTGCTCTGTGAAAAGAAATGTTCAACTGTGTTAGTTGAATGCCCACATCACAAAGGAGATTCTGAGAATATTTCTGTCTAGTTTTTATTAGAAGATATTCCCGTTTCCACCAAAGGACACAAAGCGAAGCCAATTATCCGCTTGCCGATCTTACAAAAACACGTTTCAAAACTGCTCTATCAAAGGAAAGGTTCTTCTCTCTGGGTTCAACGCACACCTCACAAAGAAGTTTCTGAGAATGCTTCTGGCTACTTTGTGTGTGAAGATATTCCCATTTCCAACAAAGGCTTCAAAGCCCTCGAAATATTCACCTACAATTGTTCAAAAGAGTGTTTCAAAACTGTTCTATCAAAAGGAAGGTTCAACGCTGTGAGTTGAATCTACATATCACACAAAAGTTTCTGAGAATGCCTCTTTCTAGTTTTTATGGGAAGATATTTCCTTCTCCACCACAGCCCTCAAAGCACTCCAAGTGTCCGCTGGCAGATTCCACAGAAACAGTGTTTCAAAACTGCTCTAACAAAAGAAAGATTCAACTCCGTGATTTGAATGCACACATCACAAAGCATTTTCTGTGAATCCTTCTGTCTAGTTTTTATATGAGGATATTTCCTTCTCTACCATGGGCATCAAAGCGTTCCAATTATCCAATTGTAGATTGCACAAATAGAGTCTTTCAAAACTGCTTCATGAGAAGGAAGATTCAAAGCTGGGAGTAGAATGCACACGTGACGAAGAAGTTTCTGAGAATGCTTCTGTCTAGTTTATATGTGAAGATATTCCCATTTCCAGCAAAGGTCTCAAAGCGGTCCAAATATCCACTTGCGGATCCCACAAACAGAGTGTTTCAAAACTGCTCTACGGAAAGGTATGTTCAACTCTGTGAGTTTAGTGCAAACATCATAAATAAGTTTCTGAGAATGCTGATGTCAAGTTTAATGTGAATATATTTTCTTTTCCGCCATAGCCCTCAAAGAGCTCCAAATATCCACTTTGAGATTCTACAAAGTGTTTCAAAACTGCTCTATCAAAAAAAGTTTCAACTCGGTGAGTGGAATGCACATATCACAAAGCAGTTTCTGAGAATGCTTTCGTCTATTTATCCCAGGAAGATATTTCCTTTTTGACCGTAGGCCTCAAACCGCTCCAGATATCCACATGCAGATTCTACAAAAAGAGTGTTTCCAAACTGCCCTATCAAAAGGAAGGTTCAACTCTGCTAGTTGAATGCAAACATCACAGAGAAGTTTCTCGGAATGCTTCAGTCTAGTATTTAGAGGCAGATATTTCTTTTTCTACCATTGGCCTCAAGGCGCTCCAAATATCCACTTGCAGATTCTCCACAAACAGTGTTTCAAAACTGCTCCATGAAAAGGAAGGTTCAACTCTGTGAGTTGAATGGACAGATCACAAAGAAGTTTCTGAGAATGCTTCTCTCTAGTGTTTATGTGAAGATATTCCCGTTTCCGATGAAGGCCTCAAAGCAGTCCAAATATCCACTTGCCGATTCTACAGAAACAGTGTTTCAAAACCACTCTATGGAAAGGTATGTTCAACACTGTGAGATGAATGCAAACGTCACCAAGAAGTTGCTGAGAATGCTTCAGTCTAGTTTCTATGGGAAGACATTTCCTTTTGCACCACAGCCCTCAAAGCACCCCAAATGTCTACCTGCAGATTCGATAAAAGAGTTTTTCAAAACTGCTCCATCCAAAGAAAGGTTCAACGCTGTGAGTGGAATCTACATATCACAAAAAAGTTTCTGAGAATGCCTCTATCTACTTTTCCTGTGAAGATATTCCGGTTTCCAACGAAGGCCTCAAAGCGCTCCAAATATCTACTTGCAGATTCTAGAAAAAGAGTGTTTCAAAACTGCTCTATTAAAGGAAGGTTCAACTCTGTGAGTTGAATTCACACATCACCAAGAACTTTCTGACAATGCTTCTATCTAGTTTTTATGTGAAGATATTACTGTTTCCTATGAAGGCCTCAAAGTGGTCCGAATATCCACTTGCAGATTCTACAGAAAGAGGTTTTCAAATCTGCTCTATGAAGAGGTATGTTCAACTCTGTGAGTTGAATGCGAACATCACGAAGTAGTTTCTGAGAATGCTTCTGTCTAGTTTTTAGGGGCAGATATTTCCGTTGGCACAATAGCCCTCAAAGCGCTCCAAATATCCACTGACAGATTCTACCAAAAGAGTGTTTCAAAACTGCTCTGTGAAAAGAAACGTTCAACTCTGTTAGTTGAATGCCCACATCACAAAGAAGATTCTGAGAATATTTCTGTCTAGTTTTTATTAGAAGATATTCCCGTTTCCAGCAAAGGACACAAAGCGAAGCCAACTATCCGCTTGCAGATCTTACAAAAACACGTTTCAAAACTGCTCTTTCAAAGGAAAGGTTCATCTCTCTGGGTTCAACGCACACATCACAAAGAAGTTTCTGAGAATGCTTCTGGCTAGTTTGTGTGTGAAGATATTCCCATTTCCAACAAAGGCTTCAAAGCGCTCCAAAGATTCACCTGCAATTGTTCAAAAGAGTGTTTCAAAACTGTTGTATCAAAAGGAAGGTTCAACTCTGTGAGTGGAATGCACGCTTCACATAAATGTTTCTGAGAATGCTTCTTTCTAGTTTTTATGGGAAGATATTTCCTTCTCCACCGTAGCCCTCAAAGCGCTCCAAGTGTCCGCTGGCAGATTCCACAGAAACAGTGTTTCAAAACTGCTCTGACAAAAGAAAGATTCAACTCCGTGATTTGAATGCACACATCACAAAGCATTTTCTGTGAATCCTTGTGTCTAGTTTTTATATGAAGATATTTCCTTTTCTACCATGGGCATCAAAGCGTTCCAATTATCCAATTGTGGATTGCACAAACAGAGTGTTTCAAAACTGCTTCATGAAAAGGAAGATTCAAATTTGGGAGTAGAATGCACACATCACGAAGAAGTTTCTGAGAATGCTTCTGTCCAGTTTATATGTGAAGATATTCCCGTTTCCAGCAAAGGTCTCAAAGCGGTCCAAATATCCACTTGCGGATCCCACAAACAGAGTGTTTCAAAACTGCTCTACGGAAAGGTATGTTCAACTCTGTGAGTTTACTGCAAACATCCTAAAGAAGTTTCTGGGAATGCTTCTGTCTAGTTTAATGTGAATATATTTTCTTTTCCGCCATAGCCCTCAAAGAGCTCCAAATATCCACTTTCAGATTCTACAGAGTGTTTCAAAACTGCTCTATCAAAAAAAAGTTTCAACTCGGAGAGTCGAATGCACATATCACAAAGCAGTTTCTGAGAATGCTTTCGTCTATTTTTCCCAGGAAGAGATTTCCTTTTGGACCGTAGGCCTCAAATCGCTCCAGATATCCACATGCAGATTCTACAAAAAGAGTGTTTCCAAACTGCCCTATCAAAAGGAAGGTTCACCTCTGGTAGTTGAATGCAAACATCACAAAGAAGTTTCTCAGAATGCTTCTGTCTAGTTGTTATAGGCAGATATTTCTTTTTCTACCATAGGCCACAAAGCGCTCCAAATAGCTACTTGAAGATTCTCCAAAAACAGTGTTTCAAAACTGCTCCATTAAAAGGAAGGTTCAACTCTGTGAGTTGAATGGACAGATCACAAAGAAGTTTCTGAGAATGCTTCTCTCTAGTGTTTATGTGAAGATATTCCCGTTTCCGATGAAGGCCTCAAAGCAGTCCAAATATCCACTTGCAGATTCTACAAAAATAGTGTTTCAAAACTACTCTTTGGAAAGGTATGTTCAATGCTGTGAGATGAATGCAAACGTCACAAAGAAGTTGCTGAGAATGTTTCAGTCTAGTTTCTATGGGAAGACATTTCCTTTTGCACCACAGCCCTCAAAGCACCCCAAATGTTTACCTGCAGATTCGATAAAAGAGGTTTTCAAAACTGCTCCATCCAAAGAAAGGTTCAACGCTGTGAGTTGAATCTACATATCACAAAAAAAGTTTCTGAGAATGCCTCTATCTACATTTCCTGTGAAGATATTCCGGTTTCCAAAGAAGGCCTCCAAGCGCTCCAAATATCTACTTGCAGATTCTAGAAAAAGAGTGTTTCAAAACTGCTCTATTAAAGGAAGGTTCAACTCTGTGAGTTGAATTCACACATCACAAAGAACTTCCTGACAATGCTTCTGTCTAGTTTTTAGGTGAAGATATTTCCATTTCCAGGAAAGGTCACAAAGTGGTCCAAATATCCACTTGCAGATTCTACAAAAAGAGGTTTTAAAAACAGCTCTATGAAGGGGTATGTTCAACTCTGTGAGTTGAATGCAAACATCAAAAAGTAGTTTCTGAGGATGCTTCTGTCTAGTTTTTAGGGGCAGATATTTCCGTTGGCACAATAGCCCTCATAGCGCTCCAAATATCCACTGGCAGATTCTACCAAAAGAGTGTTTCAAAACTGCTCTGTGAAAAGAAACGTTCAACTGTGTTAGTTGAATGCCCACATCACAAAGAAGATTCTGAGAATATTTCTGTCTAGTTTTTGTTAGAAGATATTCCCGTTTCCACCAAAGGACACAAAGCGAAGCCAATTATCCGCTTGCCGATCTTACAAAAACACGTTTCAAAACTGCTCTATCAAAGGAAAGGTTCATCTCTCTGGGTTCAACGCACACATCACAAAGAAGTTTCTGAGAATGCTTCTGGCTACTTTGTGCGTGAAGATATTCCCATTTCCAGCAAAGGCTTCAAAGCGCTCCAAATATTGACCTGCAATTGTTCAAAAGAGTGTTTCAAAACTGTTCTATCAAAAGGAAGGTTCAACTCTGTGAGTTGAATGCACGCTTCACATAAATGTTTCTGAGAATGCATCTTTCTAGTTTTTATGTGAAGATATTTCCTTCTCCACCATAGCCCTCAAAGCGCTCCAAGTGTCCGCTGGCAGATTCCACAGAAACAGTGTTTCAAAACTGCTCTAACAAAAGAAAGATTCAACTCCGTGATTTGAATGCACACATCAAAAAGCATTTTCTGTGAATGCTTCTGTCTAGTTTTTATATGAGGATATTTCCTTTTCTACCATGGGCATCAAAGCGTTCCATTTATCCAATTGTGGATTGCACAAACAGAGTGTTTCAAAACTGCTTCATGAAAAGGAAGATTCAAATTCGGGAGTAGAATGCACACATCACGAAGAAGATTCTGAGAATGCTTCTGTCTAGTTTATATGTGAAGATATTCCCATTTCCAGCAAAGGTCTCAAAGCGGTCCAAATATCCACTTGCGGATCCCACAAACAGAGTGTTTGAAAACTGCTCTACGGAAAGGTAGGTTCAACTCTGTGAGTTTACTGCAAACATCCTAAAGAAGTTTCTGAGAATGCTGCTGTCTAGTTTAATGTGAATATATTTTCTTTTCCGCCATAGCCCTCGAAGAGCTCCAAATATCCACTTTCAGATTCTACAGAGTGTTTCAAAACTGCTCTATCAAAAAAAAGTTTCAACTCGGAGAGTCGAATGCACATATCACAAAGCAGTTTCTGAGAATGCTTTCGTCTATTTTTCCCAGGAAGATATTTCCTTTTTGACTGTAGGCCTCAAATCGCTCCAGATATCCACATGCAGATTCTACAAAAAGAGTGTTTCCAAACTGCCCTATCAAAAGGAAGGTTCAACTCTGGTAGTTGAAAGCAAACATCACAAAGAAGTTTCTCAGAATGCTTCAGTCTAGTTTTTAGAGGCAGATGTTTCTTTTTCTACCATAGGCCTCAAAGCGCTCCGAATATCCACTTGCAGATTCTCCAAAAAGAGTGTTTCAAAGCTGCTCCATAAAAAGGAAGGTTCAACTCTGTGAGTTGAATGGACAGATCACAAAGAAGTTTCTGAGAATGCTTCTCTCTAGTGTTTATGTGAAGATATTCCCGTTTCCGATGAAGGCCTCAAAGCAGTCCAAATATCCACTTGCCGATTCTACAAAAACAGTGTTTCAAAACTACTCTATGGAAAGGTATGTTCAACACTGTGAGATGAATGCAAACGTCACAAAGAAGTTGCTGAGAATGCTTCAGTCTAGTTTCTATGGGAAGACATTTCCTTTTGCACCACAGCCCTCAAAGCACCCCAAATGTCTACCTGCAGATTCGATAAAAGGGTTTTTCAAAACTGCTCCATCCAAAGAAAGGTTCAACGCTGTGAGTTGAATCTACATATCACAAAAAAGTTTACTGAGAATGCCTCTATCTACTTTTTATGTGAAGATATTCCGGTTTCCAACGAAGGCCTCAAAGCGCTCCAAATATCTACTTGCAGATTCTAGAAAAAGAGTGTTTCAAAACTGCTCTATTAATGGAAGGTTCAACTCTGTGAGTTGAATTCACACATCACAAAGAACTTTCTGACAATGCTTCTATCTAGTTTTTATGTGAAGGTATTACTGTTTCCTATGAAGGCCTCAAAGTGGTCCGAATATCCACTTGCAGATTCTACAAAAAGAGGTTTTCAAAACTGCTCTATGAAGAGGTATGTTCAACTCTGTGAGTTGAATGCAAACATCACAAAGTAGTTTCTGAGAATGCTTCTGTCTAGTTTTTAGGGGCAGATATTTCCGTTGGCACAATAGCCCTCAAAGCGCTCTAAATATCCACTGGCAGATTCTAGCAAAAGAGTGTTTCAAAACTGCTCTGTGAAAAGAAAGGTTCAACTGTGTTAGTTGAATGCCCACATCACAAAGAAGATTCTGAGAATATTTCTGTCTAGTTTTTATTAGAAAATATTCCCGTTTCCACCAAAGGACACAAAGCTAAGCCAACTATCCGCTTGCAGATCTTACAAAAACACGTTTCAAAACTGCTCTATCAAAGGAAAGGTTCATCTCTCTGGGTTCAACGCACACATCACAAAGAAGTTTCTGAGAATGCTTCTGGCTAGTTTGTGTGTGAAGATATTCCCATTTCCAACAAAGGCTTCAAAGCCCTCCAAATATTCACCTGCAATTGTTCAAAAGAGTGTTTCAAAACTGTTCTATCAAAAGGAAGGTTCAACTCTGTGAGTTGAATGCACGCTTCACATAAACGGTTCTGAGAATGCTTCTTTCTAGTTTTTATGTGAAGATATTTCCTTCTCCACCATAGCCCTCAAAGCGCTCCAAGTGTCCGCTGGCAGATTCCACAGAAACAGTGTTTCAAAACTGATCTAACAAAAGAAAGATTCAACTCCGTGATTTGAATGCACACATCACAAAGCATTTTCTGTGAATCCTTCTGTCTAGTTTTTATATGAGGATATTTCCTTTTCTACCATGGGCATCAAAGCGTTCCAATTATCCCATTGTAGATTGCACAAATAGAGTGTTTCAAAACTGCTTCATGAAAAGGAAGATTCAAATTTGGGAGTAGAATGCACACATCACGAAGAAGTTTCTGAGAATGCTTCTGTCTAGTTTATATGTGAAGATATTCCCATTTCCAGCAAAGGTCTCAAAGCGGTCCAAATATCCACTTGTGGATCCCACAAACAGAGTGTTTCAAAACTGCTCTACGGAAAGGTAGGTTCAACTCTGTGAGTTTACTGCAAACATCCTAAAGAAGTTTCTGAGAATGCTGCTGTCTACTTTAATGTGAATATAGTTTCTTTGCCGCCATAGCCCTCAAAGAGCTCCAAATATCCACTTTCAGATTCTACAGAGTGTTTCAAAACTGCTCTATCAAAAAAAAGTTTCAACTCGGTGAGTCGAATGCACATATCACAAAGCAGTTTCTGAGAATGCTTTCGTCTATTTTTCCCAGGAAGATATTTCCTTTTTGACCGTAGGCCTCAAACCGCTCCAGATATCCACATGCAGATTCTACAAAAAGAGTGTCTCCAAACTGCCCTATCAAAAGGAAGGTTCAACTCTGCTAGTTGAATGCAAACATCACAGAGAAGTTTCTCGGAATGCTTCTGTCTAGTTGTCATAGGCAGATATTTCTTTTACTACCATAGGCCTCAAAGCGCTCCAAATATCCACTTGCAGATCCTCCGAAAACAGTGTTTCAAAACTGCTCCATAAAAAGGAAGGTTCAACTCTGTGAGTTGAATGGACAGACCACAAGGAAGTTTCTGAGAATGCTTCTCTCTAGTGTTTATGTGAAGATATTCCCGTTTCCGATGAAGGCCTCAAAGCAGTCCAAATATCCACTTGCCGATTCTACAAAAACTGTGTTTCAAAACCACTCTATGGAAAGGTATGTTCAACACTGTGAGGTGAATGCAAACGTCACCAAGAAGTTGCTGAGAATGCTTCAGTCTAGTTTCTATGGGAAGACATTTCCTTTTGCACCAGAGCCCTCAAAGCACTCCAAATGTCTACTTGCAGATTCGATAAAAGAGTTTTTCAAAACTGCTCTATCAAAAGAAAGGTTCAACGCTGTGAGTTGAATCTACATATGACATAAAAGTTTCTGAGCATGCCTCTATCTACATTTCCTGTGAAGATATTCCGGTTTACAACGAAGGCCTCCAAGCGCTCCAAATATCTACTTGCAGATTCTAGAAAAAGAGTGTTTCAACACTGCTCTATTAAAGGAAGTTTCAACTCTGTGAGTTGAATTCACACATCACAAAGAACTTCCGGACAATGCTTCTATGTAGTTTTTATGTGAAGATATTACTGTTTCCCATGAAGGCCTCAAAGTGGTCCGAATATCCACTTGCAGATTCTACAAAAAGAGGTTTTCAAAACTGCTCTATGCAGAGGTATGTTCAACTCTGTGAGTTGAATGCAAACATCCCGAAGCAGTTTCTGAGAATGCTTCTGTCTAGTTTTCAGGGGCAGATATTTCCATTGGCACAATAGCCCTCCAAGCGCTCCAAATATCCACTGGCAGATTCTACCAAAAGAGTGTTTCAAAACTGCTCTGTGATAAGAAATGTTCAACTGTGTTAGTTGAATGCCCACATCACAAAGGAGATTCTGAGAATATTTCTGTCTAGTTTTTATTAGAAGATATTCCCGTTCCCACCAAAGGACACAAAGCGAAGCCAATTATCCGCTTGCAGATCTTACAAAAACACGTTTCAAAACTGCTCTATCAAAGGAAAGGTTCATCTCTCTGGGTTCAACGCACGCATCACAAAGAATTTTCTGAGAATGCTTCTGGCTAGTTTGTGTGTGAAGATATTCCCATTTCCAACAAAGGCTTCAAAGCCCTCCAAATATTCACCTGCAATTGTTCAAAAGAGTGTTTCAAAACTGTTCTATCAAAAGGAAGGTTCAACTCTGTGAGTAGAACGCACGCTTCACATAAATGGTTCTGAGAATGCTTCTTTCTAGTTTTTATGGGAAGATATTTCCTTCTCTACCATAGCCCTCAAAGCGCTCAAAGTGTCCGCTGGCAGATTCCACAGAAACAGTGTTTCAAAACTGCTCTGACAAAAGAAAGATTCAACTCCGTGATTTGAATGCACACATCACAAAGCATTTTCTGTGAATCCTTCTGTCTAGTTTTTATATGACGATATTTCCTTTTCTACCATGGGCATCCAAGCGTTCCAATTATCCAAGTGTAGATTGCACAAACAGAGTGTTTCAAAACTGCTCCATGAGAAGGAAGATTCAAATTTGGGAGTACAATGCACACATCACGAAGAAGTTTCTGAGAATGCTTCTGTCTAGTTTATATGTGAAGATATTCCCATTTCCAGCAAAGATCTCAAAGCTGTCCAAATATCCACTTGTGGATCCCACAGAGTGTTTCAAAACTGCTCTACGGAAAGGTATGTTCAACTCTGTGAGTTTACTGCAGACATCCTAAAGAAGTTTCTGAGAATGCTGCTGTCTAATTTAATGTGAATATATTTTCTTTTCCGCCATAGCCCTCAAAGAGTTCCAAATAGCCACTTTCAGATTCTACAGAGTGTTTCAAAACTGCTCTATGAAAAAAAAGTTTGAACTCGGTGATTCGAATGCACATATCACAAAGCAGTTTCTGAGAATGCTTTCGTCTATTTTTCCCAGGAAGATATTTCCTTTTTGACCGTAGGCCTCAAATCGCTCCAGATATCCACATGCAGATGCTACAAAATGAGTGTTTCCAAACTGCCCTATCAAAAGGAAGGTTCAACTCTGGTAGTTGAATGCAAACATCACAAAGAAGTTTCTCAGAATGCTTCAGTCTAGTATTTAGAGGCAGATATTTCTTTTTCTACCATTGGCCTCAAGGCGCTCCAAATATCCACTTGCAGATTCTTCACAAACAGTGTTTCAAAACTGCTCCATAAAAAGGAAGGTTCAACTCTGTGAGTTGAATGGACAGATCACAAAGAAGTTTCTGAGAATGCTTCTCTCTAGTGTTTATGTGAACATATTCCCGTTTCCGATGAAGGCCTCAAAGCAGTCCAAATATCCACTTGTCGATTCTACAAAAACAGTGTTTCAAAACCACTCTATGGAAAGGTATGTTCAACACTGTGAGATGAATGCAAACGTCACCAAGAAGTTGCTGAGAATGCTTCAGTCTAGTTTCTATGGGAAGACATTTCCTTTTGCACCACAGCCCTCAAAGCACCCCAAATGTCTACCTGCAGATTCGATAAAAGAGTTTTTCAAAACTGCTCCATCCAAAGAAAGGTTCAATGCTGTGAGTTGAATCTACATATCACAAAAAAGTTTCTGAGAATGCCTCTATCTACTTTTTATGTGAAGATATTCCAGTTTCCAACGAAGGCCTCAAAGCGCTCCAAATATCTACTTGCAGATTCTAGAAAAAGAGTGTTTCAAAACTGCTCTATTAAAGGAAGGTTCAACTCTGTGAGTTGAATTCACACATCACAAAGAACTTTCTGACAATACTTCTCTCTAGTTTTTATGTGAAGATATTACTGTTTCCTATGAAGACCTCAAAGTGGTCCGAATATCCACTTATAGATTCTACAAAAAGAGGTTTTCAAAACTGCTCTATGAAGAGGTATGTTCACCTCTGTGAGTTGAATGCAAACATCACAAAGCAGTTTCTGAGAATGCTTCTGTCTAGTTTTTAGGGGCAGATATTTCCATTGGCACAATAGCCCTCAAAGCGCTCCAAATATCCACTGGCAGATTCGACCAAAAGAGTGTTTCAAAACTGCTCTGTGAAAAGAAATGTTCAACTGTGTCAGTTGAATGCCCACATCACAAAGAAGTTTCTGAGAATATCTCTGTCTAGATTTTATTAGAAGATATTCCCGTTTCCACCAAAGGACACAAAGCGAAGCCAATTATCCGCTTGCCGATCTTACAAAAACACGTTTCAAAACTGCTCTATCAAAGGAAAGGTTCATCTCTCTGGGTTCAACGCACACATCACAAAGAAGTTTCTGAGAATGCATCTGGCTAGTTTGTGTGAAGATATTCCCATTTCCAACAAAGGCTTCAAAGCGCTCCAAAGATTCACCTGCAATTGTTCAAAAGAGTGTTTCAAAACTGTTGTATCAAAAGGAAGGTTCAACTCTGTGAGTTGAATGCACGCTTCACATAAATGTTTCTGAGAATGCTTCTTTTTAGTTTTTGTGTGAAGATATTTCCTTCTCCACCGTAGCCCTCAAAGCGCTCCTAGTGTCCGCTGGCAGATTCCACAGAAACAGTGTTTCAAAACTGCTCTAACAAAAGAAAGATTCAACTCCGTGATTTGAATGCACACATCACAAAGCATTTTCTGTGAATCCTTCTGTCTAGTTTTTATATGAGGATATTTCCTTTTCTACCATGGGCATCCAAGCGTTCCAATTATCCAATTGTAGATTGCACAAACAGAGTGTTTCAAAACTGCTCCATGAGAAGGAAGATTCAAAATTGGGAGTGCAATGCACACATCACCAAGAAGTTTCTGAGAATGCTTCTGTCTAGTTTATATGTGAAGATATTCCCATTTCCAGCAAAGGTCTCATAGCGGTCCAAATATCCACTTGCGGATCCCACAAACAGAGTGTTTCAAAACTGCTCTACGGAAAGGTAGGTTCAACTCTGTGAGATTACTGCAAACATCCTAAAGAAGTTTCTGAGAATGCTGCTGTCTACTTTAATGTGAATATAGTTTCTTTGCCGCCATAGCCCTCAAAGAGCTCCAAATATCCACTTTCAGATTCTACAGAGTGTTTCAAAACTGCTCTATCAAAAAAAAGTTTCAACTCGGTGAGTCGAATGCACATATCACAAAGCAGTTTACTGAGAATGCTTTCGTCTATTTTTCCCAGGAAGATATTTCCTTTTGGACCGTAGGCCTCAAATCGCTCCAGATATCCACATGCAGATTCTACAAAAAGACTGTTTCCAAACTGCCCTATCAAAAGGAAGGTTCAACTCTGGTAGTTGAATGCAAACATCACAAAGAAGTTTCTCAGAATGCTTCTGTCTGGTTTTTAGAGGCAGATATTTCTTTTTCTACCATAGGCCTCAAAGCGCTCGAAATATCCACTTGCAGATTCTACAAAAACAGTGATTCAAAACTGCTCCATAAAAAGGAAGGTTCAACTCTGTGAGTTGAATGGACAGATCACAAAGAAGTTTCTGAGAATGCTTCTGTCTAGTGTTTATGTGAAGATATTCCCGTTTCCGATGAAGGCCTCAAAGCATTCCAAATATCCACTTGCAGATTCTACAAAAATAGTGCTTCAAAACTACTCTATGGAAAGGTATGTTTAACACTGTGAGATGAATGCAAACGTCACAAAGAAGTTGCTGAGAATGCTTCAGTCTAGTTTCTATGGGAAGACATTTCCTTTTGCACCACAGCCCTCAAAGCACCCCAAATGTCTACCTGCAGATTCGATAAAAGTGTTTTTCAAAACTGCTCCATCCAAAGAAAGGTTCAACGCTGTGAGTTGAATCTACATATCACAAAAAAGTTTCTGAGAATGCCTCTATCTACGTTTTATGTGAAGATATTCCGGTTTCCAACGAAGGCCTCAAAGCGCTCCAAATATCTACTGGCAGATTCTAGAAAAAGAGTGTTTCAAACTGCTCTATTAAAGGAAGGTTCAACTCTGTGTGTTGAATTCCCACATCACAAAGAACTTTCTGACAATGCTTCTATCTAGTTTTTATGTGAAGATATTACTGTTTCCTATGAAGGCCTCAAAGTGGTCCGAATATCCACTTGCAGATTCTACAGAAAGAGGTTTTCAAAACTGCTCTGTGAAGAGGTATGTTCAACTCTGTGTGTTGAATGCAGACATCACGAAGCAGTTTCTGAGAATGCTTCTGTCTAGTTTTCAGGGGCAGATATTTCCATTGGCACAATAGCCCTCCAAGCGCTCCAAATATCCACTGGCAGATTCTACCAAAAGAGTGTTTCAAAACTGCTCTGTGAAAAGTAATGTTCAACTGTGTTAGTTGAATGCCCACATCACAAAGGAGATTCTGAGAATATTTCTGTCTAGTTTTTATTAGAAGACATGCCAGTTTCCACCAAAGGACACAAAGCGAAGCCAATTATCCGCTTGCCGATCTTACAAAAACACGTTTCAAAACTGCTCTATCAAAGGAAAGGTTCATCTCTCTGGGTTCAACGCACACATCACAAAGAAGTTTCTGAGAATGCTTCTGGCTAGTTTGTGTGTGAAGATATTCCCATTTCCAACAAAGGCTTCAAAGCGCTCCAAAGATACACCTGCAATTGTTCAAAAGAGTGTTTCAAAACTGTTGTATCAAAAGGAAGGTTCAACTCTGTGAGTTGAATGCACGCTTCACATAAATGTTTCTGAGAATGCTTCTTTCTAGTTTTTATGTGAAGATATTTCCTTCTCCACCATAGCCCTCAAAGCGCTCCAAGTGTCCGCTGGCAGATTCCACAGAAACAGTGTTTCAAAACAGCTCTAACAAAAGAAAGATTCAACTCCGTGATCTGAATGCACACATCACAAAGCATTTTCTGTGAATCCTTCCGTCTAGTTTTTATATGAGGATATTTCATTTTCTACCATGGGCATCAAAGGGTTCCAATTATCCAATTGTAGATTGCACAAATAGAGTGTTTCAAAACTGCTCTAATAAAAGAAAGATTCAACTCCGTGATTTGAATGCACACATCACAAAGCATTTTCTGTGAATCCTTCTGTCTAGTTTATATGTGAAGATATTCCCATTTCCAGCAAAGATCTCAAAGCTGTCCAAATATCCACTTGTGGATCCCACAAACAGAGTGTTTCAAAACTGCTCTACGGAAAGGTATGTTCAACTCTGTGAGTTTACTGCAGACATCCTAAAGAAGTTTCTGAGAATGCTGCTGTCTACTTTTTTAATGTGAATATATTTTCTTTTCCGCCATAGCCCTCAAAGAGCTCCAAATATCCACTTTCAGATTCTACAGAGTGTTTCAAAACTTCTCTATCAAAAAAAAGTTTCAACTCGGTGAGTCGAATGCACATATCACAAAGCACTTTCTGAGAATGCTTTCGTCTATTTTTCCCAGGAAAATATTTCCTTTTTGACCATAGGCCTCAAATCGCTCCAGATATCCACATGCAGATTCTACAAAAAGAGTGTTTCCAAACTGCCCTATCAAAAGGAAGGTTCAACTCTTGTAGTTGCATGCAACCATCACAAAGAAGTTTCTCAGAATGCTTCAGTCTAGTATTTAGAGGCAGATATTTCTTTTTCTACCATTGGCCTCAAGGCGCTCCAAATATCCACTTGCAGATTCTCCACAAACAGTGTTTCAAAACTGCTCCATAAAAAGGAAGGTTCAACTCTGTGAGTTGAACGGACAGATCACAAAGAAGTTTCCGACAATGCTTCTCTCTAGTGTTTATGTGAAGATATTCCCGTTTCCGATGAAGGCCTCAAAGCAGTCCAAATATTCACTTACCGATTCTACAAAAACAGTGTTTCAAAACTACTCTATGGAAAGGTATGTTCAACACTGTGAGATGAATGCAAACGTCACCAAGAAGTTGCTGAGAATGCTTCAGTCTAGTTTCTATGGGAAGACATTTCCTTTTGCACCACAGCCCTCAAAGCACTCCAAAGGTCTACTGGCAGATTCGATAAAAGAGTTTTTCAAAACTGCTCTATCAAAAGAAAGGTTCAACGCTGTGAGTTGAAACTACATATCACAAAAAAGTTTCTGAGAATGCCTCTATCTACATTTCCTGTGAAGATATTCCGGTTTCCAAAGAAGGCCTCCAAGCACTCCAAATATCTACTAGCAGATTCTAGAAAAAGAGTGTTTCAAAACTGCTCTATTAAAGGAAGGTTCAACTCTGTGAGTTGAATTCACACATCACAAAGAACTTTCTGACAATGCTTCTATCTAGTTTTTATGTGAAGATATTACTGTTTCCTATGAAGGCCTCAGAGTGGTCCGAATATCCACTTGCAGATTCTACAAAAAGAGGTTTTCAAAACTGCTCTATGCAGAGGTATGTTCAAGTCTGTGAGTTGAATGCAAACATCACGAAGCAGTTTCTGAGAATGCTTCTGTCTAGTTTTCAGGGGCAGATATTTCCATTGGCACAATAGTCCTCCAAGCGCTCCAAATATCCACATGCAGATTCTACCAAAAGAGTGTTTCAAAACTGCTCTGTGAAAAGAAATGTTCAACTGTGTTAGTTGAATGCCCACATCACAAAGGAGATTCTGAGAATATTTCTGTCTAGTTTTTATTAGAAGATATTCCCGTTTCCACCAAAGGACACAAAGCGAAGCCAATTATCCGCTTGCCGATCTTACAAAAACACGTTTCAAAACTGCTCTATCAAAGGAAAGGTTCATCTCTCTGGGTTCAACGCACACATCACAAAGAAGTTTCTGAGAATTCTTCTGGCTAGTTTGTGTGTGAAGATATTCCCATTTCCAACAAAGGCTTCAAAGCGCTCCAAAGATTCACCTGCAATTGTTCAAAAGAGTGTTTCAAAACTGTTCTATCAAAAGGAAGGTTCAACTCTGTGAGTTGAAGGCACGCTTCACATAAATGTTTCCGAGAATGCTTCTTTCTAGTTTTTATGTGAAGATATTTCCTTCTCCACCATAGCCCTCAAAGCGCTCCAAGTGTCCGCTGGTAGATTCCACAGAAACAGTGTTTCAAAACTGCTCTGACAAAAGAAAGATTCAACTCCGTGATTTGAATGCACACATCACAAAGCATTTTCTGTGAATCCTTCTGTCTAGTTTTTATATGAGGATATTTCCTTTTCTACCATGGACATCAAAGCGTTCCAATCATCCAATTGTAGAATGCACAAACAGAGTGTTTCAAAACTGCTTCATGAAAAGGAAGATTCAAATTTGGGAGTAGAATGCACACATCACGAAGAAGTTTCTGAGAATGCTTCTGTCTAGTTTATATGTGAAGATATTCCCATTTCCAGCAAAGGTGTCAAAGCGGTCCAAATATCCACTTGCGGATCCCACAAACAGAGTGTTTCAAAACTGCTCTACGGAAAGGTATGTTCAACTCTGTGAGTTTACTGCAAACATCCTAAAGAAGTTTCTGAGAATGCTGCTGTCTACTTTAATGTGAATATAGTTTCTTTGCCGCCGTAGCCCTCAAAGAGCTCCAAATATCCACTTTCAGATTCTACAGAGTGTTTCAAAACTGCTCTATCAAAAAAAATTTTCAACTCGGTGAGTCGAATGCACATATCACAAAGCAGTTTCTGAGAATGCTTTCGTCTATTTATCCCAGGAAGATATTTCCTTTTTGACCGTAGGCCTCAAACCGCTCCATATATCCACATGCAGATTCTACAAAAAGAGTGTTTCCAAACTGCCCTATCAAAAGGAAGGTTCAACTCTGCTAGTTGAAGGCAAACATCACAGAGAAGTTTCTCGGAATGCTTCTGTCTGGTGTTTAGGGGCAGATATTTCTTTTTCTACCATAGGCCTCAAAGCGCTCCAAATATCCACTTGCAGATTCTCCAAAAAGAGTGTTTCAAAACTGCTCCAGAAAAAGGAAGGTTCAACTCTGTGAGTTGAATGGACAGATGACAAAGAAGTTTCTGAGAATGCTTCTCTCTAGTGTTTATGTGAAGATATTCCCGTTTCCGATGAAGGCCTCAAAGCAGTCCAAATATCCACTTGCCGATTCTACAAAAACAGTGATTCAAAACCACTCTATGGAAAGGTATGTTCAACACTGTGAGATGAATGCAAACGTCACCAAGAAGTTGCTGAGAATGCTTCAGTCTAGTTTCTATGGGAAGACATTTCCTTTTGCACCACAGCCCTCAAAGCACCCCAAATGTCTAACTGCAGATTCGATAAAAGAGTTTTTCAAAACTGCTCCATCCAAAGAAAGGTTCAACGCTGTGAGTTGAATCTACATATCACAAAAAAGTTTCTGAGAATGCCTCTATCTACTTTTTATGTGAAGATATTCCTGTTTCCAACGAAGGCCTCAAAGCGCTCCAAATATCTACTGGCAGATTCTAGAAAAAGAGTGTTTCAAAACTGCTCTATTAAAGGAAGGTTCAACTCTGTGAGTTGAATTCACACATCACAAAGAACTTTCTGACAATGCTTCTATCTAGTTTTTATGTGAAGATATTACTGTTTCCTATGAAGGCCTCAAAGTGGTCCGAATATCCACTTGCAGATTCTACAAAAAGAGGTTTTCAAAACTGCTCTATGCAGAGGTATGTTCAACTCTGTGAGTTGAATGCAAACATCCCGAAGCAGTTTCTGAGAATGCTTCTGTCTAGTTTTCAGGGGCAGATATTTCCATTGGCACAATAGCCCTCCAAGCGCTCCAAATATCCACTGGCAGATTCTACCAAAAGAGTGTTTCAAAACTGCTCTGTGAAAAGAAATGTTCAACTGTGTTAGTTGAATGCCCACATCACAAAGGGAGATTCTGAGAATATTTCTGTCTAGTTTTTATCAGAAGATATTCCCGTTTCCACCAAAGGACACAAAGCGAAGCCAATTATCCGCTTGCAGATCTTACAAAAACACGTTTCAAAACTGCTCTATCCAAGGAAAGGTTCATCTCTCTGGGTTCAACGCACACATCACAAAGAAGTTTCTGAGAATGCTTCTGGCTAGTTTGTGTGTGAAGATATTCCCATTTCCAACAAAGGCTTCAAAGCGCTCCAAAGATTCACCTGCAATTGTTCAAAAGAGTGTTTCAAAACTGTTGTATCGAAAGGAAGGTTCAACTCTGTGAGTTGAATGCACGCTTCACATAAATGTTTCTGAGAATGCTTCTTTCTAGTTTTTATGTGAACATATTTCCTTCTCCACCATAGCCCTCAAAGCGCTCCAAGTGTCCGCTGGCAGATTCCACAGAAACAGTGTTTCAAAACTGCTCTAACAAAAGAAAGATTCAACTCCGCGATTTGAATGCACACATCACAAAGCATTTTCTGTGAATCCTTCTGTCTAGTTTTTATATGAGGATATTTCCTTTTCTACCACGGGCATCCAAGCCTTCCAATTCTCCAATTGTAGATTGCACAAACAGAGTGTTTCAAAACTGCTCCATGAGAAGGAAGATTCAAATTTGGGAGTACAATGCACACATCACGAAGAAGTTTCTGAGAATGCTTCTGTCTAGTTTATATGTGAAGATATTCCCGTTTCCAGCAAAGGTCTCAAAGGGGTCCAAATATCCACTTGCGGATCCCACAAACAGAGTGTTTCAAAACTGCTCTACGGAAAGGTATGTTCAACTCTGTGAGTTTACTGCAAACATCCTAAAGAAGTTTCTGAGAATGCTGCTGTCTACTTTTTTAATGTGAATATATTTTCTTTTCCGCCATAGCCCTCAAAGAGCTCCAAATATCCACTTTCAGATTCTACAGAGTGTTTCAAAACTGCTCTATCAAAAAAAAGTTTCAACTCGGTGAGTCGAATGCACATATCACAAAGCACTTTCTGAGAATGCTTTCGTCTATTTTTCCCAGGAAGATATTTCCTTTTTGACCGTAGGCCTCAAACCGCTCCAGATATCCACATGCAGATTCTACAAAAAGAGTGTTTCCAAACTGCCCTACCAAAAGGAAGGTTCAACTCTGCTAGTTGAATGCAAACATCACAAAGAAGTTTCTCGGAATGCTTCTGTCTAGTTGTCATAGGCAGATATTTCTTTTTCTACCATAGGCCTCAAAGCGCTCCAAATATCCACTTGCAGATTCTCCAAAAACAGTGTTTCAAAACTGCTCCATAAAAAGGAAGGTTCAACTCTGTGAGTTGAATGGACAGACCACAAAGAAGTTTCTGAGAATGCTTCTGTCCAGTGTTTATGTGAAGATATTCCCGTTTCCGATGAAGGCCTCAAAGCAGTCCAAATATCCACTTGCAGATTCTACAAAAATAGTGTTTCAAAACTACTCTATGCAAAGGTATGTTCAACACTGTGATTTGAATGCAAACGTCACAAAGAAGTTGCTGAGAATGCTTCAGTCTAGTTTCTATGGGAAGACATTTCCTTTTGCACCACAGCCCTCAAAGCACTCCAAATGTCTACTTGCAGATTCGATAAAAGAGTTTTACAAAACTGCTCTATCAAAAGAAAGTTTCAACGCTGTGAGTTGAATCCACATATCACGAAAAAGTTTCTGAGAATGCCTCTATCTACTTTTTATGTGAAGATATTCCGGTTTCCAACGAAGGCCTCAAAGCGCTCCAATTATCTACTGGCAGATTCTAGAAAAAGAGTGTTTCAAAACTGCTCTATTAAAGGAAGGTTCAACTCTGTGAGTTGAATTCACACATCACAAAGAACTTTCTGACAATGCTTCTATCTAGGTTTTATGTGAAGATATTACTGTTTCCTATGAAGGCTTCAAAGTGGTCCGAATATCAACTTTCAGGTTCTACAAAAAAGGTTTTAAAAACTGCTCTATGAAGAGGTATGTTCAACTCTGTGAGTCGAATGCAAACATCACAATGTAGTTTCTGAGAATGCTTCTGTCTAGTTTTTAGGGGCAGATATTTCCATTGGCACATTAGCCCTCAAAGCGCTCCAAATATCCACTGGCAGATTCTACCAAAAGAGTGTTTCAAAACTGCTCTGTGAAAAGAAACGTTCAACTGTGTTAGCTGAATGCCCACATCACAAAGAAGATTCTGAGAATATTTCTGTCTAGTTTTTATTAGAAGATATTCCCGTTTCCACCAAAGGACACAAAGCGAAGCCAATTATCCGCTTGCAGATCTTACAAAAACACGTTTCAAAACTGCTCTATCAAAGGAAAGGTTCATCTCTCTGGGTTCAACACACACATCACAAAGAAGTTTCTGAGAATGCTTCTGGCTAGTTTGTGTGTGAAGATATTCCCATTTCCAACAAAGGCTTCAAAGCGCTCCAAAGATTCACCTGCAATTGTTCAAAAGAGTGTTTCAAAACTGTTCTATCAAAAGGAAGGTTCAACTCTGTGAGTTGAATGCACGCTTCACATAAATGTTTCTGAGAATGCTTCTTTCTAGTTTTTATGGGAAGATATTTCCTTCTCCACCACAGCCCTCAAAGCGCTCCAAGTGTCTGCTGGCAGATTCCACAGAAACAGTGTTTCAAAACTGCTCTAACAAAAGAAAGATTCAACTCCGTGATTTGAATGCCCACATCACAAAACATTTTCTGTGAATCCTTCTGTCTAGTTTTTATATGAGGATATTTCCTTTTCTACCATGGACATCAAAGCGTTCCAATCATCCAATTGTAGAATGCACAAATAGAGTGTTTCAAAACTGCTTCATGAAAAGGAAGATTCATATTTGGGAGTAGAATGCACACATCACGAAGAAGTTTCTGAGAATGCTTCAGTCCAGTTTATATGTGAAGATATTCCCATTTCCAGCGAAGGTCTCAAAGCGGTCCAAATATCCACTTGCGGATTCCACAAAAAGAGTGTTTCAAAACTGCTCTATGGAAAGGTATGTTCAACTCTGTGAGTTTGATGCAAACATCATAAAGAAGTTTCTGAGAATGCTGCTGTCTACTTTAATGTGAATATATTTTCTTTTCCGCCATAGCCCTCAAAGAGCTCCAAATATCCACTTTCAGATTCTACAGAGTGTTACAAAACTGCTGTATCAAAAAAAAGTTTCAACTCGGTGAGTCGAATGCGCATATCACAAAGCCCTTTCTGAGAATGCTTTCGTCTATTTTTCCCAGGAAGATATTTCCTTTTTGACCGTAGGCCTCAAACCGCTCCAGATATCCACATGAAGATTCTACAAAAAGAGTGTTTCCAAACTGCCCTATCAAAAGGAAGGTTCAACTCTGCCTAGTTGAATGCAAACATCACAAAGAACTTTTCTCAGAATGCTTCTGTCTGGTTTTTAGAGGCAGATATTTCTTTTTCTACCATAGGCCTCAAAGCGCTCCAAATATCCACTTGCAGATTCTCCAAAAGGAGTGTTTCAAAACTGCTCCATAAAAAGGTAGGTTCAACTCTGTGAGTTGAATGGACAGATGACAAAGAAGTTTCTGAGAATGCTTCTCTCTAGTGTTTATGTGAAGATATTCCCGTTTCCGATGAAGGCCTCAAAGCAGTCCAAATATCCAGTTGCAGATTCTACAAAAATAGTGTTTCAAAACTACTCTATGGAAAGGTCTGTTCAACACTGTGAGATGAGTGCAAACCTCACGAAGAAGTTGCTGAGAATGCTTCAGTCTAGTTTCCATGGGAAGACATTTCCTTTTGCACCACAGCCCTCAAAGCACCCCAAATGTCTACTTGCAGATTCGATAAAAGAATTTTTCAAAACTGCTCTATCAAAAGAAAGGTTCAACGCTGTGAGTGGAATCTACATATCACAAAAAAGTTTTCTGAGAATGCCTCTATCTACTTTTTACGTGAAGATAGTCCGGTTTCCAACGAAGGCCTCAAAGCGCTCTAAATATCTACTTGCAGATTCTAGAAAAAGAGTGTTTCAAAACTGCTCTATGAAAGGAAGGTTCAACTCTGTGAGTTGAATTCACACATCACAAAGAACTTTCTGACAATGCTTTTATCTATTTTTTATGTGAAGATATTACTGTTTCCTATGAAGGCCTCAGAGTGTTCCGAATATCCACTTGCAGATTCTACAAAAAGAGGTTTCCAAAAGTGCTCTATGCAGAGGTATGTTCAAGTCTGTGAGTTGAATGCAAACATCACAAAGCAGTTTCTGAGAATGCTTCTGTCTAGTTTTTAGGGGCAGATATTTCCGTTGGCACAATAGCCCTCAAAGCGCTCCAAATATCCACTGGCAGATTCTACCAAAAGAGTGTTTCAAAACTGCTCTGTGCAAAGAAACGTTCAACTGTGTTAGTTGAATGCCCACATCACAAAGAAGATTCTGAGAATATTTCTGTCTAGATTTTATTAGAAGATATTCCCGTTTCCACCAAAGGACACAAAGCGAAGCCAACTATCCGCTTGCAGATCTTACAAAAACACGTTTCAAAACTGCTCTTTCAAAGGAAAGGTTCATCTCTCTGGGTTCAACGCACACATCACAAAGAAGTTTCTGAGAATGCTTCTGGCTAGTTTGTGTGTGAAGATATTCCCATTTCCAACAAAGGCTTCAAAGCCCTCCAAATATTCACGTGCAATTGTTCAAAAGAGTGTTTAAAAACTGTTCTATCAAAAGGAAGGTTCAACTCTGTGAGTTGAATGCACGCTTCACATAAATGGCTCTGAGAATGCTTCTTTCTAGTTTTTATGGGAAGATATTTCCTTCTCCACCACAGCCCTCAAAGCGCTCCAAGTGTCCGCTGGCAGATTCCACAGAAACAGTGTTTCAAAACTGCTCTGACAAAAGAAAGATTCAACTCCGTGATTTGAATGCACACATCACAAAGGATTTTCTGTGAATCCTTCTGTCTAGTTTTTATATGAGGATATTTCTTTTTCTACCACGGGCATCCAAGCGTTCCAATTCTCCAATTGTAGATTGCACAAACAGAGTGTTTCAAAACTGCTCCATGAGAAGGAAGATTCAAATTTGGGAGTACAATGCACACATCACCAAGAAGTTTCTGAGAATGCTTCTGTCTAGTTTATATGTGAAGATATTCCCATTTCCAGCAAAGGTCTCAAAGCGGTCCAAATATCCACTTGCGGATCCCACAAACAGAGTGTTTCAAAACTGCTCTACGGAAAGGTAAGTTCAACTCTGTGAGTTTACTGCAAACATCCTAAAGAAGTTTCTGAGAATGCTGCTGTCTACTTTAATGTGAATATATTTTCTTTTCCGCCATAGCCCTCAAAGAGCTCCAAATATCCACTTTCAGATTCTACAGAGTGTTTCAAAACTGCTCTATCAAAAAAAAGTTTCAACTCGGTGAGTCGAATGCACATATCACAAAGCACTTTCTGAGAATGTTTTCGTCTATTTTTCCCAGGAAGATATTTCCTTTTTGACCGTAGGCCTCAAACCGCTCCAGATATCCACATGCAGATTCTACAAAAAGAGTGTATCCAAACTGCCCTATCAAAAGGAAGGTTCAACTCTGCTAGTTGAATGCAAACATCACAAAGAAGTTTCTCGGAATGCTTCTGTCTGGTTTTTAGAGGCAGATATTTCTTTTTCTACCATAGGCCTCAAAGCGCTCCAAATATCCACCTGCAGATTCTCCAAAAGGAGTGTTTCAAAACTGCTCCATAAAAAGGAAGTTTCAACTCTGTGAGTTGAATGGACAGATGACAAAGAAGTTTCTGAGAATGCTTCTGTCTAGTGTTTATGTGAAGATATTCCCGTTTCCGATGAAGGCCTCAAAGCAGTCCAAATATCCACTTGCAGATTCTACAAAAATAGTGCTTCAAAACTACTCTATGGAAAGGTATGTTCAACACTGTGAGATGAATGCAAACGTCACAAAGAAGTTGCTGAGAAGGCTGCAGTCTAGTTTCTATGGGAAGACATTTCCTTTTGCACCACAGCCCTCAAAGCACCCCAAATGTCTACCTGCAGATTCGATAAAAGGGATTTTCAAAACTGCTCCATCCAAAGAAAGGTTCAACGCTGTGAGTTGAATCTACATATCACAAAAAAGTTTCTGAGAATGCCTCTATCTACTTTTCCTGTGAAGATATTCCGGTTTCCAACGAAGGCCTCAAAGCGCTCCACATATCTACCTGCAGATTCTAGAAAAAGAGTGTTTCACAACTGCTCTATTAAAGGAAGGTTCAACTCTGTGAGTTGAATTCACACATCACAAAGAACTTTCTGACAATGCTTCCATCTAGTTTTTATGTGAAGATATTACTGTTTCCTATGAAGACCTCAAAGTGGTCCAAATATCCACTTGCAGATTCTACCAAAAGAGGTTTTCAAAACTGCTCTATGAAGAGGTATGTTCAACACTGTGAGTTGAATGCAAACATCACAACGTAGTTTCTGAGAATGCTTCTGTCCAGATTTCAGGGGCAGATATTTCCATTGGCACAATAGCCCTCCAAGCGCTCCAAATATCCACTGGCAGATTCTACCAAAAGAGTGTTTCAAAACTGCTCTGTGAAAAGAAATGTTCAACTGTGTTAGTTGAATGCCCACATCACAAAGGAGATTCTGAGAATATTTCTGTCTAGTTTTTATTAGAAGATATTCCCGTTTCCACCAAAGGACACAAAGCGAAGCCAATTATCCGCTTGCAGATCTTACAAAAACACGTTTCAAAACTGCTCTATCAAAGGAAAGGTTCATCTCTCTGGGTTCAACGCACACATCACAAAGAAGTTTGTGAGAATGCTTCTGGCTAGTTCGTGTGTGAAGATATTCCCGTTTCCAACAAAGGCTTCAAAGCCCTCCAAATATTCACCTGCAATTGTTCAAAAGAGTGTTTCAAAACTGTTCTATCAAAAGGAAGGTTCAACTCTGTGAGTTGAATGCACGCTTCACATAAATGGTTCTGAGAATTCTTCTTTCTAGTTTTTATCTGAAGATATTTCCTTCTCTACCATAGCCCTCAAAGCGCTCCAAGTGTCCGCAGGCAGATTCCACAGAGACAGTGTTTCAAAACTGCTCTAGCAAGAGAAAGGTTCAACTCCGTGATATGAATGCACACATCACAAAGCATTTTCTGTGAATCCTTCTGTCTAGTTTTTATATGAGGATATTTCCTTTTCTACCATGGGCATCAAAGAGTTCCAAATATCCAATTGTAGATTCTACAAATAGAGTGTTTCAAAACTGCTTCATGAAAAGGAAGATTCAAATTTGGGAGTAGAATGCACACATCACGAAGAAGTTTCTGAGAATGCTTCTGTCTAGTTTATATGTGAAGATATTCCCATTTCCAGCAAAGGTCTCAAAGCGGTCCAAATATCCCCTTGCGGATCCCACAAACAGAGTGTTTCAAAACTGCTCTACGGAAATTTATGTTCAACTCTGTGAGTTTACTGCAAACATCCTAAAGAAGTTTCTGAGAATGCTCCTCTCTAGTCTAATGTGAATATATTTTCTTTTCCGCCATAGCCCTCAAAGAGCTCCAAATATCCACTTTCAGATTCTACAGAGTGTTTCAAAACTGCTCTATCAAAAAAAAGTTTCAACTCGGTGAGTGGAATGCACATATCACAAAGCAGTTTCTGAGAATGCTTTCGTCTATTTTTCCCAGGAAGATATTTCCTTTTTGACCGTAGGCCTCAAACCGCTCCAGATATCCACATGCAGATTCTACAAAAAGAGTGTTTCCAAACTGCCCTATCAAAAGGAAGGTTCACCTCTGCTAGTTGAATGCAAACATCACAAAGAAGTTTCTCGGAATGCTTCTGTCTAGTTGTCATAGGCAGATATTTCTTTTTCTACCATAGGCCTCAAAGCGCTCCAAATATCCACTTGCAGATTCTCCGAAAACAGTGTTTCAAAACTGCTCCATAAAAAAGAAGGTTCAACTCTGTGAGATGAATGGACAGACCACAAAGAAGTTTCTGAGAATGCTTCTGTCTAGTGTTTATGTGAAGATATTCCCGTTTCCGATGAAGGCCTCAAAGCAGTCCAAATATCCACTTGCAGATTCTACAAAAATAGTGTTTCAAAACCGCTCTATGCAAAGGTATGTTCAACACTGTGAGATGCATGCAAACGTCACCAAGAAGTTGCTGAGAATGCTTCAGTCTAGTTTCTATGGGAAGACATTTCCTTTTGCACCACAGCCCTCAAAGCACTCCAAATGTCTACTTGCAGATTCGATAAAAGAGTTTTTCAAAACTGCTCTATCAAAAGAAAGGTTCAACGTTGTGAGTTGAATCTACATATGACAAAAAAGTTTCTGAGCATGCCACTATCTGCTTTTTATGTGAAGATATTCCGGTTTCCAACGAAGGCCTCAAAGCGCTCCAAATATCTACTTGCAGATTCTAGAAAAAGAGTGTTTCAAAACTGCTCTATTAAAGGAAGGTTCAACTCTGTGATTTGAATTCACACATCACAAAGAACTTTCTGACTATGCTTCTATCTAGTTTTTATGTGAAGATATTACTGTTTCCTATGAAGGGCTCAAAGTGGTCCGAATATCCACTTGCAGATTCTACAGAAAGAGGTTTTCAAAACTGCTCTGTGAAGAGGTATGTTCAACTCTGTGTGTTGAATGCAGACATCACGAAGTAGTTTCTGAGAATGCTTCTGTCTAGATTTTAAGGGCAGATATTTCCATTGGCACAACAGCCCTCAAAGCGCTCCAAATATCCACTGGCAGATACTACCAAAAGAGTGTTTCAAAACTGCTCTGTGAAAAGACATGTTCAACTGTGTTAGTTGAATGCCCACATCACAAAGGAGATTGTGAGAATATTTCTGTCTAGTTTTTATTAGAAGATATTCCCGTTTCCACCAAAGGACACAAAGCGAAGCCAACTATCCGCTTACAGATCTTACAAAAACACGTTTCAAAACTGCTCTATCAAAGGAAAGGTTCATCTCTCTGGGTTCAACGCACACATCACAAAGAAGTTTCTGAGAATGCTTCTGGCTAGTTTGTGTGTGAAGATATTCCCATTTCCAACAAAGGCTTCAAAGCGCTCCAAAGATTCCCCTGCAATTGTTCAAAAGAGTGTTTCAAAACTGTTCTATCAAAAGGAAGGTTCAACTCTGTGAGTTGAATGCACGCTTCACATAAATGTTTCCGAGAATGCTTCTTTCTAGTTTTTAGGGGAAGATATTTCCTTCTCCACCATAGCCCTCAAAGCGCTCCAAGTGTCCGCTGGCAGATTCCACAGAAACAGTGTTTCAAAACTGGTCTGACAAAAGAAAGATTCAACTCCGTGATTTGAATGCACACATCACAAAGCATTTTCTGTGAATCCTTCTGTCTAGTTTTTATATGAGGATATTTCCTTTTCTACCATGGGCATCAAAGCGTTCCAATTATCCAATTGTGGATTGCACAAACAGAGTGTTTCAAAACTGCTTCATGAAAAGGAAGATTCAAATTCGGGAGTAGACTGCACACATCACGAAGAAGTTTCTGAGAATGCTTCTGTCTAGTTTATACGTGAAGATATCCCCATTTGCAGCAAAGGTCTCAAAGCGGTCCAAATATCCACTTGCGGATCCCACAAACAGAGTGTTTCAAAACTGCTCTACGGAAAGGTATGTTCAACTCTGTGAGTTTACTGCAAACATCCTAAAGAAGTTTCTGAGAATGCTGCTGTCTAGTTTAATGTGAATATCTTTTCTTTTCCGCCATAGCCCTCAACGAGCTCCAAATATCCACTTTCAGATTCTACAGAGTGTTTCAAAACTGCTCTATCAAAAAAAAGTTTCAACTCGGTGAGTCGAATGCACATATCACAAAGCAGTTTCTGAGAATGCTTTCGTCTATTTTTCTCAGGAAGATATTTCCTTTTTGACCGTAGGCCTCAAACCGCTCCAGATATCCACATGCAGATTTTACAAAAAGAGTGTTCCCAAACTGCCCTATCAAAAGGAAGGTTCAACTCTGCTAGTTGAATGCAAACATCACAAAGAAGTTTCTCGGAATGCTTCAGTCTAGTATTTAGAGGCAGATATTTCTTTTTCTACCATTGGCCTCAAGGCGCTCCAAATATCCACTTGCAGATTCTCCACAAACAGTGTTTCAAAACTGCTCCATAAAAAGGAAGGTTCAACTCTGTGAGTTGAATGGACAGATCACAAAGAAGTTTCCTGAGAATGCTTCTCTCTATGTTTATGTGAAGATATTCCCGTTTCCGATGAAGGCCTCAAAGCAGTCCAAATATCCACTTGCCGATTCTACAAAAACAGTGTTTCAAAACCACTCTATGGAAAGGTATGTTCAACACTGTGAGATGAATGCAAACGTCACCAAGAAGTTGCTGAGAATGCTTCAGTCTAGTTTCTATGGGAAGACATTTCCTTTTGCACCACAGCCCTGAAAGCACTCCAAATGTCTACTTGCAGATTCGATAAAAGAGTTTTACAAAACTGCTCTATCAAAAGAAAGGTTCAACGCTGTGAGTTGAATCCACATAACACGAAAAAGATTCTGAGAATGCCTCTATCTACTTTTCCTGTGAAGATATTCCGGTTTCCAACGAAGGCCTCCAAGCGCTCCAAATATCTACTTGCAGATTCTAGAAAAAGAGTGTTTCAAAACTGCTCTATTAAAGGAAGGTTCAACTCTGTGAGTTGAATTCACACATCACAAAGAACTTTCTGACAATGCTTCTATCTAGTTTTTATGTGAAGATATTACTGTTTCCTATGAAGGCCTCAAAGTGGTCTGAATATCCACTTGCAGATTCTACAGAAAGAGGTTTTCAAAACTGCTCTGTGAAGAGGTATGTTCAACTCTGTGTGTTGAATGCAAACATCACGAAGTAGTTTCTGAGAATGCTTCTGTCTAGTTTTCAGGGGCAGATATTTCCATTGGCACAATAGCCCTCCAAGCGCTCCAAATATCCACTGGCAGATTCTACCAAAAGAGTGTTTCAAAACTGCTCTGTGAAAAGAAATGTTCAACTGTGTAAGTTGAATGCCCACATCACAAAGGAGATTCTGAGAATATTTTCTGTCTAGTTTTTATTAGAAGATATTCCCGTTTCCACCAAAGGACACAAAGCCGAAGCCAACTATCCGCTTGCAGATCTTACAAAAACACGTTTCAAAACTGCTCTATCAAAGGAATGGTTCATCTCTCTGGGTTCAACGCACACATCACAAAGAAGTTTCTGAGAATGCTTCTGGCTAGTTTGTGTGTGAAGATATTCCCATTTCCAACAAAGGCTTCAAAGCCCTCCAAAGATTCACCTGCAATTGTTCAAAAGAGTGTTTCAAAACTGTTCTATCAAAAGGAAGGTTCAACTCTGTGAGTTGAATGCACGCTTCACATAAATGGTTCTGAGAATGCTTCTTTCTAGTTTTTATGGGAAGATATTTCCTTCTCCACCATAGCCCTAAAAGCGCTCCAAGTGTCCGCTGGCAGATTCCACAGAAACAGTGTTTCAAAACTGCTCTCACAAAAGAAAGATTCAACTCCGTGATTTGAATGCACACATCACAAAGCATTTTCTGTGAATCCTTCTGTCTAGTTTTTATATGAAGATATTTCCTTTTCTACCATGGGCATCAAAGCGTTCCAATTATCCAATTGTGGATTGCAGAAACAGAGTGTTTCAAAACTGCTTCATGAAAAGGAAGATTCACATTCGGGAGTAGAATGCACACATCACGAAGAAGTTTCTGAGAATGCTTCTGTCTAGTTTAAATGTGCAGATATTCCCATTTCCAGCAAAGGTCTCAAAGCGGTCCAAATATCCACTTGCGGATCCCACAAACAGAGTGTTTCAAAACTGCTCTACGGAAAGGTATGTTCAACTCTGTGAGTTTACTGCAAACATCTTAAAGAAGTTTCTGAGAACGCTGCTGTCTACTTTAATGTGAATATATTTTCTTTTCCGCCATAGCCCTCAAAGAGCTCCAAATATCCACTTTCAGATTCTACAGAGTGTTTCAAAACTGCTCTATCAAAAAAAAGTTTCAACTCGGTGAGTGGAATGCACATATCACAAAGCAGTTTCTGAGAATGCTTTCATCTATTTTTCCCAGGAAGATATTTCCTTTTTGACCGTAGGCCTCAAATCGCTCCAGATATCCACATGCAGATTCTACAAAAAGAGTGTTTCCAAACTGCCCTATCAAAAGGAAGGTTCAACTCTGGTAGTTGAATGCAAACATCACAAAGAAGTTTCTCAGAATGCTTCTGTCTGGTTTTTAGAGGCAGATATTTCTTTTTCTACCATAGGCCTCAAAGCGCTCCAAATATCCATTTGCAGATTCTCCAAAAGGAGTGTTTCAAAACTGCTCCATAAAAAGGAAGGTTCAACTCTGTGAGTTGAATGGACAGATGACAAAGAAGTTTCTGAGAATGCTTCTGTCTAGTGTTTATGTGAAGATATTCCCGTTTCCGATGAAGGCCTCAGAGCAGTCCAAATATCCACTTGCAGATTCTACAAAAATAGTGTTTCAAAACTACTCTATGAAAAGGTATGTTCAACACTGTGAGATGAATGCAAACGTCACAAAGAAGTTGCTGAGAATGCTTCAGTCTAGTTTCTATGAGAAGACATTTCCTTTTGCACCACAGCCCTCAAAGCACCCCAAATGTCTACCTGCAGATTCGATAAAAGAGTTTTTCAAAACTGCTCCATCCAAAGAAAGGTTCAACACTGTGAGTTGAATCTACATATCACAAAAAAAGTTTCTGAGAATGCCTCTATCTAATTTTCCTGTGAAGATATTCCGGTTTCCAACGAAGGCCTCAAAGCGCTCCAAATATCTACTTGCAGATTCTAGAAAAAGAGTGTTTCACAACTGCTCTATTAAAGGAAGGTTCAACTCTGTGAGTTGAATTCACACATCACAAAGAACTTTCTGACAATGCTTCTATCTAGTTTTTATGTGAAGATATTACTGTTTCCTATGAAGGCCTCAAAGTGGTCCGAATATCCTCTTGCAGATTCTACAAAAAGAGGTTTTCAAAACTGCTCTATGAAAAGGTAGGTTCAACTCTGTGAGTTGAATGCAAACATCACAAAGCAGTTTCTGAGAATGCTTCTGTCTAGTTTTTAGGGGCAGATATTTTCGTTGGCACAATAGCCCTCAAAGCGCTCCAAATATCCACTGGCAGATTCTACCAAAAGAGTGTTTCAAAACTGCTCTGTGAAAAGAAACGTTCAACTGTGTTAGTTGAATGCCCACATCACAAAGAAGATTCTGAGAATATTTCTGTCTAGTTTTTATTAGAAGATATTCCCGTTTCCACCAAAGGACACAAAGCGAAGCCAATTATCTGCTTGCAGATCTTACAAAAACACGTTTCAAAACTGCTCTATCAAAGGAAAGGTTCATCTCTCTGGGTTCAACGCACACATCACAAAGAAGTTTCCGAGAATGCTTCTGGCTAGTTTGTGTGTGACGATATTCCCATTTCCAACAAAGGCTTCAAAGCCCTCCAAATATTCACCTGCAATTGTTCAAAAGAGTGTTTCAAAACTGTTCTATCAAAAGGAAGGTTCAACTCTGTGAGTTGAACGCACGCTTCACATAAATGGTTCTGAGAATGCTTCTTTCTAGTTTTTATGTGAAGATATTTCCTTCTCCACCATAGCCCTCAAAGCGCTCCAAGTGTCCGCTGGCAGATTCCACAGAAACAGTGTTTCAAAACTGCTCTAACAAAAGAAATATTCAACTCCGTGATTTGAATGCACACATCACAAAGCATTTTCTGTGAATCCTTCTGTCTAGTTTTTATATGAGGATATTTCCTTCTCTACCATGGGCATCAAAGCGTTCCAATTATCCAATTGTAGCTTGCACAAATAGAGTGTTTCAAAACTGCTTCATGAGAAGGAAGATTCAAATCTGGGAGTAGAATGCACACATCACGAAGAAGTTTCTGAGAATGCTTCCGTCTAGTTTATATGTGAAGATATTCCCATTTCCAGCAAAGGTCTCAAAGCGGTCCAAATATCCACTTGCGGATCCCACAAACAGTGTTTCAAAACTGCTCTACCGAAAGGTATGTTCAACTCTGTGAGTTTACTGCAAACATCCTAAAGAAGTTTCTGAGAATGCTGCTGTCTAGTTTAATGTGAATATATTTTCTTTTCCGCCATAGCCCTCAAAGAGCTCCAAATATCCACTTTCAGATTCTACAGAGTGTTTCAAAACTGCTCTATCCAAAAAAAGTTTCAACTAGGTGAGTCGAATGCACATATCACAAAGCAGTTTCTGAGAATGCTTTCGTCTATTTTTCCCAGGAAGATATTTCCTTTTGGACCGTAGGCCTCAAATCGCTCCAGATATCCACATGCAGATTCTACAAAAAGAGTGTTTCCAAACTGCCCTATCAAAAGGAAGGTTCAACTCTGGTAGTTGAAGGCAAACATCACAAAGAAGTTTCTCAGAATGCTTCAGTCTAGTATTTAGAGGCAGATATTTCTTTTTCTACCATTGGCCTCAAGGCGCTCCAAATATCCACTTGCAGATTCTCCACAAACAGTGTTTCAAAACTGCTCCATAAAAAGGAAGGTTCAACTCTCTGAGTTGAATGGACAGATCACAAAGAAGTTTCTGAGAATGCTTCTCTCTAGTGTTTATGTGAAGATATTCCCGTTTCCGATGAAGGCCTCAAAGCAGTCCAAATATCCACTTACCGATTCTACAAAAACAGTGTTTCAAAACTACT
The DNA here is from genome assembly GCF_000001405.40 of Homo sapiens. Classification (NCBI taxonomy): domain Eukaryota; kingdom Metazoa; phylum Chordata; class Mammalia; order Primates; family Hominidae; genus Homo; species Homo sapiens. Next base: position 24,761,332 of record NC_000019.10, on the reverse strand, counting down.
CTATGGAAAGGTATGTTCAACACTGTGAGATGAATGCAAACGTCACCAAGAAGTTGCTGAGAATGCTTCAGTCTAGTTTCTATGGGAAGACATTTCCTTTTGCACCACAGCCCCCAAAGCACTCCAAATGTCTACATGCAGATTCGATAAAAGAGTTTTACAAAACTGCTCTATCAAAAGAAAGGTTCAACGCTGTGAGTTGAATCCACATATCACGAAAAAGTTTCTGAGAATGCCTCTATCTACTTTTCCTGTGAAGATATTCCGGTTTCCAACGAAGGCCTCAAAGCGCTCCAAATATCTACTTGCAGATTCTAGAAAAAGAGTGTTTCACAACTGCTCAATTGAAGGAAGGTTCAACTCTGTGAGTTGAATTCACACATCACAAAGAACTTTCTGACAATGCTTCTATATAGTTTTTATGTGAAGATATTACTGTTTCCTATGAAGGCCTCAAAGTGGTCTGAATATCCACTTGCAGATTCTCCAAAAAGAGGTTTTCAAAATTGCTCTATGAAGAGTTATGTTCAACTCTGTGAGTTGAATGCAAACATCACGAAGTAGTTTCTGAGAATGCTTCTGTCTAGATTTTAGGGGCAGATATTTCCATTGGCACAACAGCCCTCAAAGCGCTCCAAATATCCACTGGCAGATTCTACCAAAAGAGTGTTTCAAAACTGCTCTGTGAAAAGAAATGTTCAACTGTGTTAGTTGAATGCCCACATCACAAAGGAGATTGTGAGAATATTTCTGTCTAGTTTTTATTAGAAGATATTCCCGTTTCCACCAAAGGACACAAAGCGAAGCCAACTATCCGCTTGCAGATCTTACAAAAACACGTTTCAAAACTGCTCTATCAAAGGAAAGGTTGATCTCTCTGGGTTCAACGCACACATCACAAAGAAGTTTCTGAGAAAGCTTCTGGCTAGTTTGTGTGTGAAGATATTCCCATTTCCAACAAAGGCTTCAAAGCCCTCCAAATATTCACCTGCAATTGTTCAAAAGAGTGTTTCAAAACTGTTCTATCAAAAGGAAGGTTCAACTCTGTGAGTTGAAAGGACGCTTCACATAAATGGTTCTGAGAATGCTTCTTTCTAGTTTTTATGTGAAGATATTTCCTTCTCCACCGTAGCCCTCAAAGCGCTCCAAGTGTCCGCTGGCAGATTCCACAGAAACAGTCTTTCAAATCTGCTCTAACAAAAGAAAGATTCAACTCCGTGATTTGAATGCACACATCACAAAGCATTTTCTGTGAATCCTTCTGTCTAGTTTTTATATGAGGATATTTCCTTTTCTACCATGGGCATCAAAGCTTTCCAATTATCCAATTGTGGATTGCACAAACAGAGTGTTTCAAAACTGCTTCATGAAAAGGAAGATTCAAATTTGGGAGTAGAATGCACACATCACGAAGAAGCTTCTGAGAATGCTTCTGTCCAGTTTATATGTGAAGATATTCCCATTTCCAGCAAAGGTCTCAAAGCGGTCCAAATGTCCACTTGCGGATCCCACAAACAGAGTGTTTCAAAACTGCTCTACGGAAAGGAATGCTCAACTCTGTGAGTTTACTGCAAACATCCTAAGGAAGTTTCTGGGAATGCTGCTGTCTACTTTAATGTGAATATATTTTCTTTTCCGCCATAGCCCTCAAAGAGCTCCAAATATCCACTTTCAGATTCTACAGAGTGTTTCAAAACTGCTCTATCAAAAAAAATTTCAACTCGGTGAGTCGAATGCACATATCACAAAGCAGTTTCTGAGAATGCTTCTGTCTAGTTTTTAGAGGCAGATATTTCTTTTTCTACCATAGGCCTCAAAGCGCTCCAAATATCCACTTGCAGATTCTCCAAAAACAGTGTTTCAAAACTGCTCCATAAAAAGGAAGGTTCAACTCTGTGAGTTGAATGGACAGATCACAAAGAAGTTTCTGAGAATGCTTCTGTCTAGTGTTTATGTGAAGATATTCCCGTTTCCGATGAAGACCTCAAAGCAGTCCAAATATCCACTTGCAGATTCTACAAAAATAGTGTTTCAAAACTACTCTATGGAAAGGTATGTTCAACACTGTGAGATGAATGCAAACGTCACAAAGAAGTTGCTGAGAATGCTTCAGTCTAGTTTCTATGGGAAGACATTTCCTTTTGCACCACAGCCCTCAAAGCACTCCAAATGTCTACTTGCAGATTCGATAAAAGAGTTTTTCAAAACTGCTCTATCAAAAGAAAGGTTCAACGCTGTGAGTTGAATCTACTTATCACAAAAAAGTTTCTGAGAATGCCTCTATCTACTTTTCCTGTGAAGATATTCCGGTTTCCAACGAAGGCCTCAAAGCGCTCCAAATATCTACTTGCAGATTCTAGAAAAGGAGTGTTTCAAAACTGCTCTATTAAAGGAAGGTTCAACTCTGTGAGTTGAATTCACACATCACAAAGAACTTTCTGACAATGCTTCTATCTAGTTTTTATGCGAAGATATTACTGTTTCCTATGAAGGCCTCAAAGTGGTCCGAATATCCTCTTGCAGATTCTACAAAAAGAGGTTTTCAAAACTGCTCTATGAAAAGGTATGTTCAACTCTGTGAGTTGAATGCAAACATCACAAAGCAGTTTACTGAGAATGCTTCTGTCTAGTTTTCAGGGGCAGATATTACCATTGGCACAATAGCCCTCCAAGCGCTCCAAATATCCACTGGCAGATTCTACCAAAAGAGTGTTTCAAAACTGCTCTGTGAAAAGAAATGTTCAACTGTGTTAGTTGAATGCCCACATCACAAAGGAGATTCTGAGAATATTTCTGTCTAGTTTTTATTAGAAGATATTCCCGTTTCCACCAAAGGACACAAAGCGAAGCCAATTATCCGCTTGTAGAACTTACAAAAACACGTTTCAAAACTGCTCTATCCAAGGAAAGGTTCATCTCTCTGGGTTCAACGCACACATCACAAAGAAGTTTCTGAGAATACTTCTGGCTAGTTTGTGTGTGAAGATATTCCCATTTCCAACAAAGGCTTCAAAGCGCTCCAAAGATTCACCTGCAATTGTTCAAAAGAGTGTTTCAAAACTGTTCTCTCAAAAGAAAGGTTCAACTCTGTGAGTTGAATGCACGCTTCACATAAATGTTTCCGAGAATGCTTCTTTCTAGTTTTTATGGGAAGATATTTCCTTCTCCACCATAGCCCTCAAAGCGCTCCAAGTGTCCGCTGGCAGATTCCACAGAAACAGTGTTTCAAAACTGCTCTCACAAAAGAAAGATGCAACTCCGTGATTTGAATGCACACATCACAAAGCATTTTCTGTGAATCCTTCTGTCTAGTTTTTATATGAGGATATTTCCTTTTCTACCATGGGCATCAAAGCGTTCCAATCATCCAATTGTAGAATGCACAAATAGAGTGTTTCAAAACTGCTTCATGAAAAGGAAGATTCATATTTGGGAGTAGAATGCACACATCACGAAGAAGTTTCTGAGAATGCTTCTGTCTAGTTTATATGTGCAGATATTCGCATTTCCAGCAAAGGTCTCAAAGCGGTCCAAATATCCACTTGCGGATCCCACAAACAGAGTGTTTCAAAACTGCTCTACGGAAAGGTATGTTCAACTCTGTGAGTTTACTGCAAACATCCTAAAGAGGTTTCTGAGAATGCTGCTGTCTAGTTTAATATGAATATATTTTCTTTTCCGCCATAGCCCTCAAAGAGCTCCAAATATCCACTTTCAGATTCTACAGAGTGTTTCAAAACTGCTCTATCAAAAAAAAGTTTCAACTCGGTGAGTCGAATGCACATATCACAAAGCACTTTGTGAGAATGCTTTCGTCTATTTTTCCCAGGAAGATATTTCCTTTTTGACCGTAGGCCTCAAATCGCTCCAGATATCCACATGCAGATTCTACAAAAAGAGTGTTTCCAAACTGCCCTATCAAAAGGAAGGTTCAACTCTGCTAGTTGAATGCAAACATCACAAAGAAGTTTCTCAGAATGCTTCTGTCTAGTTGTCATAGGCAGATATTTCTTTTTCTACCGTAGGCCTCAAAGCGCTCCAAATATCCACTTGCAGATCCTCCGAAAACAGTGTTTCAAAACTGCTCCATAAAAAGGAAGGTTCAACTCTGTGAGTTGAATGGACAGACCACAAAGAAGTTTCTGAGAATGCTTCTCTCTAGTGTTTATGTGAAGATATTCCCGTTTCCGATGAAGGCCTCAAAGCAGTCCAAATATCCACTTGCAGATTCTACAGAAACAGTGTTTCAAAACCACTCTATGGAAAGGTATGTTCAACACTGTGAGATGAATGCAAACGTCACCAAGAAGTTGCTGAGAATGCTTCAATCTAGTTTCTATGGGAAGACATTTCCTTTTGCACCACAGCCCTCAAAGCACTCCAAATGTCTACTTGCAGATTCGATAAAAGAGTTTTACAAAACTGCTCTATCAAAAGAAAGGTTCAACGCTGTGAGTTGAATCCACATATCACGAAAAAGTTTCTGAGAATGCCTCTATCTGCTTTTTATGTGAAGATATTCCGGTTTCCAACGAAGGCCTCAAAGCGCTCCAAATATCTACTTCCAGATTCTAGAAAAAGAGTGTTTCAAAACTGCTCTATTAAAGGAAGTTTCAATTCTGTGATTTGAATTCACACATCACAAAGAACTTTCTGACTATGCTTCTATCTAGTTTTTATGTGAAGATATTACTGTTTCCCATGAAGGCCTCAAAGTGGTCCGAATATCCACTTGCAGATTCTACAAAAAGAGGTTTTCAAAACTGCTCTATGCAGAGGTATATTCAACTCTGTGAGTTGAATGCAAACATCCCGAAGCAGTTTCTGAGAATGCTTCTGTCTAGTTTTTAGGTGAAGACTTTTCCATTTCTACAAAGCCCTCAAAGCGCTCCAAATATCCACTGGCAGATTCTACAAAAAGAGTGTTTCAAAACTGCTCTGTCACAAGAAATGTTCAACTCTGTTAGTTGAATGCCCACATCACAAAGAAGATTCTGAGAATATTTCTGTCTAGTTTTTATTAGAAGATATTCCCGTTTCCAACAAAGGACACAAAGCGAAGCCAATTATCCGCTTGCAGATCTTACAAAAACACGTTTCAAAACTGCTCTATCAAAGGAAAGGTTCATCTCTCTGGGTTCAACGCACACATCACAAAGAAGTTTCTGAGAATGCTTCTGGCTAGTTTGTGTGTGAAGATATTCCCGTTTCCAACAAAGGCTTCAAAGCCCTCCAAATATTCACCTGCAATTGTTCAAAAGAGTGTTTCAAAACTGTTCTATCAAAAGGAAGGTTCAACTCTGTGAGTTGAATGCACGCTTCACATAAATGGTTCTGAGAATGCTTCTTTCTAGTTTTTATGGGAAGATATTTCCTTCTCCACCACAACCCTCAAAGCGCTCCAAGTGTCCGCTGGCAGATTCCACAGAAACAGTGTTTCAAAACTGCTCTGACAAAAGAAAGATTCAACTCCGTGATTTGAATGCACACATCACAAAGCATTTTCTGTGAATCCTTGTGTCTAGTTTTTATATGAGGATATTTCCTTTTCTACCATGGGCATCAAAGCGTTCCAATTATCCAATTGTGGATTGCACAAACAGAGTGTTTCAAAACTGCTTCATGAAAAGGAAGATTCAAATTCGGGAGTAGAATGCACACATCACGAAGAAGTTACTGAGAATGCTTCTGTCTAGTTTATATGTGAAGATATTCCCATTTCCAGCAAAGGCCTCAAAGCGGTCCAAATATCCACTTGCGGATCCCACAAACAGAGTGTTTCAAAACTGCTCTATGGAAAGGTAGGTTCAACTCTGTGAGTTTACCGCAAACATCCTAAAGAAGTTTCTGAGAATGCTGCTGTCTAGTTTAATGTGAATATCTTTTCTTTTCCGCCATAGCCCTCAAAGAGCTCCAAATATCCACCTTCAGATTCTACAGAGTGTTTCAAAACTGCTCTATCCAAAAAAAGTTTCAACTCGGTGAGTCGAATGCACATATCACAAAGCAGTTTCTGAGAATACTTTCGTCTATTTTTCCCAGGAAGATATTTCCTTTTTGACCGTAGGCCTCAAACCGCTCCAGATATCCACATGCAGATTCTACAAAAAGAGTGTTTCCAAACTGCCCTATCAAAAGGAAGGTTCAACTCTGCTAGTTGAATGCAAACATCACAGAGAAGTTTCTCGGAATGCTTCTGTCTAGTTGTCATAGGCAGATATTTCTTTTTCTACAATAGGCCTCAAAGCGCTCCAAATATCCACTTGCAGATCCTCCGAAAACAGTGTTTCAAAACTGCTCCATAAAAAGGAAGGTTCAACTCTGTGAGTTGAATGGACAGACCACAAAGAAGTTTCTGAGAATGCTTCTGTCTAGTGTTTATGTGAAGATATTCCCGTTTCCGATGAAGGCCTCAAAGCAGTCCAAATATCCACTTGCAGATTCTGCAAAAATAGTGCTTCAAAACTACCCTATGGAAAGGAATGTTCAACACTGTGAGATGAATGCAAACGTCACAAAGAAGTTGATGAGAATGCTTCAGTCTAGTTTCTATGGGAAGACATTTCCTTTTGCACCACAGCCCTCAAAGCACTCCAAATGTCTACTTGCAGATTCGATAAAAGAGTTTTACAAAACTGCTCTATCAAAAGAAATGTTCAACGCTGTGAGTTGAATCCACATAACACGAAAAAGTTTCTGAGAATGCCTCTATCTACTTTTCCTGTGAAGATATTCCGGTTTCCAACGAAGGCCTCAAAGCGCTCCAAATATCTACTTGCAGATTCTAGAAAAAGAGTGTTTCACAACTGCTCTATTGAAGGAAGGTTCAATTCTGTGAGTTGAATTCACACATCACAAAGAACTTTCTGACAATGCTTCTATCTAGTTTTTATGTGAAGATATTACTGTTTCTTATGAAGGCCTCAAAGTGGTCCGAATATCCACTTGCAGATTCTACAGAAAGAGGTTTTCAAAACTGCTCTGTGAAGGGGTATGTTCAACTCTGTGTGTTGAATGCAAACATCACGAAGTAGTTTCTGAGAATGCTTCTGTCTAGATTTCAGTGGCAGATATTTCCATTGGCACAATAGCCCTCCAAACACTCCAAATATCCACTGGCAGATTCTACCAAAAGAGTGTTTCAAAACTGCTCTGTGAAAAGAAATGTTCAACTGTGTTAGTTGAATGCCCACATCACAAAGGAGATTCTGAGAATATTTCTGTCTAGTTTTTATTAGAAGATATTCCCGTTTCCACCAAAGGACACAAAGCGAAGCCAATTATCCGCTTGCCGATCTTACAAAAACACGTTTCAAAACTGCTCTATCGAAGGAAAGGTTCATCTCTCTGGGTTCAACGCACACATCACAAAGAAGTTTCTGAGAATGCTTCTGGCTAGTTTGTGTGTGAAGATATTCCCATTTCCAACAAAGGCTTCAAAGCGCTCCAAAGATTCACCTGCAATTGTTCAAAAGAGTGTTTCAAAACTGTTCTATCAAAAGAAAGGTTCAACTCTGTGAGTTGAATGCACGCTTCACATAAATGTTTCCGAGAATTCTTCTTTCTAGTTTTTATGTGAAGATATTTCCTTCTCCACCATAGCCCTCAAAGCGCTCCAAGTGTCCGCGGGCAGATTCCACAGAAACAGTGTTTCAAAACTGCTCTAACAAAATAAGATTCAACACCGTGATTTGAATGAACACATCACAAAGCATTTTCTGTGAATCCTTCTGTCTAGTTTTTATATGAGGATATTTCCTTTTCTACCATGGGCATCAAAGGGTTCCAATTATCCAATTGTAGATTGCACAAATAGAGTGTTTCCAAACTGCTTCATGAGAAGGAAGATTCAAATTTGGGAGTAGAATGCACACATCACGAAGAAGTTTCTGAGAATGCTTCTGTCTAGTTTATATGTGAAGATATTCCCATTTCCAGCAAAGATCTCAAAGCTGTCCAAATATCCACTTGCGGATCCCACAAACAGAGTGTTTCAAAACTGCTCTATGGAAAGGTATGTTCAACTCTGTGAGTTTACTGCAGACATCCTAAAGAAGTTTCTGAGAATGCTGCTGTCTACTTTAATGTGAATATATTTTCTTTTCCGCCATAGCCCTCAAAGAGCTCCAAATATCCACTTTCAGATTCTACAGAGTGTTTCAAAACTGCTCTATCAAAAAAAAGTTTCAACTCGGTGAGTCGAATGCACATATCACAAAGCAGTTTCTGAGAATGCTTTCGTCTATTTTTCCCAGGAAGATATTTCCTTTTTGACCGTAGGCCTCAAACCGCTCCAGATATCCACATGCAGATTCTACAAAAAGAGTGTTTCCAAACTGCCCTATCAAAAGGAAGGTTCAACTCTGCTAGTTGAATGCAAACATCACAAAGGAGTTTCTCGGAATGCTTCTGTCTGGTTTTTAGAGGCAGATATTTCTTTTTCTACCATAGGCCTCAAAGTGCTCCAAATATCCACTTGCAGATTCTCCAAAAGGAGTGTTTCAAAACTGCTCCATAAAAAGGAAGGTTCAACTCTGTGAGTTGAATGGACAGATGACAAAGAAGTTTCTGAGAATGCTTCTCTCTAGTGTTTATGTGAAGATATTCCCGTTTCCGATGAAGGCCTCAAAGCAGTCCAAATATCCACTTGCAGATTCTACAAAAACAGTGTTTCAAAAGTACTCGATGGAAAGGTATGTACAACACTGTGAGATGAATGCAAACGTCACAAAGAAGTTGCTGAGAATGCTTCAGTCTAGTTTCTATGGGAAGACATTTCCTTTTGCACCACAGCCCTCAAAGCACCCCAAATGTCTACCTGCAGATTCGATTAAAGAATTTTTCAAAACTGCTCCATCCAAAGAAAGGTTCAACGCTGTGAGTTGAATCTACATATCACAAAAAAGTTTCTGAGAATGCCTCTATCTACTTTTCCTGTGAAGATATTCCGGTTTCCAACGAAGGCCTCAAAGCGCTCCAAATATCTACTTGCAGATTCTAGAAAAAGAGTGTTTCACAACTGCTCTGCTGAAGGAAGGTTCAATTCTGTGAGTTGAATTCACACATCACAAAGAACTTTCTGACAATGCTTCTATCTAGTTTTTATGTGAAGATATTACTGTTTCCTATGAAGGCCTCAAAGTGGTCCGAATATCCACTTGCAGATTCTACAGAAAGAGGTTTTCAAAACTGCTCTGTGAAGAGGTATGTTCAACTCTGTGTGTTGAATGCAAACATCACGAAGCAGTTTCTGAGAATGCTTCTGTCTAGTTTTTAGGGGCAGATATTTCCATTGGCACAATAGCCCTCAAAGCACTCCAAATATCCACTGGCAGATTCGACCAAAAGAGTGTTTCAAAACTGCTCTGTGAAAAGAAATGTTCAACTGTGTTACTTGAATGCCCACATCACAAAGAAGTTTCTGAGAATATCTCTGTCTAGTTTTTATTAGAAGATATTCCCGTTTCCACCAAAGGACACAAAGCGAAGCCAATTATCCGCTTGCCGATCTTACAAAAACACGTTTCAAAACTGCTCTATCGAAGGAAAGGTTCATCTCTCTGGGTACAACGCACACATCACAAAGAAGTTTCTGAGAATGCTTCTGGCTAGTTTGTGTGTGAAGATATTCCCATTTGCAACAAAGGCTTCAAAGCGCTCCAAAGATTCACCTGCAATTGTTCCAAAGAGTGTTTCAAAACTGTTGTATCAAAAGGAAGGTTCAACTCTGTGAGTTGAATGCACGCTTCACATAAATGTTTCTGAGAATGCTTCTTTCTAGTTTTTATGTGAAGATATTTCCTTCTCCACCGTAGCCCTCAAAGCGCTCCAAGTGTCCGCTGGCAGATTCCACAGAAACTGTGTTTCAAAACTGCTCTAACAAAAGAAAGATTCAACTCCGTGATTTGAATGCACACATCACAAAGCATTTTCTGTGAATCCTTCTGTCTAGTTTTCATATGAGGATATTTCCTTTTCTACCATGGGCATCAAAGGGTTCCAATTATCCAATTGTAGATTGCACAAATAGAGTGTTTCAAAACTGCTTCATGAGAAGGAAGATTCAAATTTGGGAGTAGAATGCACACATCACGAAGAAGTTTCTGAGAATGCTTCTGTCTAGTTTATATGTGAAGATATTCCCATTTCCAGCAAAGGTCTCAAAGCGGTCCAAATATCCACTTGCGGATCCCACAAACAGAGTGTTTCAAAACTGCTCTACGGAAAGGTATGTTCAACTCTGTGAGTTTACTACAAACATCCTAAAGAAGTTTCTGAGAATGCTGCTGTCTAGTTTAATGTGAATATATTTTCTTTTCCGCCATAGCCCTCAAAGAGCTCCAAATATCCACTTTCAGATCCTACAGAGTGTTTCAAAACTGCTCTATCCAAAAAAAGTTTCAACTCGGAGAGTCGAATGCACATATCACAAAGCAGTTTCTGAGAATGCTTTCGTCTATTTTTCCCCGGAAGATATTTCCTTTTGGACCGTAGGCCTCAAATCGCTCCAGATATCCACATGCAGATTCTACAAAAAGAGTGTTTCCAAACTGCCCTATGAAAAGGAAGGTTCACCTCTGGTAGTTGAATGCAAACATCACAAAGAAGTTTCTCAGAATGCTTCTGTCTAGTTGTCATAGGCAGATATTTCTTTTTCTACCATAGGCCTCAAAGCGCTCCAAATATCCACTTGCAGATTCTCCGAAAACAGTGTTTCAAAACTGCTCCATAAAAAGGAAGGTTCAACTCTGTGAGTTGAATGGACAGACCACAAAGAAGTTTCTGATAATGCTTCTCTCTAGTGTTTATGTGAAGATATTCCCGTTTCCGATGAAGGCCTCAAAGCAGTCCAAATATCCACTTGCAGATTCTACAAAAACAGTGTTTCAAAACTACTCTATGGAAAGGTATGTTCAACACTGTGAGATGAATGCAAACGTCACAAAGAAGTTGCTGAGAATGCTTCAGTCTAGTTTCTATGGGAAGACATTTCCTTTTGCACCACAGCCCTCAAAGCACTCCAAATGTCTACTTGCAGATTCGACATAAGAGTTTTTCAAAACCGCTCTATCAAAAGAAAGGTTCAACGCTGTGAGTTGAATCTACATATCACAGAAAAGTTTCTGAGAATGCCTCTATCTACTTTTTATGTGAAGATATTCCGGTTTCCAACGAAGGCCTCAAAGCGCTCCAAATATCTACTGGCAGATTCTAGAAAAAGAGTGTTTAAAACTGCTCTATTAAAGGAAGGTTCAACTATGTGAGTTGAATTCACACATCACAAAGAACTTTCTGACAATGCTTCTATCTAGTTTTTATGTGATGATATTACTGTTTCCGATGAAGGCCTCAAAGTGGTCCGAATATCCACTTGCAGATTCTACAAAAAGAGGTTTTCAAAACTGCTCTATGAAGAGGTATGTTCAACTCTGTGAGTTGAATGCAAACATCACAAAGCAGTTTTTGAGAATGCTTCTGTCTAGTTTTCAGGGGCAGATATTTCCATTGGCACAATAGCCCTCCAAGCGCTCCACATATCCACTGGCAGATTCTACCAAAAGAGTGTTTCAAAACTGCTCTGTGAAAAGAAATGTTCAACTGTGTTAGTTGAATGCCCACATCACAAAGGAGATTCTGAGAATATTTCTGTCTAGTTTTTATTAGAAGATATTCCCGTTTCCACCAAAGGACACAAAGCGAAGCCAATTATCCGCTTGCCGACCTTACAAAAACACGTTTCAAAACTGCTCTATCAAAGGAAAGGTTCATCTCTCTGGGTTCAACGCACACATCACAAAGAAGTTTCTGAGAATGCTTCTGGCTACTTTGTGCGTGAAGATATTCCCATTTCCAGCAAAGGCTTCAAAGCGCTCCAAATATTCACCTGCAATTGTTCAAAAGAGTGTTTCAAAACTGTTCTAACAAAAGGAAGGTTCAACTCTGAGAGTTGAATGCACGCTTCACATAAATGGTTCTGAGAATGCTTCTGTCTAGTTTTTATGGGAAGATATTTCCTTCTCCACCATAGCCCTCAAAGCGCTCCAAGTGTCCGCTGGCAGATTCCACAGAAACAGTGTTTCAAAACTGCTCTAACAAAAGAAAGATTCAACTCCGTGATTTGAATGCACACATCACAAAGCATTTTCTGTGAATCCTTCTGTCTAGTTTTTATATGAGGATATTTCCTTTTCTACCATGGGCATCAAAGCGTTCCAATTATCCAATTGTGGATTGCACAAACAGAGTGTTTCAAAACTGCTTCATGAAAAGGAAGATTCAAATTCGGGAGGAGAATGCACACATCACGAAGAAGTTTCTGAGAATGCTTCTGTCTAGTTTATATGTGCAGATATTCCCATTTCCAGCAAAGGTCTCAAAGCGGTCCAAATATCCACTTGCGGATCCCACAAACAGAGTGTTTCAAAACTGCTCTACGGAAAGGTATGTTCAACTCTGTGAGTTTACTGCAAACATCCTAAAGAAGTTTCTGAGAATGCTGCTGTCTACTTTAATGTGAATATATTTTCTTTTCCGCCATAGCCCTCAAAGAGCTCCAAATATCCACTTTCAGATTCTACAGAGTGTTTCAAAACTGCTCTATCAAAAAAAAGTTTCAACTCGGTGAGTCGAATGCGCATATCACAAAGCACTTTCTGAGAATGCTTTCGTCTATTTTTCCCAGGAAGATATTTCCTTTTTGACCGTAGGCCTCAAATCGCTCCAGATATCCACATGCAGATTCTACAAAAAGAGTGTTTCCAAACTGCCCTATCAAAAGGAAGGTTCAACTCTGGTAGCTGAAAGCAAACATCACAAAGAAGTTTCTCAGAATGCTTCAGTCTAGTATTTAGAGGCAGATATTTCTTTTTCTACCATTGGCCTCAAGGCGCTGCAAATATCCACTTGCAGATTCTTCACAAACAGTGTTTCAAAACTGCTCCATAAAAAGGAAGGTTCAACTCTGTGAGTTGAATGGACAGATCACAAAGAAGTTTCTGAGAATGCTTCTGCCTAGTGTTTATGTGAAGATATTCCCGTCTCCGATGAAGGCCTCAAAGCAGTCCAAATATCCACTTGCAGATTCTACAAAAATAGTGTCTCAAAACTACTCTATGGAAAGGTATGTTCAACACTGTGAGATGAATGCAAACGTCACAAAGAAGTTGCTGAGAATGCTTCAGTCTAGTTTCTATGGGAAGACATTTCCTTTTGCACCACAGCCCTCAAAGCACCCCGAATGTCTACCTGCAGATTCGATAAAAGGGTTTTTCAAAACTGCTCCATCCAAAGAAAGGTTCAACGCTGTGAGTTGAATCTACATTTCACAAAAAAGTTTCTGAGAATGCCTCTATCTACTTTTTATGTGAAGATATTCCGGTTTCCAAAGAAGGCCTCAAAGGGCTCCAAATATCTACTTGCAGATTCTAGAAAAAGAGTGTTTCAAAACTGCTCTATTAAAGGAAGGTTCAACTCTGTGAGTTGAATTCACACATCACAAAGAACTTTCTGACAATGCTTCTATCTAGTTTTTATGTGAAGATATTATTGTTTCCTATGAAGGCCTCAAAGTGGTCCGAATATCCACTTGCAGATTCTACAAGAAGAGGTTTTCCAAACTGCTCTATCAAGAGGTAGGTTCAACTCTGTGAGTTGAATGCAAACATCACAAAGCAGTTTCTGAGAATGCTTCTGTCTAGTTTTCAGGGGCAGATATTACCATTGGCACAATAGCCCTCCAAGCGCTCCAAATATCCACTGGCAGATTCTACCAAAAGAGTGTTTCAAAACTGCTCTGTGAAAAGAAATGTTCAACTGTGTTAGTTGAATGCCCACATCACAAAGGAGATTTTGAGAATATTTCTGTCTAGTTTTTATTAGAAGATATTCCCGTTTCCACCAAAGGACACAAAGCGAAGCCAATTATCCGCTTGCAGATCTTACAAAAACACGTTTCAAAACTGCTCTATCAAAGGAAAGGTTCATCTCTCTGGGTTCAATGCACACATCACAAAGAAGTTTCTGAGAATGCTTCTGGCTAGTTTGTGTGTGAAGATATTCCCATTTCCAACAAAGGCTTCAAAGCCCTCCAAATATTCACCTGCAATTGTTCAAAAGAGTGTTTCAAACCTGTTCTATCAAAAGGAAGGTTCAACTCTGTGAGTTGAACGCACGCTTCACATAAATGTTTCTGAGAATGCTTCTTTCTAGTTTTTATGTGAAGATATTTCCTTCTCCACCATAGCCCTCAAAGCGCTCCAAGTGTCCGCTGGCAGATTCCACAGAAACAGTGTTTCAAAACTGCTCTAACAAAAGAAAGATTCAACTCCGTGATTTGAATGCACACATCACAAAGCATTTTCTGTGAATCCTTCTGTCTAGTTTTTATATGAGGATATTTCCTTTTCTACCATGGGCATCCAAGCCTTCCAATTCTCCAATTGTAGATTGCACAAACAGAGTGTTTCAAAACTGCTCCATGAGAAGGAAGATTCAAATTTGGGAGTACAATGCACACATCACGAAGAAGTTTCTGAGAATGCTTCTGTCTAGTTTATATGTGAAGATATTCCCATTTCCAGCAAAGGTCTCAAAGCGGTCCAAATATCCCCTTGCGGATCCCACAAACAGAGTGTTTCAAAACTGCTCTACGGAAAGGTATGTTCAACTCTGTGAGTTTACTACAAACATCCTAAAGAAGTTTCTGAGAATGCTGCTGTCTAGTTTAATGTGAATATATTTTCTTTTCCGCCATAGCCCTCAAAGAGCTCCAAATATACACTTTCAGATTCTACAGAGTGTTCCAAAACTGCTCTATCAAAAAAAAGTTTCAACTCGGTGAGTCGAATGCACATATCACAAAGCAGTTTCTGAGAATGCTTTCGTCTATTTTTCCCAGGAAGATATTTCCTTTTTGACCGTAGGCCTCAAACCGCTCCAGATATCCACATGAAGATTCTACAAAAAGAGTGTTTCCAAACTGCCCTATCAAAAGGAAGGTTCAACTCTGCTAGTTGAATGCAAACATCACAAAGAACTTTTCTCGGAATGCTTCTGTCTATCTGTCATAGGCAGATATTTCTTTTTCTACCATAGGCCTCAAAGCGCTCCAAATATCCACTTGCAGATTCTCCGAAAACAGGGTTTCAAAACTGCTCCATAAAAAGGAAGGTTCAACTCTGTGAGTTGAATGCACAGACCACAAAGAAGTTTCTGAGAATGCTTCTCTCTAGTGTTTATGTGAAGATATTCCCGTTTCCGATGAAGGCCTCAAAGCAGTCCAAATATCCACTTGCCGATTCTACACAAACAGTGTTTCAAAACTACTCTATGGAAAGGTATGTTCAACACTGTGAGATGAATGCAAACGTCACCAAGAAGTTGCTGAGAATGCTTCAGTCTAGTTTCTATGGGAAGACATTTCCTTTTGCAGCACAGCCCTCAAAGCACCCCGAATGTCTACCTGCAGATTCGATAAAAGAGTTTTTCAAAACTGCTCCATCCAAAGAAAGGTTCAACGCTGTGAGTTGAATCTACATATCACAAAAAAGTTTCTGAGAATGCCTCTATCTACATTTCCTGTGAAGATATTCCGGTTTACAACGAAGGCCTCCAAGCGCTCCAAATATCTACTTGCAGATTCTAGAAAAAGAGTGTTTCAACACTGCTCTATTAAAGGAAGTTTCAACTCTGTGAGTTGAATTCACACATCACAAAGAACTTCCTGACAATGCTTCTATCTAGTTTTTATGCGAAGATATTACTGTTTCCTATGAAGGCCTCAAAGTGGTCCGAATATCCTCTTGCAGATTCTACAAAAAGAGGTTTTCAAAACTGCTCTATGAAGAGGTATGTTCAACTCTGTGAGTTGAATGCAAACATCACGAAGTAGTTTCTGAGAATGCTTCTGTCTAGATTTCAGGGGCAGATATTTCCATTGGCACAATAGCCCTCAAAGCGCTCCAAATATCCACTGGCAGATTCTACCAAAAGAGTGTTTCTAAACTGCTCTGTGAAAAGAAAGTTCAACTGTGTTAGTTGAATGCCCACATCACAAAGGAGATTCTGAGAATATTTCTGTCTAGTTTTTATTAGAAGATATTCCCGTTTCCACCAAAGGACACAAAGCGAAGCCGATTATCCGCTTGCAGATCTTACAAAAACACGTTTCAAAACTGCTCTATCAAAGGAAAGGTTCATCTCTCTGTGTTCAACGTACGCATCACAAAGAAGTTTCTGAGAATGCTTCTGGCTAGTTTGTGTGTGAAGATATTCCCATTTCCAACAAAGGCTTCAAAGCGCTCCAAAGATTCACCTGCAATTGTTCAAAAGAGTGTTTAAAAACTGTTCTATCAAAAGGAAGGTTCAACACTGTGAGTTGAATTCACGCTTCACATACATGTTTCTGAGAATGCTTCTCTCTAGTTTTTATGGGAAGATATTTCCTTCTCCACCATAGCCCTCAAAGCGCTCCAAGTGTCCGCTGGCAGATTCCACAGAAACAGTGTTTCAAAACTGCTCTGACAAAAGAAAGATTCAACTCCGTGATTTGAATGCACACATCACAAAGCATTTTCTGTGAATCCTTCTGTCTAGTTTTTATATGAGGATATTTCCTTTTCTACCACGGGCATCCAAGCGTTCCAATTCTCCAATTGTAGATTGCACAAACAGAGTGTTTCAAAACTGCTCCATGAGAAGGAAGATTCAAATTTGGGAGAACAATGCACACATCACGAAGAAGTTTTTGAGAATGCTTCTGTCTAGTTTATATGTGAAGATATTCCCATTTCCAGCAAAGATCTCAAAGAGGTCCAAATATCCACTTGCGGATCCCACAAACAGAGTGTTTCAAAACTGCTCTACGGAAAGGTATGTTCAACTCTGTGAGTTTACTGCAGACATCCTAAAGAAGTTTCTGAGAATGCTGCTGTCTAGTTTAATGTGAATATATTTTCTTTTCCGCCATAGCCCTCAAAGAGCTCCAAATATCCACTTTCAGATTCTACAGAGTGTTTCAAAACTGCTCTATCAAATAAAAGTTTCAACTCGGTGAGTCGAATGCACATATCACAAAGCAGTTTCTGAGAATGCTTTCGTCTATTTTTCCCAGGAAGATATTTCCTTTTGGACAGTAGGCCTCAAATCGCTCCAGATATCCACATGCAGATTCTCCAAATGAGTGTTTCCAAACTGCCCTATCAAAAGGAAGGTTCACCTCTGGTAGTTGAATGCAAACATCACAAAGAAGTTTCTCAGAATGCTTCTGTCTAGTTGTTATAGGCAGATATTTCTTTTTCTACCATAGGCCACAAAGCGCTCCAAATATCTACTTGCAGATTCTCCAAAAACAGTGTTTCAAAACTGCTCCATAAAAAGGAAGGTTCAACTCTGTGAGTTGAATGGACAGATCACAAAGAAGTTTCTGAGAATGCTTCTCTCTAGTGTTTATGTGAAGATATTCCCGTTTCCGATGAAGGCCTCAAAGCAGTCCAAATATCCACTTGCCGATTCTACAAAAACAGTGTTTCAAAACTACTCTATGGAAAGGTATGTTAAACACTGTGAGATGAATGCAAACGTCACCAAGAAGTTGCTGAGAATGCTTCAGTCTAGTTTCTATGGGAAGACATTTCCTTTTGCACCACAGCCCTCAAAGCACCACAAATGTCTACCTGCAGATTCGATAAAAGAGTTTTTCAAAACTGCTCCATCCAAAGAAAGGTTCAACGCTGTGAGTTGAATCTACATATCACAAAAAAGTTTCTGAGAATGCCTCTATCTACTTTTTATGTGGAGATATTCCGGTTTCCAACGAAGGCCTCAAAGCGCTCCAAATATCTACTGGCGGATTCTAGAAAAAGAGTGTTTCAAAACTGCTCTATTAAAGGAAGGTTCAACTCTGTGAGTTGAATTCACACATCACAAAGAACTTTCTGACAATGTTTCTATCTAGTTTTTACGTGAAGATATTACTGTTTCCTATGAAGGCCTCATAGTGGTCCGAATATCCTCTTGCAGATTCTACAAAAAGAGGTTTTCAAAACTGCTCTATGAAAAGGTATGTTCAACTCTGTGAGTTGAATGCAAACATCACAAAGCAGTTTCTGAGCATGCTTCTGTCTAGTTTTTAGGGGCAGATATTTCCGTTGGCACAATAGCCCTCAAAGCGCTCCAAATATCCACTGGCAGATTCTACCAAAAGGGTGTTTCAAAACTGCTCTGTGAAAAGTAAGGTTCAACTGTGTTAGTTGAATGCCCACATCACGAAGAAGATTCTGAGAATATTTCTGTCTAGTTTTTATTAGAAGATATTCCCGTTTCCACCAAAGGACACACAGCGAAGCCAACTATCCGCTTGCAGATCTTACAAAAACACGTTTCAAAACTGCTCTATCAAAGGAAAGGTTCATCTCTCTGGGTTCAACGCACACATCACAAAGAAGTTTCTGAGAATGCTTCTGGCTAGTTTGTGTGTGAAGATATTCCCATTTCCAACAAAGGCTTCAAAGCCCTCCAAATATTCACCTGCAATTGTTCAAAAGAGTGTTTCAAAACTGTTCTATCAAAAGGAAGGTTCAACTCCGTGAGTTGAACGCACGCTTCACATAAATGGTTCTGAGAATGCTTCTCTCTAGTTTTTATGGGAAGATATTTCCTTCTCCACCATAGCCCTCAAAGCGCTCCAAGTGTCCGCTGGCAGATTCCACAGAAACAGTGTTTCAAAACTGCTCTGACAAAAGAAAGATTCAACTCCGTGATTTGAATGCACACATCACAAAGCATTTTCTGTGGATCCTTCTGTCTAGTTTTTATATGAGGATATTTCCTTTTCTACCATGGGCATCAAAGCGTTCCAATTATCCAATTGTGGATTGCACAAACAGATTGTTTCAAAACTGCTTCATGAAAAGGAAGATTCAAATTTGGGAGTAGAATGCACACATCACGAAGAAGTTTCTGAGAATGCTTCTGTCCAGTTTATATGTGAAGATATTCCCGTTTCCAGCAAAGGTCTCAAAGCGGTCCAAATATCCACTTGCGGATCCCACAAACAGAGTGTTTCAAAACTGCTCTACGGAAAGGTGTGTTCAACTCTGTGAGTTTACTGCAAACATCCTAAAGAAGTTTCTGGGAATGCTGCTGTCTAGTTTAATGTGAATATCTTTTCTTTTCCGCCATAGCCCTCAAAGAGCTCCAAATATCCACTTTCAGATTCTACAGAGTGTTTCAAAACTGCTCTATCCGAAAAAAGTTTCAACTCGGAGAGTCGAATGCACATATCACAAAGCAGTTTCTGAGAATGCTTCGTCTATCTTTCCCAGGAAGATATTTCCTTTTGGACCGTAGGCCTCAAATCGCTCCAGATATCCACATGCAGATTCTACAAAAAGAGTGTTTCCAAACTGCCCTATCAAAAGGAAGGTTCAACTCTGGTAGTTGAAGGCAAACATCACAAAGAAGTTTCTCAGAATGCTTTCTGTCTGGTTTTTAGAGGCAGATATTTCTTTTTCTACCATAGGCCTCAAAGCGCTCCAAATATCCACTTGCAGATTCTCCAAAAGGAGTGTTTCAAAACTGCTCCATAAAAAGGAAGGTTCAACTTCTGTGAGTTGAATGGACAGATGACAAAGAAGTTTCTGAGAATGCTTCTCTCTAGTGTTTATGTGAAGATATTCCCGTTTCCGACGAAGGCCTCAAAGCAGTCCAAATATCCACTTGCCGATTCTACAAAAACAGTGTTTCAAAACCACTCTATGGAAAGGTATGTTCAACACTGTGAGATGAATGCAAACGTCACCAAGAAGTTGCTGAGAATGCTTCAGTCTAGTTTCCATGGGAAGACATTTCCTTTGGCACCACAGCCCTCAAAGCACTCCAAATGTCTACTTGCAGATTCGACAAAAGAGTTTTTCAAAACTGCTCTATCAAAAGAAAGGTTCAACGCTGTCAGATGAATCAACATATCACAAAAAAGTTTCTGAGAATGCCTCTATCTACTTTTCCTGTGAAGATATTCCGGTTTCCAACGAAGGCCTCAAAGCGCTCGAAATATCTACTTGCAGATTCTAAAAAAAGAGTGTTTCAAAACTGCTCTATTAAAGGAAGGTTCAACTCTGTGAGTTGAATTCACACATCACAAAGAACTTTCTGACAATGCTTCTATCTAGTTTTTATGCGAAGATATTACTGTTTCCTATGAAGGCCTCAAAGTGCTCCGAATATCCACTTGCAGATTCTACAAAAGGAGGTTTTCAAAACTGCTCTGTGAAGAGGTATGTTCAACTCTGTGAGTTGAATGCAAACATCACGAAGTAGTTTCTGAGAATGCTTCTGTCTAGATTTTAGGGGCAGATATTTCCATTGGCACAACAGCCCTCAAAGCGCTCCAAATATCCACTGGCAGATTCTACCAAAAGAGTGTTTCAAAACTGCTCTGTGAAAAGAAATGTTCAACTGCGTTAGTTGAATGCCCACATCACAAAGGAGATTCTGAGAATATTTCTGTCTAGTTTTTATTAGAAGATATTCCCGTTTCCACCAAAGGACACAAGGCGAAGTCAATTATCCGTTTGCAGATCTTACAAAAACACGTTTCAAAACTGCTCTATCAAAGGAAAGGTTCATCTCTCTGGATTCAACGCACACATCACAAAGAAGTTTCTGAGAATGCTTCTGGCTAGTTTGTGTGTGAAGATATTCCCATTTCCAACAAAGGCTTCAAAGCCCTCCAAATATTCACCTGCAATTGTTCAAAAGAGTGTTTCAAAACTGTTCTATCAAAAGGAAGGTTCAACTCTGTGAGTTGAATGCACGCTTCACATAAATGGTTCTCAGAATGCTTCTTTCTAGTTTTTATGGGAAGATGTTTCCTTCTCCACCATAGCCCTCAAAGCGCTCCAAGTGTCCGCTGGCAGATTCCACAGAAACAGTGTTTCAAAACTGCTCTAACAAAAGAAAGATTCAACTCCGTGGTTTGAATGCACACATCACAAAGCATTTTCTGTGAATCCTTCTGTCTAGTTTTTATATGAGGATATTTCCTTTTCTACCATGGGCATCAAAGCGTTCCAATCATCCAATTGTAGAATGCACAAATAGAGTGTTTCAAAACTGCTTCATGAAAAGGAAGATTCAAATTAGGGAGTAGAATGCATACATCACGAAGAAGTTTCTGAGAATGCTTCTGTCTAGTTTATATGTGAACATATTCCCGTTTCCAGCAAAGGTCTCAAAGCGGTCCAAATATCCACTTGCGGATCCCACAAACAGAGTGTTTCAAAACTGCTCTACGGAAAGGTATGTTCAACTCTGTGAGTTTACTGCAAACATCCTAAAGAAGTTTCTGGGAATGCTGCTGTCTAGTTTAATGTGAATATATTTTCTTTTCCGCCATAACCCTCAAAGAGCTCCTAATATCCACTTTCAGTTTCTACAGAGTGTTTCAAAACTGCTCTATCAAAAAAAAGTTTCAAATCGGTGAGTCGAATGCACATATCACAAAGCAGTTTCTGAGAATGCTTTCGTCTATTTTTCCCAGGAAGATATTTCCTTTTTGACCATAGGCCTCAAATCGCTCCAGATATCCACATGCAGATTCTACAAAAAGAGTGTTTCCAAACTGCCCTATCAAAAGGAAGGTTCAACTAAGGTAGTTGAATGC
Source organism: Homo sapiens (assembly GCF_000001405.40). NCBI lineage: Eukaryota > Metazoa > Chordata > Mammalia > Primates > Hominidae > Homo > Homo sapiens. The sequence goes on along the minus strand of NC_000019.10, from coordinate 24,739,671 downwards.
AAACATCACAAAGAAGTTTCTCAGAATGCTTCTGTCTAGTTGTTATAGGCAGATATTTCTTTTTCTAACATAGGCCACAAAGCGCTCCAAATATCTACTTGAAGATTCTCCAAAAACAGTGTTTCAAAACTGCTCCATAAAAAGGAAGGTTCAACTCTGTGAGTTGAATGGACAGATCACAAAGAAGTTTCTGAGAATGCTTCTGTCTAGTGTTTATGTGAAGATATTCCCGTCTCCGATGAAGGCCTCAAAGCAGTCCAAATATCCACTTGCAGATTCTACAAAAATAGTGCTTCAAAACTACTCTATGGAAAGGTATGTTCAACACTGTGAGATGAATGCAAACGTCACAAAGAAGTTGCTGAGAATGCTTCAGTCTAGTTTCCATGGGAAGACATTTCCTTTTGCACCACAGCCCTCAAAGCACCCCAAATGTCTACTTGCAGATTCGATAAAAGAATTTTTCAAAACTGCTCTATCAAAAGAAAGGTTCAACGCTGTGAGTGGAATCTACATATCACAAAAAAGTTTCTGAGAATGCCTCTATCTACTTTTTATGTGAAGATATTCCTGTTTCCAACGAAGGCCTCAAAGCGCTCCAAATATCTACTGGCAGATTCTAGAAAAAGAGCGTTTCAAAACTGCTCTATTAAAGGAAGGTTCAACTCTGTGAGTTGAATTCACACATCACAAAGAACTTTCTGACAATGCTTCTATCTAGTTTTTATGTGAAGATAGTACTGTTTCCTATGAAGGCCTCAAAGTGGTCCAAATATCCACTTGCAGATTCTACAAAAAGAGGATTTCAAAACTGCTCTATGAAGAGGGAGGTTCAACTCTGGTATTTGAATGCAAACATCACAAAGAAGTTTCTGAGAATGCTTCTGTCTAGTTTTTAGGGGCAGATATTTCCATTGGCACAATAGCCCTCAAAGCGCTCCAAATATCCACTGGCAGATTCGACCAAAAGAGTGTTTCAAAACTGCTCTGTGAAAAGAAACGTTCGACTGTGTCAGTTGAATGCCCACATCACAAAGAAGTTTCTGAGAATATCTCTGTCTAGTTTTTATTAGAAGATATTCCCGTTTCCACCAAAGGACTCAAAGCGCCCCAAATATCCACATACAGATCTTACAGAAACACGTTTCAAAACTGCTCTATCAAAGGAAAGGTTCATCTCTCTGAGTTCAACGCACACATCACAAAGAAGTTTCTGAGAATGCTTCTGGCTAGTTTGTATGTGAAGATATTCCCAATTCCAACAAAGGCTTCAAAGAGCTCCAAATATTCACCTAAAATTGTACAAAAGAGTGTTTCAAAACTGTTCTATGAAAAAGGAAGGTTCAAATCTGTGAGTTGAATGCACACTTCACATAGATGTTTCTGAGAATGCTTCTTTCTAGTTTTTATGGGAAGATATTTCCTTCTCCACCATAGCCCTCAAAGCGCTCCAAGTGTCCGCTGGCAGATTCCACAGAAACAGTGTTTCAAAACTGCTCTCACAAAAGAAAGATTCAACTCCGTGATTTGAATGCACACATCACAAAGCATTTTCTGTGAATCCTTCTGTCTAGTTTTTATATGAGGATATTTCCTTTTCTACCATGGGCATCAAAGCGTTCCAATTATCCAATTGTGGATTGCACAAACCGAGTGTTTCAAAACTGCTTCATGAAAAGGAAGATTCAAATTTGGGAGTAGAATGCACACATCATGAAGAAGTTTCTGAGAATGCTTCTGTCTAGTTTATACGTGAAGATATTCCCATTTCCAGCAAAGGTCTCAAAGCGGTCCAAATATCCACTTGCGGATCCCACAAATAGAGTGTTTCAAAACTGCTCTACGGAAAGGTATGTTCAAATCTGTGAGTTTACTGCAAACATCCTAAAGAAGTTTCTGAGAATGCTGCTGTCTAGTTTAATGTGAATATATTTTCTTTTCCGCCATAGCCCTCAAAGAGCTCCAAATATCCACTTTCAGATTCTACAGAGTGTTTCAAAACTGCTCTATCCAAGAAAAGTTTCAACTCGGTGAGTCGAATGCACATATCACAAAGCAGTTTCTGAGAATGCTTTCGTCTATTTTTCCCAGGAAGATATTTCCTTTCGGACCGTAGGCCTCAAATCGCTCCAGATATCCACATGCAGATTCTACAAAGAGAGTGTTTCCAAACTGCCCTATCAAAAGGAAGGTTCAACTCTGGTAGTTGAATGCAAACATCACAAAGAAGTTTCTCAGAATGCTTCTGTCTAGTTGTCATAGGCAGATATTTCTTTTTCTACCATAGGCCTCAAAGCGCTCCAAATATCCACTTGCAGATTCTCCAAAAACAGGGTTTCAAAACTGCTCCATAAAAAGGAAGGTTCAACTCTGTGAGTTGAATGGACAGACCACAAAGAAGTTTCTGAGAATGCTTCTCTCTAGTGTTTATGTGAAGATATTCCCGTTTCCGATGAAGGCCTCAAAGCAGTCCAAATATCCACTTGCCGATTCTACAAAAAGAGTGTTTCAAAACCACTCTATGGAGAGGTATGTTCAACACTGTGAGATGAATGCAAACGTCACCAAGAAGTTGCTGAGAATGCTTCAGTCTAGTTTCTATGGGAAGACATTACCTTTTGCACCACAGCCCTCAAAGCACCCCAAATGTCTACCTGCAGATTCGATAAAAGGGTTTTTCAAAACTGCTCCATCCAAAGAAAGGTTCAACGCTGTGAGTTGAATCTACATATCACAGAAAAGTTTCTGAGAATGCCTCTATCTACTTTTCCTGTGAAGATATTCCGGTTTCCAACGAAGGCCTCAAAGCGCTCCAAATATCCACTTGCAGATTCTAGAAAAAGAGTGTTTCAAAACTGCTCTATTAAAGGAAGGTCCAACTCTGTGAGTTGAATTCACACATCACAAAGAACTTTCTGACAATGCTTCTATCTAGTTTTTATGTGAAGGTATTACTGTTTCCTATGAAGGCCTCAAAGTGGTCCGAATATCCACTTGCAGATTCTACAAAAAGAGGTTTTCAAAACTGCTCTATGAAGAGGTATGTTCAACTCTGTGAGTTGAATGCAAACATCACAAAGTAGTTTCTGAGAATGCTTTCTGTCTAGATTTTAGGGGCAGATATTTCCATTGGCACAACAGCCCTCCAAGCTCTCCAAATATCCACTGGCAGATTCTACCAAAAGAGTGTTTCAAAACTGCTCTGTGAAAAGAAATGTTCAACTGTGTTAGTTGAATGCCCACATCACAAAGGAGATTCTGAGAATATTTCTGTCTAGTTTTTATTAGAAGATATTCCCGTTTCCACCAAAGGACACAAAGCGAAGCCAATTATCCGCTTGCAGACCTTACAAAAACACGTTTCAAAACTGCTCTATCCAAGGAAAGGTTCATCTCTCTGGGTTCAACGCACACATCACAAAGAAGTTTCTGAGAATGCTTCTGGCTAGTTTGTGTGTGAAGATATTCCCAATTCCAACAAGGGCTTCAAAGCGCTCCAAAGATTCACCTGCAATTGTTCAAAAGAGTGTTTCAAAACTGTTGTATCCAAAGGAAGGTTCAACTCTGTGAGTTGAATGCACGCTTCACATAAATGTTTCTGAGAATGCTTCTTTTTAGTTTTTATGTGAAGATATTTCCTTCTCCACCGTAGCCCTCAAAGCGCTCCAAGTGTCCGCTGGCAGATTCCACAGAAACAGTGTTTCAAAACTGCTCTAACAAAAGAAAGATTCAACTCCGTGATTTGAATGCACACATCACAAAGCATTTTCTGTGAATCCTTCTGTCTAGTTTTTATATGAGGATATTTCCTTTTCCACCATGGGCATCAAAGCGTTCCAATCATCCAATTGTAGAATGCACAAATAGAGTGTTTCAAAACTGCTTCATGAAAAGGAAGATTCAAATTTGGGAGTAGAATGCACACATCACGAAGAAGTTTCTGAGAATGCTTCTGTCTAGTTTATATGTGAGGATATTCCCATTTCCAGCAAAGGTCTCAAAGCGGTCCAAATATCCACTTGCGGATCCCACAAACAGAGTGTTTCAAAACTGCTCTTCGGAAAGGTATGTTCAACTCTGTGAGTTTACTGCAAATATCCTAAAGAAGTTTCTGAGAATGCTGCTGTCTAGTTTAATGTGAATATATTTTCTTTTCCGCCATAGCCCTCAAAGAGCTCCAAATATCCACTTTCAGATTCTACAGAGTGTTTCAAAACTGCTCTATCAAAAAAAAGTTTCAGCTCGGTGAGTCGAATGCACATATCACAAAGCAGTTTCTGAGAATGCTTTCGTCTATTTTTCCCAGGAAGATATTTCCTTTTTGACCATAGGCCTCAAATCGCTCCAGATATCCACATGCAGATTCTACAAACAGAGTGTTTCCAAACTGCCCTATCAAAAGGAAGATTCAACTCTGGTAGTTGAATGCAAACATCACAAAGAAGTTTCTCAGAATGCTTCTGTCTGGTTTTTAGAGGCAGATATTTCTTTTTCTACCATAGGCCTCAAAGCGCTCCAAATATCCACTTGCAGATTCTCCAAAAACAGTGTTTCAAAACTGCTCCATAAAAAGGAAGGTTCACCTCTGTGAGTTGAATGGACAGATGACAAAGAAGTTTCTGAGAATGCTTCTCTCTAGTGTTTATGTGAAGATATTCCCGTTTCCGATGAAGGCCTCAAAGCAGTCCAAATATCCACTTGCCGATTCTACAAAAACAGTGTTTCAAAACCACTCTATGGATAGGTATGTTCAACACTGTGAGATGAATGCAAACGTCACCAAGAAGTTGCTGAGAATGCTTCAGTCTAGTTTCCATGGGAAGACATTTCCTTTGGCACCACAGCCCTCAAAGCACTCCACATGTCTACTTGCAGATTCGACAAAAGAGTTTTTCAAAACTGCTCTATCAAAAGAAAGGTTCAACGCTGTCAGATGAATCAACATATCACAAAAAAGTTTCTGAGAATGCCTCTATCTACTTTTTATGTGAAGATATTCCAGTTTCCAACGAAGGCCTCAAAGCGCTCCAAATATCTACTTGCAGATTCTAGAAAAAGAGTGTTTCAAAACTGCTCTATTAAAGGAAGGTTCAACTCTGTGAGTTGAATTCACACATCACAAAGAACTTTCTGACAATGCTTCTATCTAGTTTTTATGTGAAGATATTACTGTTTCCTATGAAGGCCTCAAAGTGGTCCGAATATCCACTTGCAGATTCTACAGAAAGAGTTTTTCAAAACTGCTCTGTGAAGAGGTATGTTCAACTCTGTGTGTTGAATGCAAACATCACGAAGTAGTTTCTGAGAATGCTTCTGTCTAGTTTTTAGGGGCAGATATTTCCGTTGGCACAATAGCCCTCAAAGCGCTCCAAATATCCACTGGCAGATTCTACCAAAAGAGTGTTTCAAAACTGCTCTGTGAAAAGAAACGTTCAACTGTGTTAGTTGATTGCCCACATCACAAAGAAGATTCTGAGAATATTTCTGTCTAGTTTTTATTAGAAGATATTCCCGTTTCCACCAAAGGACACAAAGCGAAGCCAATTATCCGCTTGCAGATCTTACAAAAACACGTTTCAAAACTGCTCTATCGAAGGAAAGGTTCATCTCTCTGGGTTCAACGCACACATCACAAAGAAGTTTCTGAGAATGCTTCTGGCTAGTTTGTGTGTGAAGATATTCCCATTTCCAACAAAGGCTTCAAAGCGCTCCAAAGATTCACCTGCAATTGTTCAAAAGAGTGTTTCAAAACTGTTGTATCAAAAGGAAGGTTCAACTCTGTAAGTTGAATGCACGCTTCACATAAATGTTTCTGAGAATGCTTCTTTCTAGTTTTTATGGGAAGATATTTCCTTCTCCACCACAGCCCTCAAAGCGCTCCAAGTATCCGCTGGCAGATTCCACAGAAACAGTGTTTCAAAACTGCTCTGACAAAAGAAAGATTCAACTCCGTGATTTGAATGCACACATCACAAAGCATTTTCTGTGAATCCTTCTGTCTAGTTTTTATATGAGGATATTTCCTTTTCTACCACGGGCATCCAAGCGTTCCAATTCTCCAATGGTAGATTGCACAAACAGAGTGTTTCAAAACTGCTCCATGAGAAGGAAGATTCAAATTTGGGAGTACAATGCACACATCACGAAGAAGTTTCTGAGAATGCTTCTGTCTAGTTTATATGTGAAGATATTCCCATTTCTAGCAAAGGTCTCAAAGGGGCCCAAATATCCACTTGCGGATCCCACAAACAGAGTGTTTCAAAACTGCTCTACGGAAAGATATGTTTAACTCTGTGAGTTTACTGCAAACATCCTAAAGAAGTTTCTGAGAATGCTGCTGTCTACTTTAATGTGAATATATTTTGTTTTCCGCCATAGCCCTCAAAGAGCTCCAAATATCCACTTTCAGATTCTACAGAGTGTTTCAAAACTGCTCAATCAAAAAAAAGTTTCAACTCGGTGAGTCGAATGCACATATCACAAAGCAGTTTCTGAGAATGCTTCTGTCTAGTTGTCATAGGTAGATATTTCTTTTTCTACCATAGGCCTCAAAGCGCTCCAAATATCCACTTGCAGATTCTCCAAAAACAGGGTTTCAAAACTGCTCCATAAAAAGGAAGGTTCAACTCTGTGAGTTGAATGGACAGACCACAAAGAGGTTTCTGAGAATGCTTCTGTCTAGTGTTTATGTGAAGATATTCCCGTCTCCGATGAAGGCCTCAAAGCAGTCCAAATATCCGCTTGCAGATTCTACAAAAATAGTGTCTCAAAACTACTCTATGGAAAGGTATGTTCAACACTGTGAGATGAATGCAAACGTCACAAAGAAGTTGCTGAGAATGCTTCAGTCTAGTTTCCATGGGAAGACATTTCCTTTGGCACCACAGCCCTCAAAGCACTCCAAATGTCTACTTGCAGATTCGACAAAAGAGTTTTTCAAAACTGCTCTATCAAAAGAAAGGTTCAACGCTGTCAGATGAATCAACATATCACAAAAGAGTTTCTGAGAATGCCTCTATCTACTTTTTCTGTGAAGATATTCCGGTTTCCAACGACGGCCTCAAAGCGCTCCAAATATCTACTTGCAGATTCTAGAAGAAGAGTGTTTCAAAACTGCTCTATTAAAGGAAGGTTCAACTCTGTGAGTTGAATTCACACATCACAAGGAATTTTCTGACAATGCTTCTATCTAGTTTTTATGTGAAGATATTACTGTTTCCTATGAAGGCCTCAAAGTGGTCCGAATATCCACTTGCAGATTCTACAGAAAGAGTTTTTCAAAACCGCTCTGTGAAGAGGTATGTTCAACTCTGTGTGTTGAATGCAAACATCACGAAGTAGTTTCTGAGAATGCTTCTGTCTAGTTTTTAGGGGCAGATATTTCCGTTGGCACAATAGCCCTCAAAGCGCTCCAAATATCCACTGGCAGATTCTACCAAAAGAGTGTTTCAAAACTGCTCTGTGAAAAGAAACGTTCAACTCTGTTAGTTGAATGCCCACATCACAAAGAAGATTCTGAGAATATTTCTGTCTAGTTTTTATTAGAAGATATTCCCGTTTCCACCAAAGGACACTAAGCGAAGCCAATTATCCGCTTGCCGACCTTACAAAAACACGTTTCAAAACTGCTCTATCAAAGGAAAGGTTCATCTCTCTGGGTTCAACGCACACATCACAAAGAAGTTTCTGAGAATGCTTCTGCCTAGTTTGTGTGTGAAGATATTCCCATTTCCAACAAAGGCTTCAAAGCGCTCCAAAGATTCACCTGCAATTGTTCAAAAGAGTGTTTCAAAACTGTTCCATCAAAAGGAAGGTTCAACTCTGTGAGTTGAATGCACGCTTCACATAAATGTTTCCGAGAATGCTTCTTTCTAGTTTTTATGGGAAGATGTTTCCTTCTCCACCATAGCCCTCAAAGCGCTCCAAGTGTCCGCTGGCAGATTCCACAGAAACAGTGTTTCAAAACTGCTCTAACAAAAGAAAGATTCAACTGCGTGATTTGAATGCACACATCACAAAGCATTTTCTGTGAATCCTTCTGTCTAGTTTTTATATGAGGCTATTTCCTTTTCTACCATGGGTATCAAAGCGTTCCAATTATCCAATTGTGGATTGCACAAACAGAGTGTTTCAAAACTGCTTCATGAAAAGGAAGATTCAAATTCGGGAGTAGAATGCACACATCACGAAGAAGTTTCTGAGAATGCTTCTGTCTAGTTTATATGTGAAGATATTCCCATTTCCAGCAAAGGTCTCAAAGCGGTCCAAATATCCACTTGCGGATCCCACAAACAGAGTGTTTCAAAACTGCTTAACGGAAAGGTATGTTCAACTCTGTGAGTTTACTGCAAACATCCTAAAGAAGTTTCTGAGAATGCTGCTGTCTACTTTAATGTGAATATATTTTCTTTTCCGCCATAGCCCTCAAAGAGCTCCAAATATCCACTTTCAGATTCTACAGAGTGTTTCAAAACTGCTCTATCGAAAAACAGTTTCAACACGGTGAGTCGAATGCACATGTCACAAAGCAGTTTCTGAGAATGCTTTCGTCTATTTTTCCCAGGAAGATATTTCCTTTTTGACCGTAGGCCTCAAACCGCTCCAGATATCCACATGCAGATTCTACAAAAAGAGTGTTTCCAAACTGCCCTATCAAGAGGAAGGTTCAACTCTGCTAGTTGAATGCAAACATCACAGAGAAGTTTCTCGGAATGCTTCTGTCTGGTTTTTAGAGGCAGATATTTCTTTTTCTACCATAGGCCTCAAAGCGCTCGAAATATCCACTTGCAGATTCCCCAAAAACAGTGATTCAAAACTGCTCCATAAAAAGGAAGGTTCAACTCTGTGAGTTGAATGGACAGATCACAAAGAAGTTTCTGAGAATGCTTCTGCCTAGTGTTTATGTGAAGATATTCCCGTCTCCGATGAAGGCCTCAAAGCAGTCCAAATATCCGCTTGCAGATTCTACAAAAATAGTGTCTGAAAACTACTCTATGGAAAGGTATGTTCAACACTGTGAGATGAATGCAAACGTCACAAAGAAGTTGCTGAGAATGCTTCAGTCTAGTTTCTATGGGAAGACATTTTCTTTTGCACCACAGCCCTCAAAGCACCCCAAATGTCTACCTGCAGATTCGATAAAAGAGTTTTTCAAAACTGCTCCATCCAAAGAAAGGTTCAACGCTGTGAGTTGAATCTACATATCACAAAAAAGTTTCTGAGAATGCCTCTATCTTCTTTTCCTGTGAAGATATTCCGGTTTCCAACGAAGGCCTCAAAGCGCTCCAAATATCTACTTGCAGATTCTAGAAAAAGAGTGTTTCAAAACTGCTCTATTAAAGGAAGGTTCAACTCTGTGAGTTGAATTCACACATCACAAAGAACTTTCTGACAATGCTTCTATCTAGTTTTTATGTGAAGATATTACTGTTTCCCATGAAGGCCTCAAAGTGGTCCGAATATCCACATGCAGATTCTACAAAAAGAGGTTTTCAAAACTGCTCTATGCAGAGGTATATTCAACTCTGTGAGTTGAATGCAAACATCCCGAAGCAGTTTCTGAGAATGCTTCTGTCTAGTTTTTAGGGGCAGATATTTCCATTGGCACAATAGCCCTCAAAGCGCTCCAAATATCCACTGGCAGATTCGACCAAAAGAGTGTTTCAAAACTGCTCTGTGAAAAGAAATGTTCGACTGTGTCAGTTGAATGCCCACATCACAAAGAAGTTTCTGAGAATATCTCTGTCTAGTTTTTATTAGAAGATATTCCCGTTTCCACCAAGGGACACAAAGCGAAGCCAATTATCCGCTTGCCGATCTTACAAAAACACGCTTCAAAACTGCTCTATCAAAGGAAAGGTTCATCTCTCTGGGTTCAACGCACACATCACAAAGAAGTTTCTGAGAATGCTTCTGGCTAGTTCGTGTGTGAAGATATTCCCGTTTCCAACAAAGGCTTCAAAGCCCTCCAAATATTCACCTGCAATTGTTCAAAAGAGTGTTTCAAAACTGTTCTATCAAAAGGAAGGTTCAACTCTGTGAGTTGAATGCACGCTTCACATAAATGGTTCTGAGAATGCTTCTTTCTAGTTTTTATGTGAAGATATTTCCTTCTCCACCGTAGCCCTCAAAGCGCTCCAAGTGTCCGCTGGCATATTCCACAGAAACAGTGTTTCAAAACTGCTCTAACAAAAGAAAGATTCAACTCCGTGATTTGAATGCACACATCACAAAGCATTTTCTGTGAATCCTTCTGTCTAGTTTTTATATGAGGATATTTCCTTTTCTACCTTGGACATCAAAGCGTTCCAATTATCCAATTGTGGACTGCACAAACAGAGTGTTTCAAAACTGCTTCATGAAAAGGAAGATTCAAATTCGGGAGGAGAATGCACACATCACGAAGAAGTTTCTGAGAATGCTTCTGTCCAGTTTATATGTGAAGATATTCCCATTTCCAGCAAAGGTCTCAAAGCGGTCCAAATATCCACTTGCGGATCCCACACACAGAGTGTTTCAAAGCTGCTCTACGGAAAGGTATGTTCAACTCTGTGAGTTTACTGCAAACATCCTAAAGAAGTTTCTGGGAATGCTGCTGTCTAGTTTAATGTGAATATATTTTCTTTTCCGCCATAGCCCTCAAAGTAGCTCCAAATATCCACTTTCAGATTCTACAGAGTGTTTCAAAACTGCTCTATCCAAAAAAAGTTTCAACTCGGTGAGTCGAATGCACATATCACAAAGCAGTTTCTGAGAATGCTTTCGTCTATTTTTCCCAGGAAGATATTTCCTTTTGGACCGTAGGCCTCAAATCGCTCCAGATATCCACATGCAGATTCTGCAAAAAGAGTGTTTCCAAACTGCCCTATCAAAAGGAAGGTTCACCTCTGGTAGTTGAATGCAAACATCACAAAGAAGTTTCTCAGAATGCTTCTGTCTAGTTGTCATAGGCAGATATTTCTTTTTCTACCATAGGCCTCAAAGCGCTCCAAATATCCACTTGCAGATTCTCCAAAAACAGGGTTCCAAAACTGCTCCATAAAAAGGAAGGTTCAACTCTGTGATTTGAATGGACAGACCACAAAGAAGTTTCTGAGATTGCTTCTCTGTAGTGTTTATGTGAAGATATTCCCGTTTCCGATGAAGGCCTCAAAGCAGTCCAAATATCCACTTGCCGATTCTACAAAAACAGTGTTTCAAAATCACTCTATGGAAAGGTATGTTCAACACTGTGAGATGAATGCAAACGTCACCAAGAAGTTGCTGAGAATGCTTCAGTCTAGTTTCTATGGGAAGACATTTCCTTTTGCACCACAGCCCTCAAAGCACCCCGAATGTCTACCTGCAGATTCGATAAAAGGGTTTTTCAAAACTGCTCCATCCAAAGAAAGGTTCAACGCTGTGAGTTGAATCTACATATCACAAAAAAGTTTCTGAGAATGCCTCTATCTACTTTTCCTGTGAAGATATTCCGGTTTCCAACGAAGGCCTCAACGCGCTCCAAATATCTACTTGCAGATTCTAGAAAAAGAGTGTTTCAAAACTGCTCTATTGAAGGAAGGTTCAACTCTGTGAGTTGAATTCACACATCACAAAGAACTTTCTGAGAATGCTTCCATCTAGTTTTTATGTGAAGATATTACTGTTTCCTATGAAGGCCTCAAAGTGGTCCCAATATCCACTTACAGATTCTACAGAAAGAGGTTTTCAAAACTGCTCTGTGAAGAGGTATGTTCAACTGTGTGTGTTGAATGCAAACATCATGAAGTAGTTTCTGAGAATGCTTCTGTCTAGTTTTTAGGGGAAGATATTTCCATTGGCACAATAGCCTTCAAAGCGCTCCAAATATCCACTGGCAGATTCTACCAAAAGAGTGTTTCAAAACTGCTCTGTGAAAAGAAATGTTCAACTGTGTTTGTTGAATGCCCACATCACAAAGAAGATTCTGAGAATATTTCTGTCTAGTTTTTATTAGAAGATATTCCCGTTTCCACCAAAGGACACAAAGCGAAGCCAATTATCCGCTTGCCGATATTACAAAAACACGTTTCAAAACTGCTCTATCAAAGGAAAGGTTCATCTCTCTGGGTTTAACGCACACATCACAAAGAAGTTTCTGAGAATGCTTCTGGCTAGTTTGTGTGTGAAGATATTCCCATTTCCAACAAAGGCTTAAAAGCCCTCCAAATATTCACCTGCAATTGTTCAAAAGAGTGTTTCAAAACTGTTCTATCAAAAGGAAGGTTCAACTCTGTGAGTGGAACGCACGCTTCACATAAATGGTTCTCAGAATGCTTCTTTCTAGTTTTTATGTGAAGATATTTCCTTCTCCACCATAGCCCTCAAAGCGCTCCAAGTGTCCGCTGGCAGATTCCACAGAAACAGTGTTTCAAAACTGCTCTAACAAAAGAAAGATTCAACTGCATGATTTGAATGCACACATCACAAAGCATTTTCTGTGAATCCTTCTGTCTAGTTTTTATATGAGGATATTTCCTTTTCTACCATGGGCATCAAAGCGTTCCAATTATCCAATTGTAGATTGCACAAATAGAGTGTTCCAAAACTGCTTCATGAAAAGGAAAATTCAAATTTGGGAGTAGAATGCACACATCACGAAGAAGTTTCTGAGAATGCTTCTGTCCAGTTTATATGTGAAGATATTCCCGTTTCCAGCAAAGGTCTCAAAGCGGTCCAAATATCCACTTGCGGATCCCACACACAGAGTGTTTCAAAGCTGCTCTACGGAAAGGTGTGTTCAACTCCTGTGAGTTTACTGCAAACATCCTAAAGAAGTTTCTGGGAATGCTGCTGTCTACTTTAATGTGAATATAGTTTCTTTGCCGCCATAGCCCTCAAAGAGCTCCAAATATCCACTTTCAGATTCTACAGAGTGTTTCAAAACTGCTCTATCAAAAAAAAGTTTCAACTCGGTGAGTCGAATGCACATATCACAAAGCACTTTCTGAGAATGCTTTCGTCTATTTTTCCCAGGAAGATATTTCCTTTTGGACCGTAGGCCTCAAATCGCTCCAGATATCCACATGCAGATTCTACAAAAAGAGTGTTTCCAAACTGCCCTATCAAAAGGAAGGTTCAACTCTGGTAGTTGAATGCAAACATCACAAAGAAGTTTCTCAGAATGCTTCTGTCTAGTTGTTATAGGCAGATATTTCGTTTTCTACCATAGGCCTCAAAGCGCTCTAAATATCCACTTGCAGATCCTCCAAAAACAATGTTTCAAAACTGCTCCATAAAAAGGAAGGTTCAACTCTGTGAGTTGAATGGACAGATCACCAAGAAGTTTCTGAGAATGCTTCTGTCTAGTGTTTATGTGAAGATATTCCCGTTTCCGATGAAGGCCTCAAAGCAGTCCAAATATCCACTGGCAGATTCTACAAAAATAGTGCTTCAAAACTACTCTATGGAAAGGTATGTTCAACACTGTGAGATGAATGCAAACGTCACAAAGAAGTTGCTGAGAATGCTTCATTCTAGTTTCTATGGGAAGACATTTCCTTTGGCACCACAGCCCTCAAAGCACTCCAAATGTCTACTTGCAGATTCGACAAAAGAGTTTTTGAAAACTGCTCTATCAAAAGAAAGGTTCAACGCTGTCAGATGAATCTACATATCACAAAATTTTCTGAGAATGCCTCTATCTACTTTTTATGTGAAGATGTTCCGGTTTCCAACGAAGGCCTCAAAGCGCTCCAAATATCTACTTGCAGATTCTAGAAAAAGAGTGTTTCAAAACTGCTCTATTAAAGGAAGGTTCAACTCTGTGAGTTGAATTCACACATCACAAAGAACTTTCTGACAATGCTTCTATCTAGTTTTTATGTGAAGATATTACTGTTTCCTATGAAGGCCTCAAAGTGGTCCGAATATCCACTTGCAGATTCTACAGAAAGAGGTTTTCAAAACTGCTCTGTGAAGAGGTATGTTCAACTCTCTGTGTTGAATGCAAACATCACGAAGTAGATTCTGAGAATGCTTCTGTCTAGTTTTTAGGGGCAGATATTTCCATTGGCACAATAGCCCTCAAAGCGCTCCAAATATCCACTGGCAGATTCTACCAAAAGAGTGTTTCAAAACTGCTCTGTGAAAAGAAATGTTCAACTGTGTTTGTTGAATGCCCACATCACAAAGAAGATTCTGAGAATATTTCTGTCTAGTTTTTATTAGAAGATATTCGCGTTTCCACCAAAGGACACAAAGCGAAGCCAATTATCCGCTTGCCGATCTTACAAAAACACGTTTCAAAACTGCTCTATCAAAGGAAAGGTTCATCTCTCTGGGTTCAACGCACACATCACAAAGAAGTTTCTGAGAATGTTTCTGGCTGGTTTGTGTGTGAAGATATTCCCATTTCCAACAAAGGCTTCAAAGCGCTCCAAAGATTCACCTGCAATTGTTCAAAAGAGTGTTTCAAAACTGTTGTATCAAAAGGAAGGTTCAACTCTGTGAGTTGAATGCACGCTTCACATAAATGTTTCTGAGAATGCTTCTTTCTAGTTTTTATGTGAAGATATTTCCTTCTCCACCATAGCCCTCAAAGCGCTCCAAGTGTCCGCTGGCAGATTCCACAGAAACAGTGTTTCAAAACTGCTCTAAGAAAACAAAGATTCACCTCCGTGATTTGAATGCACACATCACAAAGCATTTTCTCTGAATCCTTCTGTCTAATTTTTATATGAGGATATTTCGTTTTCTACCATGGGCATCAAAGCGTTCCAATTATCCAATTGTGGATTGCACAAACAGAGTGTTTCAAAACTGCTTCATGAAAAGGAAGATTCAAATTCGGGAGAAGAATGCACACATCACGAGGAAGTTTCTGAGAATGCTTCTGTCTAGTTTATACGTGAAGATATTCCCATTTCCAGCAAAGGTCTCAAAGCGGTCCAAATATCCCCTTGCGGATCCCACAAACAGAGTGTTTCAAAACTGCTCTACGGAAAGGTATGTTCAACTCTGTGAGTTTACTGCAAACATCCTAAAGAAGTTTCTGAGAATGCTGCTGTCTACTTTAATGTGAATATATTTTCTTTTCCGCCATAGCCCTCAAAGAGCTCCAAATATCCACTTTCAGATTCTGCAGAGTGTTTCAAAACTGCTCTATCAAAAAAAAGTTTCAACTCGGTGAGTCGAATGCACATATCACAAAGCACTTTCTGAGAATGCTTTCGTCTATTTTTCCCAGGAAGATATTTCCTTTTTGACCGTAGGCCTCAAACCGCTCCAGATATCCACATGCAGATTCTACAAAAAGAGTGTTTCCAAACTGCCCTATCAAAAGGAAGGTTCCACTCTGCTAGTTGAATGCAAACATCACAAAGAAGTTTCTCGGAATGCTTCTGTCTGGTTTTTAGAGGCAGATATTTCTTTTTCTACCATAGGCCTCAAAGCGCTCCAAATATCCACTTGCAGATTCTCCAAAAGGAGTGTTTCAAAACTGCTCCAGAAAAAGGAAGGTACAACTCTGTGAGTTGAATGGACAGATCACAAAGAAGTTTCTGAGAATGCTTCTCTCTAGTGTTTATGTGAAGATATTCCCGTTTCTGATGAAGGCCTGAAAGCAGTCCAAATATCCACTTGCCGATTCTACAAAAACAGTGTTTCAAAACCACTCTATGGAAAGGTATGTTCAACGCTGTGAGATGAATGCAAACGTCACCAAGAAGTTGCTGACAATGCTTCAGTCTAGTTTCTATGGGAAGACATTTCCTTTTGCACCACAGCCCTCAAAGCACCCCAATTGTCTACCTGCAGATTCGATAAAAGGGTTTTTCAAAACTGCTCCATCCAAAGAAAGGTTCAACGCTGTAAGTTGAATCTACATATCACAAAAAAGTTTCTGAGAATGCCTCTATCTACTTTTTATGTGGAGATATTCCGGTTTCCAACGAAGGCCTCAAAGCGCTCCAAATATCTACTGGCAGATTCTAGAAAAAGAGTGTTTCAAAACTGCTCTATTAAAGGAAGGTTCAACTCTGTGAGTTGAATTCACACATCACAAAGAACTTTCTGACAATGTTTCTATCTAGTTTTTATGTGATGATATTACTGTTTCCTATGAAGGCCTCAAAGTGGTCCGAATATCCACTTGCAGATTCTACAAAAAGAGGTTTTCAAAACTGCTCTATGCAGAGGTATGTTCAACTGCTGTGAGTTGAATGCAAACATCCCAAAGCAGTTTCTGAGAATGCTTCTGTCTAGTTTTCAGGGGCAGATATTTCCATTGGCACAATAGCCCTCCAAGCGCTCCAAATATCCACTGGCAGATTCTACCAAAAGAGTGTTTCAAAACTGCTCTGTGAAAAGAAATGTTCAACTGTGTTAGTTGAATGCCCATATCACAAAGGAGATTCTGAGAATATTTCTGTCTAGTTTTTATTAGAAGATATTCCCGTTTCCACCAAAGGACACAAAGCGAAGCCAATTATCCGCTTGCAGATCTTACAAAAACACGTTTCAAAACTGCTCTATCCAAGGAAAGGTTCATCTCTCTGGGTTCAACGCACACATCACAAAGAAGTTTCTGAGAATGCTTCTGGCTAGTTTGTGTGTGAAGATATTCCCATTTGCAACAAAGGCTTCAAAGCGCTCCAAAGATTCACCTGCAATTGTTCAAAAGAGTGTTTCAAAACTGTTGTATCAAAAGGAAGGTTCAACTCTGTGAGTTGAATGCACGCTTCACATAAATGTTTCTGAGAATGCTTCTTTCTAGTTTTTATGGGAAGATATTTCCTTCTCCACCATAGCCCTCAAAGCGCTCCAAGTGTCCACTGGCAGATTCCACAGAAACAGTGTTTCAAAACTGCTCTAACAAAAGAAAGATTCAACTCCATGATTTGAATGCACACATCACAAAGCATTTTCTGTGAATCCTTCTGTCTAGTTTTTATATGAAGATATTTCCTTTTCTACCATGGGCATCAAAGCGTTCCAATTATCCAATTGTGGATTGCACAAACAGAGTGTTTCAAAACTGCTTCATGAAAAGGAAGATTCACATTCGGGAGTAGAATGCACACATCACGAAGAAGTTTCTGAGAATGCTTCTGTCTAGTTTATATGTGAAGATATTCCCATTTCCAGCAAAGGTCTCAAAGCGGTCCAAATATCCACTTGCGGATACCACAAACAGAGTGTTTCAAAACTGCTCTACGGAAAGGTATGTTCAACTCTGTGAGTTTACTACAAACATCCTAAAGAAGTTTCTGAGAATGCTGCTGTCTACTTTAATGTGAATATATTTTCTTTTCCGCCATAGCCCTCAAAGAGCTCCAACTATCCACTTTCAGATTCTACAGAGTGTTTCAAAACTGCTCTATCAAAAAAAAGTTTCAACTCGGTGAGTCGAATGCACATATCACAAAGCAGTTTCTGAGAATGCTTTCGTCTATTTTTCCCAGGAAGATATTTCCTTTTTGACCGTAGGCCTCAAACCGCTCCAGATATCCACATGCAGATTCTACAAAAAGAGTGTTTCAAAACTGCCCTATCAAAAGGAAGGTTCAACTCTGCTAGTTGAATGCAAACATCACAAAGAAGTTTCTCGGAATGCTTCTGTCTGGTTTTTAGAGGCAGATATTTCTTTTTCTACCATAGGCCTCAAAGCGCTCCAAATATCCACTTGCAGATTCTCCAAAAACAGTGATCCAAAACTGCTCCATAAAAAGGAAGGTTCAACTCTGTGAGTTGAATGGACAGATCACAAAGTAGTTTCTGAGAATGCTTCTCTCTAGTGTTTATGTGAAGATATTCCCGTTTCCGATGAAGGCCTCAAAGCAGTCCACATATCCACTTGCAGATTCTACAAAAACAGTGTTTCAAAAGTACTCGATGGAAAGGTATGTTCAACACTGTGAGATGAATGCAAACGTCACAAAGAAGTTGCTGAGAATGCTTTCAGTCTAGTTTCTATGGGAAGACATTTCCTTTTGCACCACAGCCCTCAAAGCACCCCAAATGTCTACCTGCAGATTCGATAAAAGAGTTTTTCAAAACTACTCCATCCAAAGAAAGGTTCAACGCTGTGAGTTGAATCTACATATCACAAAAAAGTTTCTGAGAATGCCTCTATCTACTTTTTATGTGAAGATATTCCGGTTTCCAAAGAAGGCCTCAAAGCGCTCCACATATCTAGTTGCAGATTCTAGAAAAAGAGTATTTCAAAACTGCTCTATTAAAGGAAGGTTCAACTCTGTGAGTTGAATTCACACATCACAAAGAACTTTCTGACAATGCTTCTATCTAGTTTTTATGTGAAGATATTACTGTTTCCTATGAAGGCCTCAAAGTGGTCCGAATATCCTCTTGCAGATTCTACAAAAAGAGGTTTTCAAAACTGCTCTATGTAAAGGTATGTTCAACTCTGTGAGTTGAATGCAAACATCACAAAGCAGTTTCTGAGAATGCTTCTGTCTAGATTTTAGGGGCAGATATTTCCATTGGCACAACAGCCCTCAAAGCGCTCCAAATATCCACTGGCAGATTCTACCAAAAGAGTGTTTCAAAACTGCTCTCTGAAAAGAAATGTTCAACTGTGTTAGTTGAATGCCCACATCACAAAGGAGATTCTGAGAATATTTCTGTCTAGTTTTTATTAGAAGATATTCCCGTTTCCACCAAAGGACACAAAGCGAAGCCAGTTATCCGCTTGCCGATCTTACAAAAACACGTTTCAAAAGTGCTGCATCAAAGGAAAGGTTCATCTCTGTGGGTTCAACGCACACATCACAAAGAAGTTTCTGAGAATGCTTCTGGCTAGTTTGTGTGTGAAGATATTCCCATTTCCAACAAAGGCTTCAAAGCGCTCCAAAGATTCCCCTGCAATTGTTCAAAAGAGTGTTTCAAAACTGTTCTATCAAAAGGAAGGTTCAACTCTGTGAGTTGAAGGCACGCTTCACATAAATGTTTCCGAGAATGCTTCTTTCTAGTTTTTATGGGAAGATATTTCCTTCTCCACCATAGCCCTCAAAGCGCTCCAAGTGTCCGCAGTCAGATTCCACAGAAACAGTGTTTCAAAACTGCTCTGACAAAAGAAAGATTCAACTCCGTGATTTGAATGCACACATCACAAAGCATTTTCTGTGAATCCTTCTGTCTAGTTTTTATATGAGGATATTTCCTTTTCTACCATGGGCATCAAAGTGTTCCAATTATCCAATTGTGGATTGCACAAACAGAGTGTTTGAAAACTGCTTCATGAAAAGGAAGATTCAAATTCGGGAGGAGACTGCACACATCACCAAGAAGTTTCTGAGAATGCTTCTGTCTAGTTTATATGTGCAGATATTCCCATTTCCAGCAAAGGTCTCAAAGCGGTCCAAATATCCACTTGCGGATCCCACAAACAGAGTGTTTCAAAACTGCTCTACGGAAAGGTAGGTTCAACTCTGTGAGTTTACTGCAAACATCCTAAAGAAGTTTCTGAGAATGCTGCTGTCTAGTTTAATGTGAATATCTTTTCTTTTCCGCCATAGCCCTCAAAGAGCTCCAAATATCCACTTTCAGATTCTACAGAGTGTTTCAAAACTGCTCTATCCAAAAAAAGTTTCAACTCGGAGAGTCGAATGCACATATCACAAAGAAGTTTCTGAGAATGCTTTCGTCTATTTTTCCCAGGAAGATATTTCCTTTTTAACCGTAGGCCTCAAACCGCTCCAGATATCCACATGCAGATTCTACAAAAAGAGTGTTTCCAAACTGCCCTATCAAAAGGAAGGTTCAACTCTGCTAGTTGAATGCAAACATCACAAAGAAGTTTCTCGGAATGCTTCTGTCTGGTTTTTAGAGGCAGATATTTCTTTTTCTACCATACGCCTCAAAGCGCTCCAAATATCCACTTGCAGATTCTCCAAAAACAGTGTTTCAAAACTGCTCCATAAAAAGGAAGGTTCACCTCTGTGAGTTGAATGGACAGATGACAAAGAAGTTTCTGAGAATGCTTCTCTCTAGTGTTTATGTGAAGATATTCCCGTTTCCGATGAAGGCCTCAAAGCAGTCCAAATATCCACTTGCCGATTCTACAAAAACAGTGTTTCAAAACCACTCTATGGAAAGGTATGTTCAACACTGTGAGATGCATGCAAACGTCACCAAGAAGTTGCTGAGAATGCTTCAGTCTAGTTTCCATGGGAAGACATTTCCTTTTGCACCACAGCCCTCAAAGCACTCCAAATGTCTACTTGCAGATTCGACAAAAGAGTTTTTCAAAACTGCTCTATCAAAAGAAAGGTACAACGCTGTCAGATGAATCAACATATCACAAAAAAGTTTCTGAGAATGCCTCTATCTACTTTTTCTGTGAAGATATTCCGGTTTCCAACGAAGGCCTCAAAGCGCTCCAAATATCTACTTGCAGATTCTAGAAGAAGAGTGTTTCAAAACTGCTCTATTAAAGGAAGGTTCAACTCTGTGAGTTGAATTCACACATCACAAAGAACTTTCTGACAATGCTTCTATCTAGTTTTTATGTGAAGATATTACTGTTTCCTATGAAGGCCTCAAAGTGGTCCGAATATCCACTTGCAGATTCTACAGAAAGAGGTTTTCAAAACTGCTCTGTGAAGAGGTATGTTCAACTCTGTGTGTTGAATGCAAACATCATGAAGTAGTTTCTGAGAATGCTTCTGTCTAGTTTTAAGGGCAGATATTTCCATTGGCACAATAGCCCTCAAAGCGCTCCAAATATCCACTGGCAGATTCTACCAAAAGAGTGTTTCAAAACTGCTCTGTGAAAAGAAGCGTTCAACTGTGTTAGTTGAATGCCCACATCACAAAGAAGATTCTGAGAATATTTCTGTCTAGTTTTTATTAGAAGATATTCCCGTTTCCACCAAAGGACACAAAGCAAAGCCAATTATCCGCTTGCAGATCTTACAAAAACACGTTTCAAAACTGCTCTATCAAAGGAAAGGTTCATCTCTCTGGGTTCAACGCACACATCACAAAGAAGTTTCTGAGAATGCTTCTGGCTAGTTTGTGTGTGAAGATATTCCCATTTCCAACAAAGGCTTCAAAGCGCTCCAAAGATTCACCTGCAATTGTTCAAAAGAGTGTTTCAAAACTGTTCTATCAAAAGGAAGGTTCAACTCTGTGAGTTGAAGGCACGCTTCACATAAATGTTTCCGAGAATGCTTCTTTCTAGTTTTTATGTGAAGATATTTCCTTCTCCACCATAGCCCTCAAAGCGCTCCAAGTGTCCGCTGGCAGATTCCACAGAAACAGTGTTTCAAAACTGCTCTAACAAAAGAAAGATTCAACTCCATGATTTGAATGCACACATCACAAAGCATTTTCTGTGAATCCTTCTGTCTAGTTTTTATATGAGGATATTTCCTTTTCTACCACGGGCATCCAAGCGTTCCTATTCTCCAATGGTAGATTGCACAAACAGAGTGTTTCAAAACTGCTCCATGAGAAGGAAGATTCAAATTTGGGAGTACAATGCACACATCACGAAGAAGTTTCTGAGAATGCTTCTGTCTAGTTTATATGTGAAGATATTCCCATTTCCAGCAAATGTCTCAAAGCGGTCCAAATATCCACTTGCGGATCCCACAAACAGAGTGTTTCAAAACTGCTCTACGGAAAGGTAGGTTCAACTCTGTGAGTTTACTGCAAACATCCTAAAGAAGTTTCTGAGAATGCTGCTGTCTACTTTAATGTGAATATATTTTCTTTTCCGCCATAGCCCTCAAAGAGCTCCAAATATCCACTTTCAGATTCTACAGAGTGTTTCAAAACTGCTGTATCAAAAAAAAGTTTCAACTCGGTGAGTCGAATGCACATATCACAAAGCAGTTTCTGAGAATGCTTTTCGTCTATTTTTCCCAGGAAGATATTTCCTTTTTGACCGTAGGCCTCAAACCGCTCCAGATATCCACATGCAGATTCTACAAAAAGAGTGTTTCCAAACTGCCCTATCAAAAGGAAGGTTCAACTCTGCTAGTTGAATGCAAACATCACAGAGAAGTTTCTCGGAATGCTTCTGTCTAGTTTTGATATGCAGATATTTCTTTCTCTACCATAGGCTTCAAAGCGCTCCAAATATCCACTTGCAGATTCTACAAAAACAGTGTTTCAAAACGGCTCCATAAAAAGGAAGGTTCAACTCTGTGAGTTGAATGGACAGATCACAAAGAAGTTTCTCAGAATGCTTCTGTCTAGTGTTTATGTGTAGATATTCCCGTTTCCAGTGAAGGCCTCAACGCAGTCCAAATATCCAATTGCAGATTCTACAAAAAGAGTGTTTCAAAACTGCTCTATGAAAAGGTATGTTCAACACTGTGAGATGAATGCAAACGTCACAAGGAAGTTGTTGAGAATGATTCAGTCTAGTTTCTATGGGAAGACATTTCCTTTTGCACCACAGCCCTCAAAGCACTCCAAATGTCTACTTGCAGATTCGACATAAGAGTTTTTGAAAACCGCTGTATCAAAAGAAAGGTTCAACGCTGTGAGTTGAATCTACATATCACAAAAAAGTTTCTGAGAATGCCTCTATCTACGTTTTATGTGAAGATATTCCGGATTCCAACGAAGGCCTCAAAGCGCTCCAAATATCTACTTGCAGATTCTAGAAAAAGAGTGTTTCAAAACTGCTCTATTAAAGGAAGGTTCAACTCTGTGAGTTGAATTCACACATCACAAAGAACTTTCTGACAATGCTTCTATCTAGTTTTTATGTGAAGATATTACTGTTTCCTATGAAGGCCTCAAAGTGGTCCGAATATCCACTTGCAGATTCTACAGAAAGAGGTTTTCAAAACTGCTCTATGAAGAGGTATGTTCAACTCTGTGAGTTGAAGGCAAACATCACGAAGTAGTTTCTGAGAATGCTTCTGTCTAGTTTCTATGGGAAGATATTTCCATTGGCACAATAGCCCTCAAAGCGCTCCAAATATCCACTGGCAGATTCTACCAAAAGAGTGTTTCAAAACTGCTCTGTGAAAAGAAACGTTCAACTGTGTTAGTTGAATGCCCACATCACAAAGAAGATTCTGAGAATATTTCTGTCTAGTTTTTATTAGAAGATATTCCCGTTTCCACCAAAGGACACAAAGCGAAGCCAATTATCCGCTTGCCGATCTTACAAAAGCACGTTTCAAAACTGCTCTATCAAAGGAAAGGTTCATCTCTCTGGGTTCAACGCACACATCACAAAGAAGTTTCTGAGAATGCTTCTGGCTAGTTTGTGTGTGAAGATATTCCCATTTCCAACAAAGGCTTCAAAGCCCTCCAAATATTCACCTGCAATTGTTCAAAAGAGTGTTTCAAAACTGTACTATCAAAAGGAAGGTTCAACTCTGTGAGTTGAACGCACGCTTCACATAAATGGTTCTGAGAATGCTTCTTTCTAGTTTTTATGTGAAGATATTTCCTTCTCCACCATAGCCCTCAAAGCGCTACAAGTGTCCGCTGGCAGATTCCACAGAAACAGTGTTTCAAAACTGCTCTAACAAAAGAAAGATTCAACTGCGTGATTTGAATGCACACATCACAAAGCATTTTCTGTGAATCCTTCTGTCTAGTTTTTATATGAGGATATTTCCTTTTCTACCATGGGCATCAAAGCGTTCCAATTATCCAATTGTGGATTGCACAAACAGAGTGTTTCAAAACTGCTTCATGAAAAGGAAGATTCAAATTCGGGAGTAGAATGCACACATCATGAAGAAGTTTCTGAGAATGCTTCTGTCTAGTTTATATGTGAAGATATTCCCGTTTCCAGCAAAGGTCTCAAAGCGGTCCAAAATCCAATTGCGGATCCCACAAACAGAGTGTTTCAAAACTGCTCTACGGAAAGGTATGTTCAACTCTGTGAGTTTACTGCAAACATCCTAAAGAATTTTCTGGGAATTCTGCTGTCTAGTTTAATGTGAATATATTTTCTTTTCCGCCATAGCCCTCAAAGAGCTCCAAATATCCACTTTCAGATTCTACAGAGTGTTTCAAAACTTCTCTATCAAAAAAAAGTTTCAACTCGGTGAGTCGAATGCACATATCAGAAAGCAGTTTCTGAGAATGCTTTCGTCTATTTTTCCCAGGAAGATATTTCCTTTTTGACTGTAGGCCTCAAATCGCTCCAGATATCCACATGCAGATTCTACAAAAAGAGTGTTTCCAAACTGCCCTATCAAAAGGAAGGTTCAACTCTGGTAGTTGAATGCAAACATCACAAAGAAGTTTCTCAGAATGCTTCTGTCTGGTTTTTAGGGGCGGATATTTCTTTTTCTACCATAGGCCTCAAAGCGCTCCAAATATCCACTTGCAGATTCTCCAAAAGGAGTGTTTCAAAACGGCTCCATAAAAAGGAAGGTTCAACTCTGTGAGTTGAATGGACAGATGACAAAGAAGTTTCTGAGAATGCTTCTGTCTAGTGTTTATGTGAAGATATTCCCGTCTCCGATGAAGGCCTCAAAGCAGTCCAAATATCCACTTGCAGATTCTACAAAAATAGTGTCTCAAAACTACTCTATGGAAAGGTATGTTCAACACTGTGAGATGAATGCAAACGTCACAAAGAAGTTGCTGAGAATGCTTCAGTCTAGTTTCCATGGGAAGACATTTCCTTTGGCACCACAGCCCTCAAAGCACTCCAAATGTCTACTTGCAGATTCGACAAAAGAGTTTTTCAAAACTGCTCTATCAAAAGAAGGGTTCAACGCTGTCAGATGAATCAACATATCACAAAAAAGTTTCTGAGAATGCCTCTATCTACTTTTTATGTGAAGATATTCCGGTTTCCAAAGAAGGCCTCAAAGCGCTCCAAATATCTACTTGCAGACTCTAGAAAAAGAGTGTTTCAAAACTGCTCTATTAAAGGAAGGTTCAACTCTGTGGGTTGAATTCACACATCACAAAGAACTTTCTGACAATGCTTCTATCTAGTTTTTATGTGAAGATATTACTGTTTCCTATGAAGGCCTCAAACTGGTCCGAATATCCACTTGCAGATTCTACAAAAAGATATTTTCAAAACTGCTCTATGAAAAGGTATGTTCAACTCTGTGAGTTGAATGCAAACATCACAAAGCAGTTTCTGAGAATGCTTCTGTCTAGTTTTCAGGGGCAGATATTTCCATTGGCACAATAGCCCTCCAAGCGCTCCAAGTATCCACTGGCAGATTCTACCAAAAGAGTGTTTCAAAACTGCTCTGTGAAAAGAAATGTTCAACTGTGTTAGTTGAATGCCCACATCACAAAGGAGATTCTGAGAATATTTCTGTCTAGTTTTTATTAGAAGATATTCCCGTTTCAACCAAAGGACACAAAGTGAAGCCAATTATGCGCTTGCAGATCTTACAAAAGCACGTTTCAAAACTGCTCTATCGAAGGAAAGGTTCATCTCTCTGGGTTCAACGCACACATCACGAAGAAGTTTCTGAGAATGCTTCTGGCTAGTTTGTGTGTGAAGATATTCCCATTTCCAACAAAGGCTTCAAAGCGCTCCAAAGATTCACCTGTAATTGTTCAAAAGAGTGTTTCAAAACTGTTCTATCAAAAGGAAGGTTCAACTCTGTGAGTTGAATGCACGCTTCACATAAATGTTTCCGAGAATGCTTCTTTCTAGTTTTTATGGGAAGATATTTCCTTCTCCACCATAGCCCTCAAAGCGCTCCAAGTGTCCGCTGGCAGATTCCACAGAAACAGTGTTTCAAAACTGCTCTGACAAAAGAAAGATTCAACTCCGTGATTTGAATGCACACATCACAAAGCATTTTCTGTGAATCCTTCTGTCTAGTTTTTATATGAGGATATTTCCTTTTCTACCACGGGCATCCAAGCGTTCCAATTCTCCAATTGTATATTGCACAAACAGAGTGTTTCAAAACTGTTCCATGAGAAGGAAGATTCAAATTTGGGAGTACAATGCACACATCACCAAGAAGTTTCTGAGAATGCTCTGTCTAGTTTATACGTGAAGATATTCCCATTTCCAGCAAAGGTCTCAAAGCGGTCCAAATATCCACTTGCGGATCCCACAAACAGAGTGTTTCAAAACTGCTCTACGGAAAGGTATGTTCAACTCTGTGAGTTTACTGCAAACATCCTAAAGAAGTTTCTGAGAATGCTGGCTGTCTACTTTAATGTGAATATATTTTCTTTTCCGCCATAGCCCTCAAAGAGCTCCAAATATCCACTTTCAGATTCTACAGTGTGTTTTAAAACTGCTCTATCAAAAAAAGGTTTCAAATCGGTGAGCCGAATGCACATATCACAAAGCACTTTCTGAGAATGCTTTCGTCTATTTTTCCCAGGAAGATATTTCCTTTTTGACCGTAGGCCTCAAATCGCTCCAGATATCCACATGCAGATTCTACAAAAAGAATGTTTCCAAACTGCCCTATCAAAAGGAAGGTTCAACTGCTGGTATTTGAATGCAAACATCACAAAGAAGTTTCTCAGAATGCTTTTGTCTGGTTTTTAGAGGCAGATATTTCTTTTTCTACCATAGGCCTCAAAGCGCTCCAAATATCCACTTGCAGATTCTCCAAAAGGAGTGTTTCAAAACTGCTCCATAAAAAGGAAGGTTCAACTCTGTGAGTTGAATGGACAGATGACAAAGAAGTTTCTGAGAATGCTTCTCTCTAGTGTTTATGTGAAGATATTCCCGTTTCCGATGAAGGCCTGAAAGCAGTCCAAATATCCACTTGCCGATTCTACAAAAACAGTGTTTCAAAACCACTCTATGGAAACGTATGTTCAACACTGTGAGATGAATGCAAACGTCACCAAGAAGTTGCTGAGAATGCTTCAGTCTAGTTTCTATGGGAAGACATTTCCTTTTGCACCACAGCCCTCAAAGCACCCCAAATGTCTACCTGCAGATTCGATAAAGGAGTTTTTCAAAACTGCTCCATCCAAAGAAAGGTTCAACGCTGTGAGTTGAATCTACATATCACAAAAAAGTTTCTGAGAATGCCTCTATCTACTTTTCCTGTGAAGATATTCCAGTTTCCAACGAAGGCCTCAAAGCGCTCCAAATATCTACTTGCAGATTCTAGAAAAAGAGTGTTTCAAAACTGCTCTATTAAAGGAAGGTTCAACTCTGTGAGTTGAATTCACACATCACAAAGAACTTTCTGACAATGCTTCTTTTTAGTTTTTATGTGAAGATATTACTGTTTCCTATGAAGGCCTCAAAGTGGTCCGAATATCCACTTGCAGATTCTACAGAAAGAGGTTTTCAAAACTGCTCTGGGAAGGGGTATGTTCAACTCTGTGTGTTGAATGCAAACATCACGAAGTAGTTTCTGAGAATGCTTCTGTCTAGTTTTTAGGGGCAGATATTTCCGTTGGCACAATAGCCCTCAAAGCGCTCCAAATATCCACTGGCAGATTCTACCAAAAGAGAGTTTCAAAACTGCTCTGTGAAAAGAAACGTTCAACTCTGTTAGTTGAATGCCCACATCACAAAGAAGATTCTGAGAATATTTCTGTCTAGTTTTTATTAGAAGATATTCCCGTTTCCACCAAAGGACACAAAGCGAAGCCAACTATCCGCTTGCAGATCTTACAAAAACACGTTTCAAAACTGCTCTATCAAAGGAAAGGTTCATCTCTCTGGGTTCAACGCACACATCACAAAGAAGTTTCTGAGAAAGCTTCTGGCTAGTTCGTGTGTGAAGATATTCCCGTTTCCAACAAAGGCTTCAAAGCCCTCCAAATATTCACCTGCAATTGTTCAAAAGAGTGTTTCAAAACTGTTCTATCAAAAGGAAGGTTCAACTCTGTGAGTTGAATGCATGCTTCACATAAATGGTTCTGAGAATGCTTCTTTCTAGTTTTTATGGGAAGATATTTCCTTCTCCACCATAGTCCTCAAAGCGCTCCAAGTGTCCGCTGGCAGATTCCACAGAAACAGTGTTTCAAAACTGCTCTGACAAAAGAAAGATTCAACTCCGTGATTTGAATGCACACATCACAAAGCATTTTCTGTGAATCCTTCTGTCTAGTTTTTATATGAGGATATTTCCTTTTCTACCATGGGCATCAAAGCGTTCCAATTATCCAATTGTGGATTGCACAAACCGAGTGTTTCAAAACTGCTTCATGAAAAGGAAGATTCAAATTTGGGAGTAGAATGCACACATCACGAAAGAAGTTTCTGAGAATGCTTCTGTCTAGTTTATATGTGAAGATATTCCCATTTCCAGCAAAGGTCTCAAAGCGGTCCAAATATCCCCTTGCGGATCCCACAAACAGAGTGTTTCAAAACTGCTCTACGGAAAGGTATGTTCAACTCTGTGAGTTTACTGCAAACATCCTAAAGAGGTTTCTGAGAATGCTGCTGTCTAGTTTAATGTGAATATATTTTCTTTTCCGCCATAGCCCTCAAAGACCTCCAAATAGCCACTTTCAGAATCTACAGAGTGTTTCAAAACTGCTCTATGAAAAAAAAGTTTCAACTCGGTGATTCGAATGCACATATCACAAAGCAGTTTCTGAGAATGCTTTCGTCTATTTTTCCCAGGAAGATATTTCCTTTTTGACCGTAGGCCTCAAACCGCTCCAGATATCCAAATGCAGATTCTACAAAAAGAGTATTTCCAAACTGCCCTATCAAAAGGAAGGTTCAACTCTGCTAGTTGAATGCAAACATCACAGAGAAGTTTCTTGGAATGTTTCTGTCTGGTTTTTAGAGGCAGATATTTCTTTTTCTACCATAGGCCTCAAAGCGCTCCAAATATCCACTTGCAGATTCTCCAAAAGGAGTGTTTCAAAACTGCTCCAGAAAAAGGAAGGTTCAACTCTGTGAGTTGAATGGACAGATGACAAAGAAGTTTCTGAGAATGATTCTGTCTAGTGTTTATGTGAAGATATTCCCGTTTCCGATGAAGGCCTCAAAGCAGTCCAAATGTCCACTTGCAGATTCTACAAAAATAGTGTTTCCAAACTACTCTATGCAAAGGTATGTTCAACACTGTGAGATGAATGCAAACGTCACCAAGAAGTTGCTGAGAATGATTCAGTCTAGTTTCTATGGGAAGACATTTCCTTTTGCACCACAGCTCTCAAAGCACCCCGAAAGTCTACCTGCAGATTCGATAAAAGAGTTTTTCAAAACTGCTCCATCCAAAGAAAGGTTCAACGCTGTGAGTTGAATCTACATATCACAAAAAAGTTTCTGAGAATGCCTCTATCTACTTTTCCTGTGAAGATATTCCGGTTTCCAACGAAGGCCTCAAAGCGCTCCAAATATCTACTTGCAGATTCTAGAAAAAGAGTGTTTCAAAACTGCTCTATTAAAGGAAGGTTCAACTCTGTGAGTTGAATTCACGCATCACAAAGAACTTTCTGACAATGCTTCTATTTAGTTTTTATGTGAAGATATTACTGTTTCCTATGAAGGCCTCAAAGTGGCCCGAATATCCACTTGCAGATTCTACAGAAAGAGGTTTTCAAAACTGCTCTCTGAAGAGGTATGTTCAACTCTGTGTGTTGAATGCAGACATCACGAAGTAGTTTCTGAGAATGCTTCTGTCTAGTTTTCAGGGGCAGATATTTCCATTGGCACAATAGCCCTCCAAGCGCTCCAAATATCCACTGGCAGATTCTACCAAAAGAGTGTTTCAAAACTGCTCTGTGAAAAGAAATGTTCAACTGTGTTAGTTGAATGCCCACTTCACAAAGGAGATTCTGAGAATATTTCTGTCTAGTTTTTATTAGAAGATATTCCCGTTTCCACCAAAGGACACAAAGCGAAGCCAACTATCCGCTTGCAGATCTTACAAAAACACGTTTCAAAACTGCTCTATCAAAGGAATGGTTCATCTCTCTGGGTTCAACGCACACATCACAAGGAAGTTTCTGAGAATGCTTCTGGCTAGTTTGTGTGTGAAGATATTCCCATTTCCAACAAAGGCTTCAAAGCGCTCCAAAGATTCACCTGCAATTGTTCAAAAGAGTGTTTCAAAACTGTTCTATCAAAAGGAAGGTTCAACTCTGTGAGTTGAATGCACGCTTCACATAAATGTTTCTGAGAATGCGTCTTTCTAGTTTTTATGTGAAGATATTTCCTTCTCCACCGTAGCCCTCAAAGCGCTCCAAGTGTACGCTGGCAGATTCCACAGAAACAGTGTTTCAAAACTGCTCTAACAAAAGAAAGATTCAACTCCGTGATTTGAATGCACACATCACAAAGCATTTTCTGTGAATCCTTCTGTCTAGTTTTTATATGAGGATATTTCCTTTTCTACCATGGGCATCAAAGCGTTCCAATTATCCAATTGTGGATTGCGCTAACAGAGTGTTTCAAAACTGCTTCATGAAAAGGAAGATTCAAATTCGGGAGTAGAATGCACACATCACGAAGAAGTTTCTGAGAATGCTTCTGTCTAGTTTATATGTGAAGATATTCCCATTTCCAGCAAAGGTCTCAAAGCGGTCCAAATATCCACTTGCGGATCCCACAAACAGAGTGTTTCAAAACTGCTCTACGGAAAGGTAGGTTCAACTCTGAGAGTTTACTGCAAACATCCTAAAGAAGTTTCTGAGAATGCTGCTGTCTACTTTAATGTGAATATATTTTCTTTTCCGCCATAGCCCTCAAGGAGCTCCAAATATCCACTTTCAGATTCTACAGAGTGTTTCAAAACTTCTCTATCAAAAAAAAGTTTCAACTTGGTGAGTCGAATGCACATATCACAAAGCACTTTCTGAGAATGCTTTCGTCTATTTTTCCCAGGAAGATATTTCCTTTTTGACCGTAGGCCTCAAACCGCTCCAGATATCCACATGCAGATTCTACAAAAAGAGTGTCTCCAAACTGCCCTATCAAAAGGAAGGTTCAACTCTGCTAGTTGAATGGAAACATCACAAAGAAGTTTCTCGGAATGCTTCTGTCTAGCTGTGATAGGCAGATATTTCTTTTTCTACCATAGGCCTCAAAGTGCTCCAAATATCCACTTGCAGATTCTCCAAAAACAGGGTTTCAAAACTGCTCCATATAAAGGAAGGTTCAACTCTGTGAGTTGAATGGACAGACCACAAAGAAGTTTCTGAGAATGCTTCTGTCTAGTGTTTATGTGAAGATATTCCCGTTTCCGATGAAGGCCTCAAAGCAGTCCAAATATCCACTTGCAGATTCTACAAAAATAGTGCTTCAAAACTACTCTATGGAAAGGTATGTTCAACACTGTGACATGAATGCAAACGTCACAAAGAAGTTGCTGAGAATGCTTCAGTCTAGTTTCTATGGGAAGACATTTCCTTTTGCACCACAGCCCTCAAAGCACCCCAAATGTCTACCTGCAGATTCGATAAAAGGGTTTTTCAAAACTGCTCCATCCAAAGAAAGGTTCAACGCTGTAAGTTGAATCTACATATCACAAAAAAGTTTCTGAGAATGCCTCTATCTACATTTCCTGTGAAGATATTCCGGTTTCCAACGAAGGCCTCCAAGCGCTCCAAATATCTACTTGCAGATTGTAGAAAAAGAGTGTTTCAAAACTGCTCTATTAAAGGAAGGTTCAACTCTGTGAGTTGAATTCACACATCACAAAGAACTTTCTGACAATGCTTCTATCTAGTTTTTATGTGAAGATGTTACTGTTTCCTATGAAGGCCTCAAAGTGGTCCGAATATCCACTTGCAGATTCTACAAAAAGGGGTTTTCAAAACTGCTCTATGAAGAGGTATGTTCAACTCTGTGAGTTGAATGCAAACATCACAAAGTAGTTTCTGAGAATGCTTCTGTCTAGTTTTCAGGGGCAGATATTTCCATTGGCACAATAGCCCTCCAAGCGCTCCAAATATCCACTGGCAGATTCTACCAAAAGAGTGTTTCAAAACTGCTCTGTGAAAAGAAATGTTCAACTGTGTAAGTTGAATGCCCACATCACAAAGTAGATTCTGAGAATATTTCTCTCTAGTTTTTATTAGAAGATATTGCCGTTTCCACCAAAGGACACAAAGCGAAGCCAACTATCCGCTTGCAGATCTTACAAAAACACGTTTCAAAACTGCTCTATCAAAGGAAAGGTTCATCTCTCTGGGTTCAACGCACACATCACAAAGAAGTTTCTGAGAATGCTTCTGGCTAGTTTGCGTGTGAAGATATTCCCATTTCCAACAAAGGCTTCAAAGCGCTCCAAAGATTCACCTGCAATTGTTCAAAAGAGTGTTTCAAAACTGTTGTATCAAAGGAAGGTTCAACTCTGTGAGTTGAATGCACGCTTCACATAAATGTTTCTGAGAATGCTTCTTTCTAGTTTTTATGGGAAGATATTTCCTTCTCCACCACAGCCCTCAAAGCGCTCCAAGTGTCCACTGGCAGATTCCACAGAAACAGTGTTTCAAAACTGCTCTGACAAAAGAAAGATTCAACTCCGTGATTTGAATGCACACATCACAAAGCATTTTCTGTGAATCATTCTGTCTAGTTTTCATATGAGGATATTTCCTTTTCTACCATGGGCATCAAAGCGTTCCAATTATCCAATTGTGGATTGCACAAACAGAGTGTTTCAAAACTGCTTCATGAAAAGGAAGATTCAAATTCGGGAGTAGAATGCACACATCACGAGGAAGTTTCTGAGAATGCTTCTGTCTAGTTTATATGTGAAGATATTCCCATTTGCAGCAAAGGTCTCAAATCGGTCCAAATATCCACTTGCGGATCCCACAAACAGAGTGTTTCAAAACTGCTCTACGGAAAGGTATGTTCAACTCTGTGAGTTTACTGCAAACATCCTAAAGAAGTTTCTGAGAATGCTGCTGTCTAGTTTAATGTGAATATATTTTCTTTTCCGCCATAGCCCTCAAAGAGCTCCAAATATCCACTTTCAGATTCTACAGAGTGTTTCAAAACTGCTCTATCCAAAAAAAGTTTCAACTCAGTGAGTCGAATGCACATATCACAAAGCAGTTTACTGAGGATGCTTTCGTCTATTTTTCCCAGGAAGATATTTCCTTTTTGACCGTAGGCCTCAAACCGCTCCAGATATCCACATGCAGATTCTACAAAAAGAGTGTTTCCAAACTGCCCTATCAAATGGAAGGTTCAACTCTGCTAGTTGAATGCAAACATCACAAAGAAGTTTCTCGGAATGCTTCTGTCTGGTTTTTAGAGGCAGATATTTCTTTTTCTACCATAGGCCTCAAAGCGCTCCAAATATCCACTTGCAGATTCTCCAAAAACAGTGATTCAAAACTGCTCCATAAAAAGGAAGGTTCAACTCTGTGAGTTGAATGGACAGATCACAAAGAAGTTTCTCAGAATGCTTCTGTCTAGTGTTTATGTGAAGATATTCCCGTTTCCGATGAAGGCCTCAAAGCAGTCCAAATATCCACTTGCAGATTCTACAAAAATAGTGTTTCAAAACCGCTCTATGCAAAGGTATGTTCAACACTGTGAGATGCATGCAAACGTCACCAAGAAGTTGCTGAGAATGCTTTCAGTCTAGTTTCTATGGGAAGACATTTCCTTTTGCACCAGAGCCCTCAAAGCACTCCAAATGTCTACTTGCAGATTCGATAAAAGAGTTTTCCAAAACTGCTCTATCAAAAGAAAGGTTCAACGCTGTGAGTTGAATCTACATATCACAAAAAAGTTTCTGAGAATGCCTCTATCTACTTTTTATGTGAAGATATTCCGGTTTCCAACGAAGGCCTCAAAGCGCTCCAAATATCTACTTGCAGATTCTAGAAAAAGAGTGTTTCAAAACTGCTCTATGAAAAGAAGGTTCAACACTGTGAGTTGAATTCACACATCACAAAGAACTTTCTGACAATGCTTCTGTCTAGTTTTTATGTGAAGATATTACTGTTTCCTGTGAAGGCCTCAAAGTGGTCCGAATATCCACTTGCAGATTCTACAGAAAGAGGTTTTCAAAACTGCTCTGTGAAGAGGTATGTTCAACTCTGTGTGTTGAATGCAAACATCACGAAGTAGTTTCTGAGAATGCTTCTGTCTAGTTTTCAGGGGCAGATATTTCCATTGGCACAATAGCCCTCCAAGCTCTCCAAGTATCCACTGGCAGATTCTACCAAAAGAGTGTTTCAAAACTGCTCTGTGAAAAGAAATGTTCAACTGTGTTAGTTGAATGCCCACATCACAAAGGAGATTCTGAGAATATTCTGTCTAGTTTTTATTAGAAGATATTCCCGTTTCCACCAAAGGACACAAAGCGAAGCCAATTATCCGCTTGCCGATCTTACAAAAACACGTTTCAAAACTGCTCTATCAAAGGAAAGGTTCATCTCTCTGGGTTCAACGCACACATCACAAAGAAGTTTCTGAGAATGCTTTCTGGCTAGTTTGTGTGTGAAGATATTCCCATTTGCAACAAAGGCTTCAAAGCGCTCCAAAGATTCACCTGCAATTGTTCAAAAGAGTGTTTCAAAACTGTTGTATCAAAAGGAAGGTTCAACTCTGTGAGTTGAATGCACGCTTCACATAAATGTTTCTGAGAATGCTTTTCTTTCTAGTTTTTATGTGAAGATATTTCCTTCTCCACCATAGCCCTCAAAGCGCTCCAAGTGTCCGCTGGCAGATTGCACAGAAACAGTGTTTCAAAACTGCTCTAACAAAAGAAAGATTCAACTCCGTGATCTGAATGCACACATCACAAAGCATTTTCTGTGAATCCTTCTGTCTAGTTTTTATATGAGGATATTTCCTTTTCTACCATGGGCATCAAAGCGTTCCAATTATCCAATTGTGGATTGCACAAACAGAGTGTTTCAAAACTGCTTCATGAAAAGGAAGATTCAAATTTGCGAGGAGAATGCACACATCACGAAGAAGTTTCTGAGAATGCTTCTGTCTAGTTTATATGTGAAGATATTCCCATTTCCAGCAAAGGTCTCAAAGCGGTCCAAATATCCACTTGCAGATCCCACAAACAGAGGGTTTCAAAACTGCTTTACGGAAAGGTATGTTCAACTCTGTGAGTTTACTGCAAACATCCTCAAGAAGTCTCTGAGAATGCTGCTGTCTAGTTTAATGTGAATATCTTTTCTTTTCCGCCATAGCCCTCAAAGAGCTCCAAATATCCACCTTCAGATTCTACAGAGTGTTTCAAAACTGCTCTATCCAAAAAAAGTTTCAACTCGGTGAGTCGAATGCACATATCACAAAGCAGTTTCTGAGAATGCTTTCCTCTATTTTTCCCAGGAAGATATTTCCTTTTGGACCGTAGGCCTCAAATCGCTCCAGATATCCACATGCAGATTCTACAAAAAGAGTGTTTCCAAACTGCCCTATCAAAAGGAAGATTCAACTCTGGTAGTTGAATGCAAACATCACAAAGAAGTTTCTCAGAATGCTTCTGTCTGGTTTTTAGAGGCAGATATTTCTTTTTCTACCATAGGCCTCAAAGCACTCCAAATATCCACTTGCAGATTCTCCAAAAACAGTGATTCAAAACTGCTCCATAAAAAGGAAGGTTCAACTCTGTGAGTTGAATGGACAGATCACAAAGAAGTTTCTGAGAATGCTTCTCTCTAGTGTTTATGTGAAGATATTCCCGTTTCCGATGAAGGCCTCAAAGCAGTCCAAATATCCACTTGCCGATTCTACAAAAACAGTGTTTCAAAACCACTCTATGGAGAGGTATGTTCAACACTGTGAGATGAATGCAAACGTCACCAAGAAGTTGCTGAGAATGCTTCAGTCTAGTTTCTACGGGAAGACATTTCCTTTTGCACCACAGCCCTCAAAGCACTCCAAATGTCTACTTGCAGATTCGATAAAAGAGTTTTTCAAAACTGCTCTATCAAAAGAAAGGTTCAACGCTGTGAGTTGAATCTACATATGACAGAAAAGTTTCTGAGCATGCCTCTATCTACTTTTTATGTGAAGATATTCCGGTTTCCAAAGAAGGCCTCAAAGCGCTCCAAATATCTACTTGCAGATTCTAGAAAAAGAGTGTTTCAAAACTGCTCTATTAAAGGAAGGTTCAACTCTGTGAGTTGATTTCACACATCACAAAGAACTTTCTGACAATGCTTCTATCTAGTTTTTATGCGAAGATATTACTGTTTCCTATGAAGGCCTCAAAGTGGTCCGAATATCCTCTTGCAGATTCTACAAAAAGAGGTTTTCAAAACTGCTCTATGAAAAGGTATGTTCAACTCTGTGAGTTGAATGCAAACATCACAAAGCAGTTTCTGAGAATGCTTCTGTCTAGTTTTTAGGGGAAGATATTTCCATTGGCACAATAGCCCTCAAAGCGCTCCAAATATCCACTGGCAGATTCTACCAAAAGAGTCTTTCAAAACTGCTCTGTGAAAAGAAAGGTTCAACTGTGTTAGTTGAATGCCCACATCACAAAGAAGATTCTGAGAATATTTCTGTCTAGTTTTTATTAGAAAATATTCCCGTTTCCACCAAAGGACACAAAGCGAAGCCAACTATCCGCTTGCAGATCTTACAAAAACACGTTTCAAAACTGCTCTATCAAAGGAAAGGTTCATCTCTCTGGGTTCAACGCACACATCACAAAGAAGTTTCTGAGAATGCTTCTGGCTAGTTTGTGTGTGAAGATATTCCCATTTCCAACAAAGCCTTCAAAGCGCTCCAAAGATTCACCTGCAATTGTTCAAAAGAGTGTTTCAAAACTGTTCTCTCAAAAGAAAGGTTCAACTCTGTGAGTTGAATGCACGCTTCACATAAATGTTTCCGAGAATGCTTCTCTCTAGTTTTTATGGGAAGATATTTCCCTTCTCCACCATAGCCCTCAAAGCGCTCCAAGTGTCCGCTGGCAGATTCCACAGAAACAGTGTTTCAAAACTGCTCTAACAAAAGAAAGATTCAACTCCGTGATTTGAATGCACACATCACAAAGCATTTTCTGTGAATCCTTCTGTCTAGTTTTTATATGAGGATATTTCCTTTTCTACCATGCGCA
Source organism: Homo sapiens (assembly GCF_000001405.40). Classification (NCBI taxonomy): domain Eukaryota; kingdom Metazoa; phylum Chordata; class Mammalia; order Primates; family Hominidae; genus Homo; species Homo sapiens. Next base: position 24,702,799 of record NC_000019.10, on the reverse strand, counting down.
TCAAAGCGTTCCAATTATCCACTTGTGGATTGCACAAACAGAGTGTTTCAAAACTGCTTCATGAAAAGGAAGATTCAAATTCGGGAGTAGAATGCACACATCACGAAGAAGTTTCTGAGAATGCTTCCGTCTAGTTTATATGTGAAGATATTCCCATTTCCAGCAAAGGTCTCAAAGCGGTGCAAATATCCACTTGCGGATCCCACAAACAGTGTTTCAAAACTGCTCTACCGAAAGGTATGTTCAACTCTGTGAGTTTACTGCAAACATCCTAAAGAAGTTTCTGAGAATGCTGCTGTCTACTTTAATGTGAATATATTTTCTTTTCCGCCATAGCCCTCAAAGAGCTCCAAATATCCACTTTCAGATTCTACAGAGTGTTTCAAAACTGCTCTATCGAAAAACAGTTTCAACACGGTGAGTCGAATGCACATGTCACAAAGCAGTTTCTGAGAATTCTTTCGTCTATTTTTCCCAGGAAGATATTTCCTTTTTGACCATAGGCCTCAAATCGCTCCAGATATCCACATGCAGATTCTACAAAAAGAGTGTTTCCAAACTGCCCTATCAAAAGGAAGATTCAACTCTGGTAGTTGAATGCAAACATCACAAAGAAGTTTCTCAGAATGCTTCTGTCTAGTTTTTAGAGGCAGATATTTCTTTTTCTACCATAGGCCTCAAAGCGCTCCAAATATCCACTTGCAGATTCTCCAAAAACAGTGTTTCAAAACTGCTCCATAAAAAGGAAGGTTCAACTCTGTGAGTTGAATGGACAGATCACAAAGTAGTTTCTGAGAATGCTTCTGCCTAGTGTTTATGTGAAGATATTCCCGTCTCCGATGAAGGCCTCAAAGCAGTCCAAATATCCGCTTGCAGATTCTACAAAAATAGTGTCTCAAAACTACTCTATGGAAAGGTATGTTCAACACTGTGAGATGAATGCAAACGTCACAAAGAAGTTGCTGAGAATGCTTCAGTCTAGTTTCCATGGGAAGACATTTCCTTTGGCACCACAGACCTCAAAGCACTCCAAATGTCTACTTGCAGATTCGACAAAAGAGTTTTTCAAAACTGCTCTATCAAAGGAAAGGTTCAACGCTGTCAGATGAATCAACATATCACAAAAAAGTTTCTGAGAATGCCTCTATCTACTTTTCCTGTGAAGATATTCCGGTTTCCAACGAAGGCCTCAAAGCGCTCCAAATATCTACTTGCAGATTCTAGAAAAGGAGTGTTTCAACACTGCTGTATTAAAGGAAGGTTCAACTCTGTGAGTTGGATTCACACATCACAAAGAACTTTCTGAGAATGCTTCCATCTAGTTTTTATGTGAAGATATTACTGTTTCCTATGAAGGCCTCAAAGTGGTCCCAATATCCACTTACAGATTCTACAGAAAGAGGTTTTCAAAACTGCTCTGTGAAGAGGTATGTTCAACTCTGTGTGTTGAATGCAAACATCACGAAGTAGTTTCTGAGAATGCTTCTGTCCAGATTTCAGGGGCAGGTATTTCCATTGGCACAACAGCCCTCCAAGCGCTCCAAATATCCACTGGCAGATTCTACCAAAAGAGTGTTTCAAAACTGCTCTGTGAAAAGAAATGTTCAACTGTGTTAGTTGAATGCCCACATCACAAAGGAGATTCTGAGAATATTTCTGTCTAGTTTTTATTAGAAGATATTCCCGTTTCCACCGAAGGACACAAAGCGAAGCCAATTATCCGCTTACCGATCTTACAAAAACGCGTTTCAAAACTGCTCTATCGAAGGAAAGGTTCATCTCTCTGGGTTCAACGCACACATCACAAAGAAGTTTCTGAGAATGCTTCTGGCTAGTTTGTGTGTGAAGATATTCCCATTTCCAACAAAGGCTTCAAAGCGCTCCAAAGATTCACCTGCAATTGTTCAAAAGAGTGTTTCAAAACTGTTCTATCAAAAGGAAGGTTCAACTCTGTGAGTTGAATGCACGCTTCACATAAATGTTTCTGAGAATGCTTCTTTCTAGTTTTTATGGGAAGATATTTCCTTCTCAACCATAGCCCTCAAAGCGCTCCAAGTGTCCGCTGGCAGATTCCACAGAAACAGTGTTTCAAAACTGCTCTGACAAAAGAAAGATTCAACTCCGTGATTTGAATGCACACATCACAAAGCATTTTCTGTGAATCCTTCTGTCTAGTTTTTATATGAGGATATTTCCTTTTCTACCACGGGCATCCAAGCCTTCCAATTCTCCAATTGTAGATTGCACAAACAGAGTGTTTGAAAACTGCTCCATGAGAAGGAAGATTCAAATTTGGGAGTACAATGCACACATCACCAAGAAGTTTCTGAGAATGCTTCTGTCTAGTTTAAATGTGCAGATATTCCCATTTCCAGCAAAGGTCTCAAAGCGGTCCAAATATCCACTTGCGGATCCCACAAACAGAGTGTTTCAAAACTGCTCTACGGAAAGGTATGTTCAACTCTGTGAGTTTACTGCAAACATCCTAAAGAAGTTTCTGAGAATGCTGCTGACTACTTTAATGTGAATATATTTTCTTTTCCGCCATAGCCCTCAAAGAGCTCCAAATATCCACTTTCAGATTCTACAGAGTGTTTCAAAACTGCTGTATCAAAAAAAAGTTTCAACTCGGTGAGTCGAATGCGCATATCACAAAGCACTTTCTGAGAATGCTTTCGTCTATTTTTCCCAGGAAGATATTTCCTTTTTGACCGTAGGCCTCAAACCGCTCCAGATATCCACATGAAGATTCTACAAAAAGAGTGTTTCCAAACTGCCCTATCAAAAGGAAGGTTCAACTCTGCTAGTTGAATGCAAACATCACAAAGAACTTTTCTCAGAATGCTTCTGTCTAGTTTTCAGGGGCAGATATTTCCATTGGCACAATAGCCCTCCAAGCGCTCCAAATATCCACTGGCAGATTCTACCAAAAGAGTGTTTCAAAACTGCTCCATAAAAAGGAAGGTTCAATTCTGTGAGTTGAATGGACAGATGACAAAGAAGTTTCTGAGAATGCTTCTGTCTAGTGTTTATGTGAATATATTCCCGTTTCCGATGGAGGCCTCAAAGCAGTCCAAATATCCACTTGCAGATTCTACAAAAATAGTGTTTCAAATCTACTCTATGGAAAGGTATGTTCAACACTGTGAGATGAATGCAAACGTCACAAAGAAGTTGCTGAGAATGCTTCAGTCTAGTTTCTATGGGAAGACATTTCCTTTTGCACCACAGCCCCCAAAGCACTCCAAATGTCTACTTGCAGATTCGATAAAAGAGTTTTACAACACTGCTCTATCAAAAGAAAGGTTCAACGCCGTGAGTTGAATCCACATATCACGAAAAAGTTTCTGAGAATGCCTCTATCTACTTTTCCTGTGAAGATATTCCGGTTTCCAACGAAGGCCTCAAAGCGCTCCAAATATCTACTTGCAGATTCTAGAAAAAGAGTGTTTCACAACTGCTCTATTGAAGGAAGGTTCAACTCTGTGAGTTGAATTCACACATCACAAAGAACTTTCTGACAATGCTTCTATCTAGTTTTTATGTGAAGATATTACTGTTTCCTATGAAGGCCTCAAAGTGGTCCGAATATCCACTTGCAGATTCTACAAAAAGAGGTTTTCAAAACTGCTCTATGAAGAGGTATGTTCAAGTCTGTGAGTTGAATGCAAACATCACGAAGCAGTTTCTGAGAATGCTTCTGTCTAGATTTTAGGGGCAGATATTTCCATTGGCACAACAGCCCTCAAAGCGCTCCAAAGATCCACTGGCAGATTCTACCAAAAGAGTGTCTCAAAACTGCTCTGTGAAAAGAAATGTTCAACTGTGTTAGTTGAATGCCCACATCACAAAGGAGATTCTGAGAATATTTCTGTCTAGATTTTATTAGAAGATATTCCCGTTTCCACCAAAGGACACAAAGCGAAGCCAATTATCCGCTTGCAGATCTTACAAAAACACGTTTCAAAACTGCTCTATCAAAGGAAAGTTTCATCTCTCTGGGTTCAACGCACACATCACAAAGAAGTTTCTGAGAATGCTTCTGGCTAGTTTGTGTGTGAAGATATTCCCATTTCCAACAAAGCCTTCAAAGCGCTCCAAAGATTCACCTGCAATTGTTCAAAAGAGTGTTTCAAAACTGTTCTATCAAAAGAAAGGTTCAACTCTGTGAGTTGAATGCACGCTTCACATAAATGTTTCCGAGAATGCTTCTTTCTAGTTTTTATGGGAAGATATTTCCTTCTCCACCATAGCCCTCAAAGCGCTCCAAGTGTCTGCTGGCAGATTCCACAGAAACAGTGTTTCAAAACTGCTCTAACAAAAGAAAGATTCAACTCCGTGATTTGAATGCACACATCACAAAGCATTTTCTGTGAATCCTTCTGTCTAGTTTTTATATGAGGATATTTCCTTTTCTACCATGGGCATCAAAGCGTTCCAATTATGCAATTGTGGATTGTACAAACAGAGTGTTTCAAAACTGCTTCATGAAAAGGAAGATTCAAATTTGGGAGTAGAATACACACATCACGAAGAAGCTTCTGAGAATGCTTCTGTCTAGTTTATATGTGAAGATATTCCCATTTCCAGCAAAGGTCTCAAAGCGGTCCAAATATCCACTTGCAGATCCCACAAACAGAGGGTTTCAAAACTGCTTTACGGAAAGGTATGTTCAACTCTGTGAGTTTACTGCAAACATCCTAAAGATGTTTCTGAGAATGCTGCTGTCTAGTTTAATGTGAATATATTTTCTTTTCCGCCATAGCCCTCGAAGAGCTCCAAATATCCACTTTCAGATTCTACAGAGTGTTTCAAAACTGCTCTATCATAAAAAAGTTTCAACTCGGTGAGTCGAATGCACATATCACAAAGCACTTTGTGAGAATGCTTCTGTCTTGTTTTTAGAGGCAGATATTTCTTTTTCTACCATAGGCCTCAAAGCGCTCCAAATATCCACTTGCAGATTCTCCAAAAGGAGTGTTTCAAAACTGCTCCATAAAAAGGAAGGTTCAACTCTGTGAGTTGAATGGACAGATGATAAAGAAGTTTCTGAGAATGCTTCTCTCTAGTGTTTATGTGAAGATATTCCCGTTTCCGATGAAGGCCTCAAAGCAGTCCAAATATCCACTTGCCCATTCTACAAAAACAGTGTTTCAAAACCACTCTATGGAAAGGTATGTTCAACACTGTGAGATGAATGCAAACGTCACCAAGAAGTTGCTGAGAATGCTTCAGTCTAGTTTCTATGGGAAGACATTTCCTTTTGCACCACAGCCCTCAAAGCACCCCGAATGTCTACCTGCAGATTCGATAAAAGAGTTTTTCAAAACTGCTCCATCCAAAGAAAGGTTCAACGCTGTGAGTTGAATCTACATATCACAAAAAGTTTCTGAGAATGCCTCTATCTACTTTTTATGTGAAGATATTCCCGGTTTCCAAAGAAGGCCTCAAAGCGCTCCAAGTATCTACTTGCAGATTCTAGAAAAAGAGTGTTTCAAAACTGCTCTATTAAAGGAAGGTTCAACTCTGTGAGTTGAATTCACACATCACAAAGAACTTTCTGACAATGCTTCTATCTAGTTTTTATGTGAAGATATTACTGTTTCCTATGAAGGCCTCAAAGTGGTCCGAATATCCACTTGCAGATTCTACAAAAAGAGGTTTGCAAAACTGCTCTATGAAGAGGTATGTTCACCTCTGTGAGTTGAATGCAAACATCACAAAGCAGTTTCTGAGAATGCTTCTGTCTAGTTTTTAGGGGCAGATATTTCCGTTGGCACAATAGCCCTCAAAGCGCTCCAAATATCCACTGGCAGATTCTACCAAAAGAGTGTTTCAAAACTGCTCTGTCAAAAGAAACGTTCAACTCTGTTAGTTGAATGCCCACATCACAAAGAAGATTCTGAGAATATTTCTGTCTAGTTTTTATTAGAAGATATTCCCGTTTCCACCAAAGGACACAAAGCGAAGCCAACCATCCGCTTGCAGATCTTACAAAAACACGTTTCAAAACTGCTCTTTCAAAGGAAAGGTTCATCTCTCTGGGTTCAACGCACACATCACAAAGAAGTTTCTGAGAATGCTTCTGGCTAGTTTGTGTGTGAAGATATTCCCATTTCCAACAAAGGCTTCAAAGCCCTCCAAATATTCACCTGCAATTGTTCAAAAGAGTGTTTCAAAACTGTTCTATCAAAAGGAAGGTTCAACTCTGTGAGTTGAAGGCACGCTTCACATAAATGGTTCTGAGAATGCTTCTTTCTAGTTTTTATGTGAAGATATTTCCTTCTCCACCATAGCCCTCAAAGCGCTCCAAGTGTCCGCTGGCAGATTCCACAGAAACAGTGTTTCAAAACTGATCTAACAAAAGAAAGATTCAACTCCGTGATTTGAATGCACACATCACAAAGCATTTTCTGTGAATCCTTATCTGTCTAGTTTTTATATGAGGATATTTCCTTTTCTACCATGGGCATCAAAGGGTTCCAATTATCCAATTGTAGATTGCACAAATAGAGAGTTTCAAAACTGCTTCATGAGAAGGAAGATTCAAATTTGGGAGTAGAATGCGCACATCACGAAGAAGTTTCTGAGAATGCTTCTGTCCAGTTTATATGTGAAGATATTCCCGTTTCCAGCAAAGGTCTCAAAGCGGTCCAAATATCCACTTGCGGATCCCACAAACAGAGTTTTTCAAAGCTGCTCTACGGAAAGGTATGTTCAAATCTGTGAGTTTACTGCAAACATCCTAAAGAAGTTTCTGGGAATGCTGCTGTCTAGTTTAATGTGAATATATTTTCTTTTCCGCCATAGCCCTCAAAGAGCTCCAAATATACACTTGCAAATTCTACAGAGTGTTTCAAAACTGCTCTATCCAAAAAAAGTTTCAAATCGGTGAGTCGAATGCACATATCAAAAAGCAGTTTCTGAGAATGCTTTCGTCTATTTTTCCCAGGAAGATATTTCCTTTTGGACCGTAGGCCTCAAATCGCTCCAGATATCCACATGCAGATTCTACAAAAAGAGTGTTTCCAAACTGCCCTATCAAAAGGAAGGTTCAACTCTGGTAGTTGAATGCAAACATCACAAAGAAGTTTCTGAGAATGCTTCTGTCTAGTTGTAATAGGCAGATATTTCTTTTTCTACCATAGGCCTCAAAGCGCTCCAAATATCCACTTGCAGATTCTCCAAAAACAGTGTTTCAAAACTGCTCCATAAAAAGGAAGGTTCAACTCTGTGAGTTGAATGGACAGATCACAAAGTAGTTTCTGAGAATGCTTCTCTCTAGTGTTTATGTGAAGATATTCCCGTTTCCGATGAAGGCCTCAAAGCAGTCCAAATATCCACTTGCCGATTCTACAAAAACAGTGTTTCAAAACCACTCTATGGAAAGGTATGTTCAACACTATGAGATGAATGCAAACGTCACCAAGAAGTTGCTGAGAATGCTTCAGTCTACTTTCTATGGGAAGACATTTCCTTTTGCACCACAGCCCCCAAAGCACTCCAAATGTCTACTTGCAGATTCGATAAAGGAGTTTTACAAAACTGCTCTATCAAAAGAAAGGTTCAACGCTGTGACTTGAATCCACATATCACGAAAAAGTTTCTGAGAATGCCTCTATCTACTTTTCCTGTGAAGATATTCCGGTTTCCAACGAAGGCCTCAAAGCGCTCCAAATATCTACTTGCAGATTCTAGAAAAAGAGTGTTTCAAAACTGCTGTATTAAAGGAAGGTTCAACTCTGTGAGTTGAATTCACACATCACAAAGAACTTTCTGACAATGCTTCTATCTAGTTTTTATGTGAAGATAATACTGTTTCCTACGAAGGCCTCAAAGTGGTCCGAATATCCACTTGCAGATTCTACAGAAAGAGGTTTTCAAAACTGCTCTGTGAAGAGGTATGTTCAACTCTGTGTGTTGAATGCAGACATCACGAAGTAGTTTCTGAGAATGCTTCTGTCTAGTTTTCAGGGGCAGATATTTCCATTGGCAAAATAGCCCTCCAAGCGCACCAAATATCCACTGGCAGATTCTACCAAAAGAGTGTTTCAAAACTGCTCTGTGAAAAGAAATGTTCAACTGTGTTAGTTGAATGCCCACATCACAAAGGAGATTCTGAGAATATTTCTGTCTAGTTTTTATTAGAAGATATTCCCGATTCCACCAAAGGACACAAAGCGAAGCCAATTATCCGCTTGCCGATCTTACAAAAACACGTTTCAAAACTGCTCTATCCAAGGAAAGGTTCATCTCTCTGGGTTCAACGCACACATCACAAAGAAGTTTCTGAGAATGCTTCTGGCTAGTTTGTGTGTGAAGATATTCCCATTTCCAACAAAGGCTTCAAAGCCCTCCAAATATTCACCTGCAATTGTTCAAAAGAGTGTTTCAAAACTGTTCTATCAAAAGGAAGGTTCAACTCTGTGAGTTGAATGCACGCTTCACATAAATGGTTCTGAGAATGCTTCTTTCTAGTTTTTATGTGAAGATATTTCCTTCTCCACCATAGCCCTCAAAGCGCTCCAAGTGTCCGCTGGCAGATTCCACAGAAACAGTGTTTCAAAACTGCTCTAACAAAAGAAAGATTCAACTCCGTGATTTGAATGCACACATCACAAAGCATTTTCTGAGAATCCTTCTGTCTAGTTTTTATATGAAGATATTTCCTTTTCTACCATGGGCATCAAAGCGTTCCAATTATCCAATTGTGGATTGCACAAACAGAGTGTTTCAAAACTGCTTCATGAAAAGGAAGATTCACATTCGGGAGTAGAATGCACACATCACGAAGAAGTTTCTGACAATGCTTCTGTCCAGTTTATATGTGAAGATATTCCCGTTTCCAGCAAAGGTCTCAAAGCGGTCCAAATATCCACTTGCGGATCCCACACACAGAGTGTTTCAAAGCTGCTCTACGGAAAGGTATGTTCAACTCTGTGAGTTTACTGCAAACATCTTAAAGAAGTTTCTGGGAATGCTGCTGTCTAGTTTAATGTGAATACATTTTCTTTTCCGCCATAGCCCTCGAAGAGCTCCAAATATCCACTTTCAGATTCTACAGAGTGTTTCAAAACTGCTCTATCAAAAAAAAGTTTCAACTCGGAGAGTCGAATGCACATATCACAAAGCAGTTTCTGAGAATGCTTTCGTCTATTTTTCCCAGGAAGATATTTCCTTTTTGACCGTAGGCCTCAAACCGCTCCAGATATCCACATGCAGATTCTACAAAAAGAGTGTCTCCAAACTGCCCTATCAAAAGGAAGTTCAACTCTGCTAGTTGAATGCAAACATCACAAAGAAGTTTCTCGGAATGCTTCTGTCTGGTTTTCAGAGGCAGATATTTCTTTTTCTACCATAGGCCTCAAAGCGCTCCAAATATCCACTTGCAGATTCTCCAAAAGGAGTGTTTCAAAACTGCTCCATAAAAAGGAAGGTTCAACTCTGTGAGTTGAATGGACAGATGACAAAGAAGTTTCTGAGAATGCTTCTCTCTAGTGTTTATGTGAAGATATTCCCGTTTCCGATGAAGGCCTCAAAGCAGTCCAAATATCCACTTGCAGATTCTACAAAAACAGTGTTTCAAAAGTACTCGATGGAAAGGTATGTTCAACACTGTGAGATGAATGCAAACGTCACAAAGAAGTTGAGAGAATGCTTCAGTCTAGTTTCTATGGGAAGACATTTCCTTTTGCACCACAGCCCTCAAAGCACCCCAAATGTCTACCTGCAGATTCGATAAAAGGGTTTTTCAAAACTGCTCCATCCAAAGAAAGGTTCAACGCTGTGAGTTGAATCTACATATCACAAAAAAGTTTCTGAGAATGCCTCTATCTACTTTTTCTGTGAAGATATTCCGGTTTCCAATGAAGGCCTCAAAGCGCTCCAAATATCTAATTGCAGATTCTAGAAGAAGAGTGTTTCAAAACTGCTCTATTAAAGGAAGGTTCAACTCTGTGAGTTGAATTCACACATCACAAGGAACTTTCTGACAATGCTTCTATCTAGTTTTTATGTGAAGATATTACTGTTTCCTATGAAGGCCTCAAAGTGGTCCGAATATCCACTTGCAGATTCTACAGAAAGAGGTTTTCAAAACTGCTCTGTGAAGAGGTATGTTCAACTCTGTGTGTTGAATGCAAACATCACGAATTAGTTTCTGAGAATGCTTCTGTCCAGTTTTCAGGGGCAGATATTTCCATTGGCACAATAGTCCTCCAAGCGCTCCAAATATCCACTGGCAGATTCTACCAAAAGAGTGTTTCAAAACTGCTCTGTGAAAAGAAATGTTCAACTGTGTTAGTTGAATGCCCACATCACAAAGGAGATTCTGAGAATATTTCTGTCTAGTTTTTATTAGAAGATATTCCCGTTTCCACCAAAGGACACACAGCGAAGCCAACTATCCGCTTGCAGATCTTACAAAAACACGTTTCAAAACTGCTCTGTCAAAGGAAAGGTTCATCTCTCTGGGTTCAACGCACACATCACAAAGAAGTTTCTGAGAATGCTTCTGGCTAGTTTGTGTGTGAAGATATTCCCATTTCCAACAAAGGCTTCAAAGCCCTCCAAATATTCACCTGCAATTGTTCAAAAGAGTGTTTCAAAACTGTTCTGTCAAAAGGAAGGTTCAACTCTGTGAGTTGAACGCACGCTTCACATAAATGGTTCTGAGAATGCTTCTTTCTAGTTTTTATGGGAAGATATTTCCTTCTCCACCACAGCCCTCAAAGCGCTCCAAGTGTCCGCTGGCAGATTCCACAGAAACAGTGTTTCAAAACTGCTATAACAAAAGAAAGATTCAACTCCGTGATTTGAATGCACACATCACAAAGCATTTTCTGTGAATCCTTCTGTCTAGTTTTTATATGAGGATATTTCCTTTTCTACCATGGGCATCAAAGCGTTCCAATTATCCAATTGTAGATTGCGCAAATAGAGTGTTTCAAAACTGCTTCATGAGAAGGAAGATTCAAATTCTGGAGTAGAATGCACACATCAAGAAGAAGTTTCTTAGAATGCTTCTGTCCAGTTTATATTTGAAGATATTCCCGTTTCCAGCAAAGGTCTCAAAGCGGTCCAAATATCCACTTGCGGATCCCACACACAGAGTGTTTCAAAGCTGCTCTATGGAAAGGTATGTTCAACTCTGTGAGTTTACTGCAAACATCCTAAAGAAGTTTCTGGGAATGCTGCTGTCTACTTTAATGTGAATATATTTTCTTTTCCGACATAGCCCTCAAAGATCTCCAAATATCCACTTTCAGATTCTACAGAGTGTTTCAAAACTGCTCTATCAAAAAAAAGTTTCAACTCGGTGAGTCGAATGCACATATCACAAAGCAGTTGCTGAGAATGCTTTCGTCTATCTTTCCCAGGAAGATATTTCCTTTTGGACCGTAGGCCTCAAATCGCTCCAGATATCCACATGCAGATTCTACAAAAAGAGTGTTTCCAAACTGCCCTATGAAAAGGAAGGTTCAACTCTGGTAGTTGAAGGCAAACATCACAAAGAAGTTTCTCAGAATGCTTCTGTCTGGTTTTTAGAGGCAGATATTTCTTTTTCTACCATAGGCCTCAAAGCGCTCCAAATATCCACCTGCAGATTCTCCAAAAGGAGTGTTTCAAAACTGCTCCATAAAAAGGAAGGTTCAACTCTGTGAGTTGAATGGACAGATCACAAAGAAGTTTCTGAGAATGCTTCTCTCTAGTGTTTATGTGAAGATATTCCCGTTTCCGATGAAGGCCTCAAAGCAGTCCAAATATCCACTTGCCGATTCTACAAAAACAGTATTTCAAAACTACTCTATGGAAAGGTATGTTCAACACTGTGAGATGAATGCAAACGTCACAAAGAAGTTGCTGAGAATGCTTCAGTCTAGTTTCTATGGGAAGACATTTCCTTTTGCACCACAGCCCTCAAAGCACCCCAAATGTCTACCTGCAGATTCGATAAAAGAGTTTTTCAAAACTGCTCCATCCAAAGAAAGGTTCAACGCTGTGAGTTGAATCTACATATCACAAAAAATGTTTCTGAGAATGCCTCTATCTACATTTCCTGTGAAGATATTCCGGTTTCCAAAGAAGGCCTCTAAGCGCTCCAAATATCTACTTGCAGATTCTAGAAAAAGAGTGTTTCAAAACTGCTCTATTAAAGGAAGGTTCAACTCTGTGAGTTGAATTCACACATCACAAAGAACTTCCTGACAATGCTTCTATCTAGTTTTTATGCGAAGATATTACTGTTTCCTATGAAGGCCTCAAAGTGCTCCGAATATACACTTGCAGATTCTACAAAAAGAGGTTTTCAAAACTGCTCTGTGATGAGGTATGTTCAACTCTGTGAGTTGAATGCAAACATCACGAAGTAGTTTCTGAGAATGCTTCTGTCTAGTTTTTAGGGGCAGATATTTCCGTTGGCACAATAGCCCTCAAAGCGCTCCAAATATCCACTGGCAGATTCTACCAAAAGAGTGTTTCAAAACTGCTCTGTGAAAAGAAAGGTTCAACTGTGTTAGTTGAATGCCCACATCACAAAGAAGATTCTGAGAATATTTCTGTCTAGTTTTTATTAGAAGATATTCCCGTTTCCACCAAAGGACACAAAGCGAAGCCAACTATCCGCTTGCAGATCTTACAAAAACACGTTTCAAAACTGCTCTTTCAAAGGAAAGGTTCATCTCTCTGGGTTCAACGCACACATCACAAAGAAGTTTCTGAGAATGCTTCTGGCTAGTTTGTGTGTGAAGATATTCCCATTTCCAACAAAGGCTTCAAAGCGCTCCAAAGATTCACCTGCAATTGTTCCAAAGAGTGTTTCAAAACTGTTGTATCAAAAGGAAGGTTCAACTCTGTGAGTTGAAGGCACGCTTCACATAAATGTTTCTGAGAATGCTTCTTTCTAGTTTTTATGGGAAGATATTTCCTTCTCCACCACAGCCCTCAAAGCGCTCCAAGTGTCCGCTGGCAGATTCCACAGAAACAGTGTTTGAAAACTGCTCTAACAAAAGAAAGATTCAACTCCGTGATTTGAATGCACACATCACAAAGCATTTTCTGTGAATCCTTCTGTCTAGTTTTTATATGAGGATATTTCCTTTTCTACCATGGGCATCAAAGCGTTCCAATTATCCAATTGTGGATTGCACAAACAGAGTGTTTCAAAACTGCTTCATGAAAAGGAAGATTCAAATTCGGGAGGAGAATGCACACATCATGAAGAAGTTTCTGAGAATGCTTCTGTCTAGTTTATATGTGAAGATATTCCCATTTCCAGCAAAGGTCTCAAAGCGGTCCAAATATCCACTTGCGGATCCCACAAACAGAGTGTTTCAAAACTGCTCTACAGAAAGGTAGGTTCAACTCTGTGAGTTTACTGCAAACATCCTAAAGAAGTTTCTGAGAATGCTGCTGTCTACTTTAATGTGAATATATTTTCTTTTCCGCCATAGCCCTGCAAGAGCTCCAAATATCCACTTTCAGATTCTACAGAGTGTTTCAAAACTGCTCTATCAAAAAAAAGTTTCAACTCGGTGAGTCGAATTCCCATATCACAAAGCAGTTTCTGAGAATGCTTTCGTCTATTTTTCCCAGGAAGATATTTCCTTTTTGACCGTAGGCCTCAAACCGCTCCAGATATCCACATGCAGATTCTACAAAAAGAGTGTTTCCAAACTGCCCTATCAAAAGGAAGGTACAACTCTGCTAGTTGAATGCAAACATCACAGAGAAGTTTCTCGGAATGCTTCTGTCTGGTTTTTAGAGGCAGATATTTCTTTTTCTACCATAGGCCTCAAAGCGCTCCAAATATCCACTTGCAGATTCTCCAAAAACAGTGATTCAAAACTACTCCATAAAAAGGAAGGTTCAACTCTGTGAGTTGAATGGACAGATCACAAAGAAGTTTCTGAGAATGCTTCTGTCTAGTGTTTATGTGAAGATATTCCCGTTTCCGATGAAGGCCTCAAAGCAGTCCAAATATCCACTTGCAGATTCTACAAAAATAGTGCTTCAAAACTACTCTATGGAAAGGTATGTTCAACACTGTGAGATGAATGCAAACGTCACAAAGTAGTTTCTGAGAATGCTTCAGTCTAGTTTCTATGGGAAGACATTTCCTTTTGCACCACAGCCCTCAAAGCACCCCAAATGTTTACCTGCAGATTCGATAAAAGAGGTTTTCAAAACTGCTCCATCCAAAGAAAGGTTCAACGCTGTGAGTTGAATCTACATATCACAAAACAAGTTTCTGAGAATGCCCCTATCTACTTTTCCTGTGAAGATACTCCGGTTTCCAACGAAGGCCTCAAAGCGCTCCAAATATCTACTTGCAGATTCCAGAAAAAGAGTGTTTCAAAACTGCTCTATTAAAGGAAGTTTCAACTACTGTGAGTTGAATTCACACATCACAAAGAACTTTCTGACAATGCTTCTATCTAGTTTTTATGTGAAGATATTACTGTTTCCTATGAAGGCCTCAAAGTGGTCCGAATATCCACTTGCAGATTCTACAGAAAGAGGTTTTCAAAACTGCTCTATGAAGAGGTATGTTCAACTCTGTGAGTTGAATGCAAACATCACGAAGTAGTTTCTGAGAATGCTTCTGTCTAGTTTTCAGGGGAAGATATTTCCATTGGCACAATAGCCCTCAAAGCGCTCCAAATATCCACTGGCAGATTCTACCAAAAGAGTGTTTCAAAACTACTCTATGAAAAGAAATCTTCAACTGTGTTAGTGGAATGCCTACATCACAAATAAGATTCTGAGAATATTTCTGTCTAGTTTTTATTAGAAGATATTCCCGTTTCCACCAAAGGACACAAAGCGAAGCCAATTATCCGCTTGCCGATCTTACAAAAACAAGTTTCAAAACTGCTCTATCAAAGGAAAGGTTCATCTCTCTGGGTTCAACGCACACATCACAAAGAAGTTTCTGAGAATGCTTCTGGCTAGTTTGTGTGTGAAGATATTCCCATTTCCAACAAAGGCTTCAAAGCCCTCCAAATATTCACCTGCAATTGTTCAAAAGAGTGTTTCAAAACTGTTCTATCAAAAGGAAGGTTCAACTCTGTGAGTTGAATGCACGCTTCACATAAATGGTTCTGAGAATGCTTCTTTCTAGTTTTTATGGGAAGATATTTCCTTCTCCACCATAGCCCTCAAAGCGCTCCAAGTGTCCGCTGGCAGATTCCACAGAAACATTTTTTCAAAACTGCTCTGACAAAAGAAAGATTCAACTCCGTGATTTGAATGCACACATCACAAAGCATTTTCTGTGAATCCTTCTGTCTAGTTTTTATATGAGGATATTTCCTTTTCTACCATGGGCATCAAAGCCTTCCAATTATCCAACTGTGGATTGCACAAACAGAGTGTTTCAAAACTGCTTCATGAAAAGGAAGATTCAAATTCGGGAGTAGAATGCACACATCACGAAGAAGTTTCTGAGAATGCTTCTGTCTAGTTTATATGTGAAGATATTCCCGTTTCCAGCAAAGGTCTCAAAGCGGTCCAAATATCCACTTGCGGATCCCACAAACAGAGTGTTTCAAAACTGCTCTACGGAAAGGTATGTTCAACTCTGTGAGTTTACTGCAAACATCCTAAAGAAGTTTCTGGGAATGCTGCTGTCTAGTTTAATGTGAATATATTTTCTTCTCCGCCATAGCCCTCAAAGAGCTCCAAATCTACACTTTCAGATTCTACAGAGTGTTCCAAAACTGCTCTATCAAAAAAAAGTTTCAACTCGGTGAGTCGAATGCACATATCACAAAGCAGTTTCTGAGAATGCTTTCGTCTATTTTTCCCAGGAAGATATTTCCTTTTTGACCGTAGGCCTCAAACCGCTCCAGATATCCACATGCAGATTCTAAAAAAAGAGTGTCTCCAAACTGCCCTATCAAAAGGAAGGTTCAACTCTGCTAGTTGAATGCAAACATCACAGAGAAGTTTCTCGGAATGCTTCTGTCTAGTTTTTAGAGGCAGATATTTCTTTTTCTACCACAGGCCTCAAAGCGCTCCAAATATCCACTTGCAGATTCTCCAAGAACAGTGTTTCAAAACTGCTCCAGAAAAAGGAAGGTTCAACTCTGTGAGTTGAATGGACAGATCACAAAGAAGTTTCTGAGAATGCTTCTCTCTAGCGTTTATGTGAAGATATTCCCGTTTCCGATGAAGGCCTCAAAGCAGTCCAAATATCCACTTGCCGATTCTACAAAAACAGTGTTTCAAAACTACTCTATGGAAAGGTATGTTCAACACTGTGAGATGAATGCAAACGTCACAAAGAAGTTGCTGAGAATGCTTCAGTCTAGTTTCTATGGGAAGACATTTCCTTTTGCACCACAGCCCTCAAAGCACCCCAAATGTCTACCTGCAGATTCGATAAAAGAGTTTTTCAAAACTGCTCCATCCAAAGAAAGGTTCAACGCTGTGAGTTGAGTCTACATATCACAAAAAATGTTTCTGAGAATGCCTCTATCTACATTTCCTTTGAAGATATTCCGGTTTCCAAAGAAGGCCTCCAAGCGCTCCAAATATCTACTTGCAGATTCTAGAAAAAGAGTGTTTCAAAACTGCTCTATTAAAGGAAGGTTCAACTCTGTGAGTTGAATTCACACATCACAAAGAACTTCCTGACAATGCTTCTATCCAGTTTTTATGTGAAGATATTACTGTTTCCTATGAAGGCCTCAAAGTGGTCCGAATATCCACTTGCAGATTCTACAGAAAGAGGTTTTCAAAACTGCTCTGTGAAGAGGTATGTTCAACTCTGTGTGTTGAATGCAAACATCACGAAGTAGTTTCTGAGAATGCTTCTGTCCAGTTTTCAGGGGCAGATATTTCCATTGGCACAATAGCCCTCCAAGCGCTCCAAATATCCACTGGCAGATTCTACCAAAAGAGTGTTTCAAAACTGCTCTGTGAAAAGAAATGTTCAACTGTGTTAGTTGAATGCCCACATCACAAAGGAGATTCTGAGAATATTTCTGTCTAGTTTTTATTAGAAGATATTCCCGTTTTCACCAAGGGACACAAAGCAAAGCCAATTATCCGCTTGCAGATCTTACAAAAACACGTTTCAAAACTGCTCTATCAAAGGAAAGGTTCATCTCTCTGGGTTCAACGCACACATCACAAAGAAGTTTCTGGGAATGCTTCTGGCTAGTTTGTGTGTGAAGATATTCCCATTTGCAACAAAGGCTTCAAAGCGCTCCAAAGATTCACCTGCAATTGTTCCAAAGAGTGTTTCAAAACTGTTGTATCAAAAGGAAGGTTCAACTCCGTGAGTTGAATGCACGCTTCACATAAATGTTTCTGAGAATGCTTCTTTCTAGTTTTTATGTGAAGATATTTCCTTCTCCACCATAGCTCTCAAAGCGCTCCAAGTGTCCGCTGGCAGATTCCACAGAAACAGTGTTTCAAAACTGCTCTAACGAAAGAAAGATTCAACTCCGTGATTTGAATGCACACATCACAAAGCATTTTCTGTGAATCCTTCTGTCTAGTTTTTATATGAGGATATTTCCTTTTCTACCACGGGCATCCAAGCATTCCAATTCTCCAATTGTAGATTGCACAAACAGAGTGTTTCAAAACTGCTCCATGAGAAGGAAGATTCAAATTTGGGAGTACAATGCACACATCACCAAGAAGTTTCTGAGAATGCTTCTGTCTAGCTTATATGTGAAGATATTCCCATTTCCAGCAAAGGTCTCAAAGCGGTCCAAATATCCACTTGAGGATCCCACAAACAGAGTGTTTCAAAACTACTCTACCGTAAGGTATGTTCAACTCTCTGAGTTTACTGCAAACATCCTAAAGAAGTTTCTGAGAATGCTGCTGTCTACTTTAATGTGAATATATTTTCTTTTCCGCCATAGCCCTCAAAGAGCTCCAAATATCCACTTTCAGATTCTACAGAGTGTTTCAAAACTGCTCTATCAAAAAATAGTTTCAACTCGGTGAGTCGAATGCACATATCACAAAGCAGTTTCTGAGAATGCTTTCGTCTATTTTTCCCAGGAAGATATTTCCTATTTGACCGTAGGCCTCAAACCGCTCCAGATATCCACATGCAGATTCTACAAAAAGAGTGTTTCCAAACTGCCCTATCAAAAGGAAGGTTCAACTCTGCTAGTTGAATGCAAACATCACAAAGGAGTTTCTCGGAATGCTTCAGTCTAGTATTTAGAGGCAGATATTTCTTTTTCTACCATTGGCCTCAAGGCGCTCCAAATATCCACTTGCAGATTCTCCACAAACAGTGTTTCAAAACTGCTCCATAAAAAGGAAGGTTCAACTCTGTGAGTTGAACGGACAGATCACAAAGAAGTTTCTGAGATTGCTTCTCTCTAGTGTTTATGTGAAGATATTCCCGTTTCCGATGAAGGCCTCAAAGCAGTCCAAATATCCACTTGCCGATTCTACAAAAACAGTGTTTCAAAACCACTCTATGGAAACGTATGTTCAACACTGTGAGATGAATGCAAACGTCACCAAGAAGTTGCTGAGAATGCTTCAGTCTAGTTTCTATGGGAAGACAATTCCTTTTGCACCACAGCCCTCAAAGCACCCCAAATGTCTACCTGCAGATTCGATAAAAGAGTTTTTCAAAACTGCTCCATCCAAAGAAAGGTTCAACGCTGTGAGTTGAATCTACATATCACAAAAAAGTTTCTGAGAATGCCTCTATCTACTTTCTATGTGAAGATATTCCGGTTTCCAACGAAGGCCTCAAAGCGCTCCAAATATCTACTCGCAGATTCTAGAAAAAGAGTGTTTCAAAACTGCTCTATTAAAGGAAGGTTCAACTCTGTGAGTTGAATTCACACATCACAAAGAACTTTCTGACAATGCTTCTATCTAGTTTTTATGCGAAGACATTACTGTTTCCTATGAAGGCCTCAAAGTGCTCCGAATATCCACTTGCAGATTCTACAAAAAGAGGTTTTCAAAACTGCTCTGTGAAGAGGTATGTTCAACTCTGTGAGTTGAATGCAAACATCACGAAGTAGTTTCTGAGAATGCTTCTGTCTAGTTTTTAGGGGCAGATTTTCCATTGGCACAATAGCCCTCAAAGCGCTCCAAATATCCACTGGCAGATTCTACCAAAAGAGTGTTTCAAAACTGCTCTGTGAAAAGAAACGTTCAACTGTGTTAGTTGAATGCCCACATCACAAAGAAGATTCTGAGAATATTTCTGTCTAGTTTTTATTAGAAGATATTCCCGTTTCCACCAAAGGACACAACGCGAAGCCAATTATCCGCTTGCAGATGTTAGAAAAACACGTTTCAAAACAGCTCTATCAAAGGAAAGGTTCATCTCTCTGGGTTCAACGCACACATCACAAAGAAGTTTCTGAGAATGCTTCTGGCTAGTTTGTGTGTGAAGATATTCCCATTTCCAAAAAAGGCTTCAAAGCCCTCCAAATATTCACCTGCAATTGTTCAAAAGAGTGTTTCAAAACTGTTCTATCAAAAGGAAGGTTCAACTCTGTGAGTTGAACGCACGCTTCACATAAATGGTTCTGAGAATGCTTCTTTCTAGTTTTTATGTGAAGATATTTCCTTCTCCACCATAGCCCTCAAAGCGCTCCAAGTGTCCGCTGGCAGATTCCACAGAAACAGTGTTTCAAAACTGCTCTAACAAAAGAAAGATTCAACTCCGTGATCTGAATGCACACATCACAAAGCATTTTCTGTGAATCCTTCTGCCTAGTTTTTATATGAGGATATTTCCTTTTCTACCATGGGCATCAAAGCGTTCCAATCATCCAATTGTAGAATGCACAAATAGAGTGTTTCAAAACTGCTTCATGAAAAGGAAGATTCAAATTTGGGAGTAGAATGCACACATCACGAAGAAGTTTCTGAGAATGCTTCTGTCTAGTTTATATGTGAAGATATTCCCGTTTCCAGCAAAGGTCTCAAAGCGGTCCAAATATCCACTTGCGGATCCCACAAACAGAGTGTTTCAAAACAGCTCTACGGAAAGGTATGTTCAACTCTGTGAGTTTACTGCAAACATCCTAAAGAAGTTTCTGGGAATGCTGCTGTCTACTTTAATGTGAATATATTTTGTTTTCCGCCATAGCCCTCAAAGAGCTCCAAATATCCACTTTCAGATTCTACAGAGTGTTTCAAAACTGCTCTATCAAAAAAAAGTTTCAACTCGGTGAGTCGAATGCCCATATCACAAAGCAGTTTCTGAGAATGCTTTTGTCTATTTTTCCCAGGAAGATATTTCCTTTTTGACCGTAGGCCTCAAACCGCTCCAGATATCCACATGCAGATTCTACAAAAAGAGTGTTTCCAAACTGCCCTATCAAAAGGAAGGTTCAACTCTGCTAGTTGAATGCAAACATCACAGAGAAGTTTCTCGGAATGCTTTCTGTCTGGTTTTTAGAGGCAGATATTTCTTTTTCTACCATAGGCCTCAAAGCGCTCCAAATATCCACTTGCAGATTCTCCAAAAAGAGTGTTTCAAAACTGCTGCAGAAAAAGGAAGGTTCAAATCTGTGAGTTGAATGGACAGATGACAAAGAAGTTTCTGAGGATGCTTCTGTCTAGTGTTTATGTGAAGATATTCCCGTTTCCGATGAAGGCCTCAAAGCAGTCCAAATATCCACTTGCAGATTCTACAAAAACAGTGTTTCAAAACTACTCTATGGAAAGGTATGTTCAACACTGTGAGATGAATGCAAACGTCACAAAGAAGTTGCTGAGAATGCTTCAGTCTAGTTTCTATGGGAAGACATTTCCTTTTGCACCACAGCCCTCAAAGCACCCCAAATGTCTACCTGCAGATTCGATAAAAGAGTTTTTCAAAACTGCTCCATCCAAAGAAAGGTTCAACGCTGTGAGTTGAATCTACATATCACAAAAAAGTTTACTGAGAATGCCTCTATCTACTTTTCCTGTGAAGATATTCCGGTTTCCAACGAAGGCCTCAAAGCGCTCCAAGTATCCACTTGCAGATTCTAGAAAAAGAGTGTTTCACAACTGCTCTATTGAAGGAAGGTTCAACTCTGTGAGTTGAATTCACACATCACAAAGAACTTTCTGACAATGCTTCTATCTAGTTTTTATGTGAAGATATTACTGTTTCCTATGAAGGCCTCAAAGTGGTCCGAATATCCCCTTGCAGATTCTACAAAAAGAGGTTTCCAAAAGTGCTCTATGAAGAGGTATGTTCAACTCTGTGAGTTGAATGCAAACATCACAGAGCAGTTTCTGAGAATGCTTCTGTCTAGTTTTTAGGGGCAGATATTTCCGTTGGCACAATAGCCCTCAAAGCGCTCCAAATATCCACTGGCAGATTCTACCAAAAGGGTGTTTCCAAACTGCTCTGTGAAAAGAAAGGTTCAACTGTGTTAGTTGAATGCCCACATCACGAAGAAGATTCTGAGAATATTTCTGTCTAGTTTTTATTAGAAGATATTCCCGTTTCCAACAAAGGACACAAAGCGAAGCCAACTATCCGCTTGCAGATCTTACAAAAACACGTTTCAAAACTGCTCTATCAAAGGAAAGGTTCATCTCTCTGGGTTCAACGCACACATCACAAAGAAGTTTCTGAGAATGTTTCTGGCTAGTTTGTGTGTGAAGATATTCCCAATTCCAACAAAGGCTTCAAAGCGCTCCAAAGATTCACCTGCAATTGTTCAAAAGAGTGTTTCAAAACTGTTGTATCCAAAGGAAGGTTCAACTCTGTGAGTTGAATGCACGCTTCACATAAATGTTTCTGAGAATGCTTCTTTCTAGTTTTTATGTGAAGATATTTCCTTCTCCACCGTAGCCCTCAAAGCGCTCCAAGTGTCCGCTGGCAGATTCCACAGAAACAGTCTTTCAAAACTGCTCTAACAAAAGAAAGATTCAACTCTGTGATTTGAATGCACACATCACAAAGCATTTTCTGTGAATCCTTCTGTCTAGTTTTTATATGAGGATATTTCCTTTTCTACCATGGGCATCAAAGCGTTCCATTTATCCAATTGTGGATTGCACAAACAGAGTGTTTCAAAACTGCTTCATGAAAAGGAAGATTCAAATTCGGGAGTAGAATGCACACATCACGAAGAAGTTTCTGAGAATGCTTCTGTCTAGTTTATATGTGAAGATATTCCCGTTTCCAGCAAAGGTCTCAAAGCGGTCCAAATATCCACTTGCGGATCCCACAAACAGAGTGTTTCAAAACTGCTCTACGGAAAGGTATGTTCAACTCTGTGAGTTTACTGCAAACATCCTAAAGAAGTTTCCGGGAATGCTGCTGTCTAGTTTAATGTGAATATATTTTCTTTTCCGCCATAGCCCTCAAAGAGCTCCAAATATCCACTTTCAGATTCTACAGAGTGTTTCAAAACTGCTCTATCCAAAAAAAGTTTCAACTCGGTGAGTCGAATGCACATGTCACAAAGCAGTTTCTGAGAATGCTTTCGTCTATCTTTCCCAGGAAGATATTTCCTTTTGGACCGTAGGCCTCAAATCGCTCCAGATATCCACATGCAGATTCTACAAAAAGAGTGTTTCCAAACTGCCCTATCAAAAGGAAGGTTCAACTCTGGTAGTTGAAGGCAAACATCACAAAGAAGTTTCACAGAATGCTTCAGTCTAGTTGTAATAGGCAGATATTTCTTTTTCTACCATAGGCCTAAAAGCGCTCCAAATATCCACTTGCAGATTCTCCAAAAACAGTGTTTCAAAACTGCTCCATAAAAAGGAAGGTTCAACTCTGTGAGTTGAATGGACAGATCACAAAGTAGTTTCTGAGAATGCTTCTCTCTAGTGTTTATGTGAAGATATTCCCGTTTCCGATGAAGGCCTCAAAGCAGTCCAAATATCCACTTGCCGATTCTACAAAAACAGTGTTTCAAAACTACTCTATGGAAAGGTATGTTCAACACTTGTGAGATGAATGCAAACGTCACCAAGAAGTTGCTGAGAATGCTTCAGTCTAGTTTCTATGGGAAGACATTACCTTTTGCACCACAGCCCTCAAAGCACCCCAAATGTCTACCTGCAGATTCGATAAAAGGGTTTGTCAAAACTGCTCCATCCAAAGAAAGGTTCAACGCTGTGAGTTGAATCTACATATCACAAAAAAGTTTCTGAGAATGCCTCTATCAACTTTTTATGTGAAGATATTCCGGATTCCAACGAAGGCCTCAAAGCGCTCCAAATATCTACTGGCAGATTCTAGAAAAAGAGTGTTTCAAAACTGCTCTATTAAAGGAAGGTTCAACTCTGTGAGTTGAATTCACACATCACAAAGAACTTTCTGACAATGCTTCTATCTAGTTTTTATGTGAAGATATTACTGTTTCCTATGAAGGCCTCAAAGTGGTCCGAATATCCACTTGCAGATTCTACAAAAAGAGGTTTGCAAAACTGCTCTATGAAGAGGTATGTTCACCTCTGTGAGTTGAATGCAAACATCACAAAACAGTTTCTGAGAATGCTTCTGTCTAGATTTTAGGGGCAGATATTTCCATTGGCACAACAGCCCTCAAAGCGCTCCAAATATCCACTGGCAGATTCTACCAAAAGAGTGTCTCAAAACTGCTCTGTGAAAAGAAATGTTCAACTGTGTTAGTTGAATGCCCACATCACAAAGGAGATTGTGAGAATATTTCTGTCTAGTTTTTATTAGAAGATATTCCCGTTTCCACCAAAGGACACAAAGCGAAGCCAATTATCCGCTTGCCGATCTTACAAAAACACGTTTCAAAACTGCTCTATCAAAGGAAAGGTTCATCTCTCTGGGTTCAACGCACACATCACAAAGAAGTTTCTGGGAATGCTTCTGGCTAGTTTGTGTGTGAATATATTCCCATTTCCAACAAAGGCTTCAAAGCGCTCCAAAGATTCACCTGCAATTGTTCAAAAGAGTGTTTCAAAACTGTTGTATCAAAAGGAAGGTTCAACTCTGTGAGTTGAATGCACGCTTCACATAAATGTTTCTGAGAATGCTTCTTTCTACTTTTTATGGGAAGATATTTCCTTCTCCACCATAGCCCTCAAAGAGCTCCAAGAGTCCGCTGGCAGATTCCACAGAAACAGTGTTTCAAAACTGCTCTGACAAAAGAAAGATTCAACTCCGTGATTTGAATGCACACATCACAAAGCATTTTCTGTGAATCCTTCTGTCTAGTTTTTATATGAGGATATTTCCTTTTCTACCATGGGCATCAAAGCGTTCCAATTATCCAATTGTGGATTGCACAAACCGAGTGTTTCAAAACTGCTTCATGAAAAGGAAGATTCAAATTTGGGAGTAGAATGCACACATCACGAAGAAGTTTCTGAGAATGCTTCTGCCTAGTTTATATGTGAAGATATTCCCATTTCCAGCAAAGGTCTCAAAGCGGTCCAAATATCCACTTGCGGATCCCACAAACAGAGTGTTTCAAAACTGCTCTACGGAAAGGTAGGTTCAACTCTGTGAGTTTACTGCAAACATCCTAAAGAAGTTTCTAAGAATGCTGCTGTCTACCTTAATGTGAATATATTTTCTTTTCCGCCATAGCCCTCAAAGAGCTCCAAATATCCACTTTCAGATTCTACAGAGTGTTTCAAAACTGCTCTATCAAAAAAAAGTTTCAACTCGGTGAGTCGAATGCACATATCACAAAGCACTTTCTGAGAATGCTTTCGTCTATCTTTCCCAGGCAGATATTTCCTTTTGGACCGTAGGCCTCAAATCGCTCCAGATATCCACATGCAGATTCTACAAAAAGAGTGTTTCCAAACTGCCCTATCAAAAGGAAGGTTCAACTCTGGTAGTTGAAGGCAAACATCACAAAGAAGTTTCTCAGAATGCTTCTGTCTGGTTTTTAGAGGCAGATATTACTTTTTCTACCATAGGCCTCAAAGCGCTCCAAATATCCACTTGCAGATTCTCGAAAAAGAGTGTTTCAAAACTGCTCCAGAAAAAGGAAGGTTCAACTCTGTGAGTTGAATGGACAGATGACAAAGAAGTTTCTGAGAATGCTTCTCTCTAGTGTTTATGTGAAGATATTCCCGTTTGTGATGAAGGCCTGAAAGCAGTCCAAATATCCACTTGCCGATTCTACAAAAACAGTGTTTCAAAACCACTCTATGGAAAGGTATGTTCAACACTGTGAGATGAATGCAAACGTCACCAAGAAGTTGCTGAGAATGCTTCAGTCTAGTTTCTATGGGAAGACATTTCCTTTTGCACCACAGCCCTCAAAGCACCCCAAATGTCTACCTGCAGATTCGATAAAAGAGTTTTTCAAAACTGCTCCATCCAAAAAAAGGTTCAACGCTGTGAGTTGAATCTACATATCACAAAAAAGTTTCTGAGAATGCCTCTATCTACTTTTCCTGTGAAGATATTCCGGTTTCCAACGAAGGCCTCAAAGCGCTCGAAATATCTACTTGCAGATTCTGGAAAAAGAGTGTTTCAAAACTGCTCTATTGAAGGAAGGTTCAACTCTGTGAGTTGAATTCACACATCACAAAGAACTTTCTGACAATGCTTCTATCTAGTTTTTATGCAAAGATATTACTGTTTCCTATGAAGGCCTCAAAGTGGTCCGAATATCCACTTGCAGATTGTACAGAAAGAGGTTTTCAAAACTGCTCTGTGAAGAGGTATGTTCAACTCTGTGTGTTGAATGCAAACATCACGAAGTAGTTTCTGAGAATGCTTCTGTCTAGTTTTTAGGGGCAGATATTTCCGTTGGCACAATAGCCCTCAAAGCGCTCCAAATATCCACTGGCAGATTCTACCAAAAGAGTGTTTCAAAACTGCTCTGTGAAAAGAAACGTTCAACTGTGTTAGTTGAATGCCCACATCACAAAGAAGATTCTGAGAATATTTCTGTCTAGTTTTTATTAGAAGATATTCCCGTTTCCACCAAAGGACACAAAGCGAAGCCCATTATCCGCTTGCAGACCTTACAAAAACACGTTTCAAAACTGCTCTATCAAAGGAAAGGTTCATCTCTCTGGGTTCAACGCACACATCACAAAGATGTTTCTGAGAATGCTTCTGGCTAGTTTGTGTGTGAAGATATTCCCATTTCCAACAAAGGCTTCAAAGCGCTCCGAAGATTCACCTGCAATTGTTCAAAAGAGTGTTTCAAAACTGTTGTATCAAAAGGAAGGTTCAACTCTGTGAGTTGAATGCACGCTTCACATAAATGTTTCTGAGAATGCTTCTTTCTAGTTTTTATGGAAAGATATTTCCTTCTCCACCATGACCCTCAAAGCGCTCCAAGTGTCCGCTGGCAGATTCCTCAGAAACAGTGTTTCAAAACTGCTCTAACAAAAGAAAGATTCAACCCCGTGATTTGAATGCACACATCACAAAGCATTTTCTGTGAATCCTTCTGTCTAGTTTTTATATGAGGATATTTCCTTTTCTACCATGGGCATCCAAGCCTTCCAATTCTCCAATTGTAGATTGCACAAACAGAGTGTTTCAAAACTGCTCCATGAGAAGGAAGATTCAAATTTGGGAGTACAATGCACACGTCACGAAGAAGTTTCTGAGAATGCTTCTGTCTAGTTTATATGTGAAGATATTCCCATTTCCAGCAAAGGTCTCAAAGCGGTCCAAATATCCACTTGCGGATCCCACAAACAGAGTGTTTCAAAGCTGCTCTACGGAAAGGTATGTTGAACTCTATGAGTTTACTGCAAACATCCTAAAGATGTTTCTGAGAATGCTGCTGTATAGTTTAATGTGAATATATTTTCTTTTCCACCATAGCCCTCAAAGAGCTCCAAATATCCACTTTCAGATTCTACAGAGTGTTTCAAAACTGCTCTATCCAAAAAAAGTTTCAACTCGGTGAGTTGAATGCACATATCACAAAGCAGTTTCTGAGAATGCTTTCGTCCATTTTTCCCAGGAAGATATTTCCTTTTGGACCGTAGGCCTCAAATCGCTCCAGATATCCACATGCAGATTCTACAAAAAGAGTGTTTCCAAACTGCCCTATCAAAAGGAAGGTTCAACTCTGGTAGTTGAATGTAAACATCACAAAGAAGTTTCTCAGAATGCTTCTGTCTGGTTTTTAGGGGCGGATATTTCTTTTTCTACCATAGGCCTCAAAGCGCTCCAAATATCCACTTGCAGATTCTCCAAAAGGAGTGTTTCAAAACTGCTCCATAAAAAGGAAGGTTCAACTCTGTGAGTTGAATGGACAGATGACAAAGAAGTTTCTGAGAATGCTTCTCTCTAGTGTTTATGTGAAGATATTCCCGTTTCCGATGAAGGCCTCAAAGCAGTCCAAATATCCACTTGCCGATTCTACAAAAACAGTGTTTCAAAACCACTCTATGGAAAGGTATGTTCAACACTGTGAGACGAATGCAAACGTCACCAAGAAGTTGCTGAGAATGCTTCAGTCTAGTTTCTATGGGAAGACATTTCCTTTTGCACCACAGCCCCCAAAGCACTCCAAATGTCTACTTGCAGATTCGATAAAAGAGTTTTACAAAACTGCTCTATCAAAAGAAAGGTTCAACGCTGTGAGTTGAATCCACATATCACGAAAAAGTTTCTGAGAATGCCTCTATCTACTTTTTATGTGAAGATATTCCGGTTTCCAAAGAAGGCCTCAAAGCGCTCCAAATATCTACTTGCAGATTCTACAAAAAGAGAGTTTCAAAACTGCTCTATTAAAGGAAGGTTCAACTCTGTGAGTTGAATTCACACATCACAAAGAACTTTCTGACAATGCTTCTGTCTAGTTTTTATGTGAAGATATTACTGTTTCCTATGAAGGCCTCAAAGTGGTCCGAATATCCACTTGCAGATTCTACAAAAAGAGGTTTGCAAAACTGCTCTATGAAGAGGTATGTTCACCTGTGTGAGTTGAATGCAAACATCACAAAGCAGTTTCTGAGAATGTTTCTGTCTAGTTTTTAGGGGCAGATATTTCCATTGGCACAATAGCCCTCAAAGCGCTCCAAATATCCACTGGCAGATTCGACCAAAAGAGTGTTTCAAAACTTCTCTGTGAAAAGATATGTTCAACTGTGTTAGTTGAATGCCCACATCACAAAGAAGTTTCTGAGAATATCTCTGTCTAGTTTTTATTAGAAGATATTCCCGTTTCCACCAAAGGACACACAGCGAAGCCAACTATCCGCTTGCAGATCTTACAAAAACACGTTTCAAAACTGCTCTATCAAAGGAAAGGTTCATCTCTCTGGGTTCAATGCACACATCACAAAGAAGTTTCTGAGAATGCTTCTGGCTAGTTTGTGTGTGAAGATATTCCCATTTCCAACAAAGGCTTCAAAGCCCTCCAAATACTCACCTGCAATTGTTCAAAAGAGTGTTTCAAAACTGTTCTATCAAAAGGAAGGTTCAACTCTGTGAGTTGAATGCACGCTTCACATAAATGGTTCTGAGAATGCTTCTTTCTAGTTTTTATGGGAAGATATTTCCTTCTCCACCACAGCCCTCAAAGCGCTCCAAGTGTCCGCTGGCAGATTCCACAGAAACAGTGTTTCAAAACTGCTCTGACAAAAGAAAGATTCAACTCCGTGATTTGAATGTACACATCACAAAGCATTTTCTGTGAATCCTTCTGTCTAGTTTTTATATGAGGATATTTCCTTTTCTACCATGGGCATCAAAGCGTTCCAATTATCCAATTGTGGATTGCACAAACAGAGTGTTTCAAAACTGCTTCATGAAAAGGAAGATTCAAATTTGGGAGTAGAATGCACACATCACGAAGAAGTTTACTGAGAATGCTTCTGTCTAGTTTATATGTGAAGATATTCCCATTTCCAGCAAAGGTCTCAAAGCGTTCCAAATATCCCCTTGCGGATCCCACAAACAGAGTGTTTCAAAACTGCTCTACGGAAAGGTAGGTTCAACTCTGTGAGTTTACTGCAAACATCCTAAAGAAGTTTCTGAGAATGCTGCTGTCTACTTTAATGTGAATATATTTTCTTTTCCGCCATAGCCCTCAAAGTGCTCCAAATATCCACTTTCAGATTCTACAGAGTGTTTCAAAACTGCTCTATCAAAAAAAAGTTTCAACTCGGTGAGTCGAATGCGCATATCACAAAGCACTTTCTGAGAATGCTTTCGTCTATTTTTCCCAGGAAGATATTTCCTTTTTGACCGTAGGCCTCAAACCGCTCCAGATATCCACATGCAGATTCTACAAAAAGAGTGTTTCCAAACTGCCCTATCAAAAGGAAGTTTTAACTCTGCTAGTTGAATGCAAACATCACAAAGAAGTTTCTCGGAATGCTTCTGTCTGGTTTTTAGAGGCAGATATTTCTTTTTCTACCATAGGCCTCAAATCGCTCCAAATATCCACTTGCAGATTCTCCAAAAGGAGTGTTTCAAAACTGCTCCATAAAAAGGAAGGTTCAACTCTGTGAGTTGAATGGACAGATGACAAAGAAGTTTCTGAGAATGCTTCTCTCTAGTGTTTATGTGAAGATATTCCCGTTTCCGATGAAGGCCTCAAAGCAGTCCAAATATCCACTTGCCGATTCTACAAAAACAGTGTTTCAAAACTACTCTATGGAAAGGTATGTTCAACACTGTGAGATGAATGCAAACGTCACCAAGAAGTTGCTGAGAAAGCTTCAGTCTAGTTTCTATGGGAAGACATTTCCTTTTGCACCTGAGCCCTCAAAGCACTCCAAATGTCTACTTGCAGATTCGATAAAAGAGTTTTTCAAAACTGCTCTATCAAAAGAAAGGTTCAACGCTGTGAGTTGAATCTACATATGACAAAAAAGTTTCTGAGCATGCCTCTATCTACGTTTTATGTGAAGATATTCCGGATTCCAACGAAGGCCTCAAAGCGCTCCAAATATCTACTTGCAGATTCTAGAAAAAGAGTGTTTCAAAACTGCTCTATTAAAGGAAAGTTCAACTCTGTGAGTTGAATTCACACATCACAAAGAACTTTCTGACAATGCTTCTATCTAGTTTTTATGTGAAGATATTACTGTTTCCTATGAAGGCCTCAAAGTGGTCCGAATATCCACTTACAGATTCTACAGAAAGAGGTTTTCAAAACTGCTCTATGAAGAGGTATGTTCAACTCTGTGAGTTGAATGCAAACATCACGAAGTAGTTTCTGAGAATGCTTCTGTATAGTTTTCAGGGGCAGATACTTCCATTGGCACAATAGCCCTCCAAGCGCTCCAAATATCCACTGGCAGATTCTACCAAAAGAGTGTTTCAAAACTGCTCTGTGAAAAGAAATGTTCAACTGTGTTAGTTGAATGCCCACATCACAAAGGAGATTCTGAGAATATTTCTGTCTAGTTTTTATTAGAAGATATTCGCGTTTCCACCAAAGGACACAAAGCGAAGCCAATTATCCGCTTGCCGATCTTACAAAAACACGTTTCAAAACTGCTCTATCAAAGGAAAGGTTCATCTCTCTGGGTTCAACGCACACATCACAAAGAAGTTTCTGAGAATGCTTCTGGCTAGTTTGTGTGTGAAGATATTCCCATTTCCAACAAAGGCTTCAAAGCGCTCCAAAGATTCACCTGCAATTGTTCAAAAGAGTGTTTCAAAACTGTTGTATCAAAAGGAAGGTTCAACTCTGTGAGTTGAATGCACGCTTCACATAAATGTTTCTGAGTATGCTTCTTTCTAGTTTTTATGGGAAGATATTTCCTTCTCCACCACAGCCCTCAAAGCGCTCCAAGTGTCCGCTGGCAGATTCCACAGAAAGAGTGTTTCAAAACTGCTCTAACAAAAGAAAGATTCAACTCCGTGATTTGAATGCACACATCACAAAGCATTTTCTGTGAATCCTTCTGTCTAGTTTTTATATGAGGATATTACCTTTTCTACAACGGGCATCAAAGCGTTCCAAATATCCAATTGTGGATTGCACAAACAGAGTGTTTCAAAACTGCTTCATGAGAAGGAAGATTCAAATTTGGGAGTAGAATGCACACATCACGAAGAAGTTTCTGAAAATGCTTCTGTCTAGTTTATACGTGAAGATATTCCCATTTCCAGCAAAGGTCTCAAAGCGGTCCAAATATCCACTTGCGGATCCCACAAACAGAGTGTTTCAAAACTGCTCTACGGAAAGGTATGTTCAACTCTGTGAGTTTACTGCAAACATCCTAAAGAAGTTTCTGAGAATGCTGCTGTCTACTTTAATGTGAATATATTTTCTTTTCCGCCATAGCCCTCAAAGAGCTCCAAATATCCACTTTCAGATTCTACAGAGTGTTTCAAAACTGCTGTATCAAAAAAAAGTTTCAACTCGGTGAGTCGAATGCGCATATCACAAAGCAGTTTCTGAGAATGCTTTCGTCTATTTTTCCCAGGAAGATATTTCCTTTTTGACTGTAGGCCTCAAACCGCTCCAGATATCCACATGCAGATTCTACAAAAAGAGTGTTTCCAAACTGCCCTATCAAAAGGAAGGTTCAACTCTGCTAGTTGAATGCAAACATCACAAAGAACTTTTCTCGGAATGCTTCTGTCTAGTTGTCATAGGCAGATATTTCTTTTTCTACCGTAGGCCTCAAAGTGCTCCAAATATCCACTTGCAGATCCTCCGAAAACAGTGTTTCAAAACTGCTCCATAAAAAGGAAGGTTCAACTCTGTGAGTTGAATGGACAGACCACAAAGAAGTTTCTGAGAATGCTTCTGTCTAGTGTTTATGTGAAGATATTCCCGTTTCCGATGAAGGCCTCAAAGCAGTCCAAATATCCACTTGCAGATTCTACAAAAATAGTGCTTCAAAACTACTCTATGGAAAGGTATGTTCAACACTGTGAGATGAAAGCAAACGTCACAAAGAAGTTGCTGAGAATGCTTCAGTCTAGTTTCTATGGGAAGACATTTCCTTTTGCACCACAGCCCCCAAAGCACTCCAAATGTCTACTTGCAGATTCGATAAAGGAGTTTTACAAAACTGCTCTATCAAAAGAAAGGTTCAACGCTGTGAGTTGAATCCACATATCACGAAAAAGTTTCTGAGAATGCCCTATCTACTTTTTATGTGAAGATATTCCGGTTTCCAAAGAAGGCCTCAAAGCGCTCCAAATATCTACTTGCAGATTCTAGAAAAAGAGTGTTTCAAAACTGCTCTATTAAAGGAAGGTTCAACTCTGTGAGTTGAATTCACACATCACAAAGAACTTTCTGACAATGCTTTCTATCTAGTTTTTATGTGAAGATATTACTGTTTCCTATGAAGGCCTCAAAGTGGTCCGAATATCCACTTGCAGATTCTACAGAAAGAGGTTTTCAAAACTGCTCTGTGAAGAGGTATGTTCAACTCTGTGTGTTGAATGCAGACATCACGAAGTAGTTTCTGAGCATGCTTCTGGCTAGTTTGTTTGTGAATATATTCCTATTTCCAACAAAGGCTTCAAAGCGCTCCAAAGATTCACCTGCAATTGTTCAAAAGAGTGTTTCAAAACTGTTCTGTGAAAAGAAATGTTCAACTGTGTTAGTTGAATGCCCACATCACAAAGAAGATTCTGAGAATATTTCTGTCTAATTTTTATTAGAAGATATTCCCGTTCCCACCAAAGGACACAAAGCGAAGCCAATTATCCGCTTGCAGATCTTACAAAAACACGTTTCAAAACTGCTCTATCAAAGGAAAGGTTCATCTCTCTGGGTTCAACGCACGCATCACAAAGAAGTTTCTGAGAATGCTTCTGGTTAGTTTGTGTGTGAAGATATTCCCATTTCCAACAAAGGCTTCAAAGCGCTCCAAAGATTCACCTGCAATTGTTCAAAAGAGTGTTTCAAAACTGTTGTATCCAAAGGAAGGTTCAACTCTGTGAGTTGAATGCACGCTTCACATAAATGTTTCTGAGAATGCTTCTTTCTAGTTTTTATGGGAAGATATTTCCTTCTCCACCACAGCCCTCAAAGCGCTCCAAGTGTCCGCTGGCAGATCCCACAGAAACAGTGTTTCAAAACTGCTCTGACAAAAGAAAGATTCAACTCCGTGATTTGAATGCACACATCACAAAGCATTTTCTGTGAATCCTTCTGTCTAGTTTTTATATGAGGATATTTCCTTTTCTACCACGGGCATCCAAGCGTTCCAATTCTCCAATTGTAGATTGCACAAACAGTGTGTTTCAAAACTGCTCCATGAGAAGGAAGATTCAAATTTGGGAGTACAATGCACACATCACGAAGAAGTTTCTGAGAATGCTTCTGTCTAGTTTATATGTGAAGATATTCCCATTTCCAGCAAAGGTCTCAAAGCGGTCCAAATATCCACTTGCGGATCCCACAAACAGAGTGTTTCAAAACTGCTCTACGGAAAGGTATGTTCAACTCTGTGACTTTACTGCAAACATCCTAAAGAAGTTTCTGAGAATGCTGCTGTCTACTTTAATGTGAATATAGTTTCTTTGCCGCCATAGCCCTCAAAGAGCTCCAAATATCCACTTTCAGATTCTACAGAGTGTTTCAAAACTGCTCTATCAAAAAAAAATTTCAACTCGGTGAGTCGAATGCACATATCACAAAGCACTTTCTGAGAATGCTTTCGTCTATTTTTCCCAGGAAGATATTTCCTTTTTGACCGTAGGCCTCAAACCGCTCCAGATATCCACATGCAGCTTCTACAAAAAGAGTGTTTCCAAACTGCCCTATCAAAAGGAAGGTTCAACTCTGCTAGTTGAATGCAAACATCACAAAGAAGTTTCTCGGAATGCTTCTGTCTAGTTTTTAGAGGCAGATATTTCTTTTTCTACCATAGGCCTCAAAGCGCTCCAAATATCCACTTGCAGATTCTCCAAAAACAGTGTTTCAAAACTGCTCCATAAAAAGGAAGGTTCAACTCTGTGAGTTGAATGGGCAGATCACAAAGAAGTTTCTGAGAATGCTTCTCTCTAGTGTTTATGAGAAGATATTCCCGTTTCCGATGAAGGCCTCAAAGCAGTCCAAATATCCACTTGCCGATTCTACAAAAACAGTGTTTCAAAACCACTCTATGGAAAGGTATGTTCAACACTGTGAGATGAATGCAAACGTCACCAAGAAGTTGCTGAGAATGCTTCAGTCTAGTTTCTATGGGAAGACATTTCCTTTTGCACCACAGCCCTCAAAGCACTCCAAATGTCTACTTGCAGATTCGATAAAAGAGTTTTACAAAACTGCTCTATCAAAAGAAAGGTTCAACGCTGTGAGTTGAATCCACATATCACGAAAAAGTTTCTGAGAATGCCTCTATCTACTTTTCCTGTGAAGATATTCCGGTTTCCAACGAAGGCCTCAAAGCGCTCCAAATATCTACTTGCAGATTCTAGAAAAAGTGTGTTTCAAAACTGCTCTATTAAAGGAAGGTTCAAATCTGTGAGTTGAATTCACACATCACAAAGAACTTTCTGACAATGCTTCTATCTAGTTTTTATGTGAAGATATTACTGTTTCCTATGAAGGCCTCAATGTGGTCCGAATATCCACTTGCAGATTCTACAAAAAGAGGTTTTCAAAACTGCTCTATGAAGAGGTATGTTCAAGTCTGTGAGTTGAATGCAAACATCACGAAGCAGTTTCTGAGAATGCTTCTGTCTAGATTTTAGGGGCAGATATTTCCATTGGCACAACAACCCTCAAAGCGCTCCAAATATCCACTGACAGATTCTACCAAAAGAGTGTCTCAAAACTGCTCTGTGAAAAGAAATGTTCAACTGTGTTAGTTGAATGCCCACATCACAAAGGAGATTGTGAGAATATTTCTGTCTAGTTTTTATTAGAAGATATTCCCGTTTCCACCAAAGGACACAAAGCGAAGCCAACTATCCGCTTGCAGATCTTACAAAAACACGTTTCAAAACTGCTCTATCAAAGGAATGGTTCATCTCTCTGGGTTCAACGCACACATCACAAAGAAGTTTCTGAGAATGCTTCTGGCTAGTTCGTGTGTGAAGATATTCCCGTTTCCAACAAAGGCTTCAAAGCCCTCCAAATATTCACCTGCAATTGTTCAAAAGAGTGTTTCAAAACTGTTCTATCAAAAGGAAGGTTCAACTCTGTGAGTTGAATGCACGCTTCACATAAATGGTTCTGAGAATGCTTCTTTCTAGTTTTTATGTGAAGATATTTCCTTCTCCACCATAGCCCTAAAAGCGCTCCAAGTGTCCGCTGGCAGA
The DNA here is from genome assembly GCF_000001405.40 of Homo sapiens. Classification (NCBI taxonomy): domain Eukaryota; kingdom Metazoa; phylum Chordata; class Mammalia; order Primates; family Hominidae; genus Homo; species Homo sapiens. The sequence goes on along the minus strand of NC_000019.10, from coordinate 24,667,683 downwards.
TTCCACAGAAACAGTGTTTCAAAACTGCTCTAACAAAAGAAAGATTCAACTCCGTGATCTGAATGCACACATCACAAAGCATTTTCTGTGAATCCTTCTGTCTAGTTTTTATATGAGGATATTTCCTTTTCTACCACGGGCATCCAAGCGTTCCAATTCTCCAATTGTAGATTGCACAGAGTGTTTCAAAACTGCTCCATGAGAAGGAAGATTCAAATTTGGGAGTACAATGCACACATCACCAAGAAGTTTCTGAGAATGCTTCTGTCTAGTTTATATGTGAAGATATTCCCATTTCCAGCAAAGGTCTCGGAGCGGTCCAAATATCCACTTGCAGATCCCACAAACAGAGGGTTTCAAAACTGCTTTACGGAAAGGTATGTTCAACTCTGTGAGTTTACTGCAAACATCCTAAAGAAGTCTCTGAGAATGCTGCTGTCTACTTTAATGTGAATATATTTTCTTTTCCGCCTAAGCCCTCAAAGAGCTCCAAATATCCACTTTCAGATTCTGCAGAGTGTTTCAAAACTGCTCTATCAAAAAAAAGTTTCAACTCGGTGAGTCGAATGCACATATCACAAAGCACTTTCTGAGAATGCTTTCGTCTATTTTTCCCAGGAAGATATTTCCTTTTTGACCGTAGGCCTCAAATCGCTCCAGATATCCACATGCAGATTCTACAAAAAGAGTGTTTCCAAACTGCCCTATGAAAAGGAAGGTTCAACTCTGGTAGTTGAATGCAAACATCACAAAGAAGTTTCTCAGAATGCTTCTGTCTGGTTTTTAGAGGCAGATATTTCTTTTTCTACCATAGGCCTCAAAGCGCTCCAAATATCCACTTGCGGATTCTCCAAAAGGAGTGTTTCAAAACTGCTCTATAAAAAGGAAGGTTCAACTCTGTGAGTTGAATGGACAGATGACAAAGAAGTTTCTGAGAATGCTTCTCTCTAGTGTTTATGTGAAGATATTCCCGTTTCCGATGAAGGCCTCAAAGCAGTCCAAATATCCAGTTGCCGATTCTACAAAAACAGTGTTTCAAAACCACTCTATGGAAAGGTATGTTCAACACTGTGAGATGAATGCAAACGTCACCAAGAAGTTGCTGAGAATGCTTCAGTCTACTTTCTATGGGAAGACATTTCCTTTTGCACCAGAGCCGTCAAAGCACTCCAAATGTCTACTTGCAGATTCGATAAAAGAGTTTTTCAAAACTGCTCTATCAAAAGAAAGGTTCAACGCTGTGAGTTGAATCTACATATGACAAAAAAGTTTCTGAGCATGCCTCTATCTACTTTTCCTGTGAAGATACTCCGGTTTCCAACGAAGGCCTCAAAGCGCTCCAAATATCTACTTGCAGATTCCAGAAAAAAAGTGTTTCAAAACTGCTCTATTAAAGGAAGGTTCAACTCTGTGAGTTGAATTCACACATCACAAAGAACTTTCTGACAATGCTTCTATCTAGTTTTTATGTGAAGATATTACTGTTTCCTATGAAGTCCTCAAAGTGGTCCGAATATCCACTTGCAGATTCTACAGAAAGAGGTTTTCAAAACTGCTCTGTGAAGAGGTATGTTCAACTCTGTGTGTTGAATGCAAACATCACGAAGTAGTTTCTGAGAATGCTTCTGTCTAGTTTTCAGGGGCAGATATCTCCACTGGCACAATAGCCCTCCAAGCGCTCCAAATATCCACCGGCAGATTCTACCAAAGAGTGTTTCAAAGCTGCTCTGTGAAAAGAAATGTTCAACTGTGTTAGTTGAATGCCCACATCACAAAGGAGATTCTGAGAATATTTCTGTCTAGTTTTTATTAGAAGATATTCCCGTTTCCACCAAAGGACACAAAGCGAAGCCAATTATCCGCTTGCCGATCTTACAAAAACACGTTTCAAAACTGCTCTATCGAAGGAAAGGTTCATCTCTCTGGGTTCAACGCACACATCACAAAGAAATTTCTGAGAATGCTTCTGGCTAGTTTGTGTGTGAATATATTCCTATTTCCAACAAAGGCTTCAAAGCGTTCCAAAGATTCACCTGCAATTGTTCAAAAGAGTGTTTCAAAACTGTTCTGTGAAAAGAAATGTTCAACTGTGTTAGTTGAATGCCCACATCACAAAGAAGATTCTGAGAATATTTCTTTCTAGTTTTTATGTGAAGATATTTCCTTCTCCACCATAGCCCTCAAAGCGCTCCAAGTGTCCGCTGGCAGATTCCACAGAAACAGTGTTTCAAAACTGCTCTAACAAAAGAAAGATTCAACTCCGTGATTTGAATGCACACATCACAAAGAATTTTCTGTGAATCCTTCTGTCTAGTTTTTATATGAGGATATTTCCTTTTCTACCATGGGCATCAAAGCTTTCCAATTATCCAATTGTGGATTGCACAAACAGAGTGTTTCAAAACTGCTTCATGAAAAGGAAGATTCAAATTTGGGAGTAGAATGCACACATCACGAAGAAGTTTCTGAGAATGCTTCTGTCTAGTTCATATGTGAAGATATTCCCATTTCCAGCAAAGGTCTCAAAGCGGTCCAAATATCCACTTGCGGATCCCGCAAACAGAGTGTTTCAAAACTGCTCTACAGAAAGGTATGTTCAACTCTGTGAGTTTACTGTAAACATCCTAAAGAAGTTTCTGGGAGTGCTGCTGTCTACTTTAATGTGAATATATTTTCTTTTCCGCCATAGCCCTCAAAGAGCTCCAAATATCCACTTTCAGATTCTATAGAGTGTTTCAAAACTGCTCTATCAAAAAAAAGTTTCAACTCGGTGAGTCGAATGCCCATATCACAAAGCAGTTTCTGAGAATGCTTTCGTCTATTTATCCCAGGAAGATATTTCCTTTTTGACCGTAGGCCTCAAACCGCTCCAGATATCCACATGCAGATTCTACAAAAAGAGTGTTTCCAAACTGCCCTATCAAAAGGAAGGTTCAACTCTGCTAGTTGAATGCAAACAACACAGAGAAGTTTACTTGGAATGCTTCTGTCTGGTTTTTAGAGGCAGATATTTCTTTTTCTACCATAGGCCTCAAAGCGCTCCAAATATCCACTTGCAGATTCTCCAAAAGGAGTGTTTCAAAACTGCTCCAGAAAAAGGAAGGTTCAACTCTGTGAGTTGAATGGACAGATGACAAAGAAGTTTCTGAGAATGCTTCTCTCTAGTGTTTATGTGAAGTATATTCCCGTTTCCGATGAAGGCCTCAAAGCAGTCCAAATATCCACTTGCCGATTCTACAAAAACAGTGTTTCAAAACCACTCTATGGAAAGGTATGTTCAACACTGTGAGATGAATGCAAACGTCACCAAGAAGTTGCTGAGAATGCTTCAGTCTAGTTTCTATGTGATGATATTTCCTTTTCGACTACAGCCCTCAAAGAACTCCAAATGTCTACTTGCAGATTCGATAAAAGAGTTCTTCAAAACTGTTCAATCAAAAGAAAGCTTCAACACTGTGAGTTGAATCTACATATAACAAAAAAGTTTCTGAGAATGCCTCTATCTACTATTTATGTGAAGATATTCCAGTTTCCAATGAAGGCCTCAAAGTGCTCCAAATATCTACTTGCAGATTCTACAAAAAGAGTGTTTGAAAACTGCACTATTAAAGGAAGGTTCAACTCTGTGAGTTGAATTCACACATCACAAAGAAGTTTCTGAGAATGCTTCTATCTAGTTTTTATGTGAAGATATTACTATTTACTCTGAAGGCCTCAAAGTGGTCCAAATATCCACTTGCAGATTCTACAAAAAGAGGATTTCAAAACTGCTCTATGAAGAGGGAAGTTCAACTCTGGTAGTTGAATGCAAACATCACAAAGCAGTTTCTGAGAATGCTTCTGTCTAGTTTTCAGGGGCAGAAATTTCCATTGGCACAATAGCCCTCAAATCGCTCCAAATATCCACTGGCAGATTCTACCAAAAGAGTGTTTCAAAACTGCTCTGTGAAAAGAAATGTTCAACTGTGTTAGTTGAATGCCCACATCACAAAGGAGATTCTGAGAATATTTCTGTCTAGTTTTTATTAGAAGATATTCCCGTTTCCACCAAAGGACACAAAGCGAAGCCAATTATCCGCTTGCCGATCTTACAAAAACACGTTTGAAAACTGCTCTATCAAAGGAAAGGTTCATCTCTCTGGGTTCAACGCACACATCACAAAGAAGTTTCTGAGAATGCTTCTGGCTAGTTTGTGTGTGAAGATATTCCCATTTCCAACAAAGGCTTCAAAGCGCTCCAAAGATTCACATGCAATTGTACAAAAGAGTGTTTCAAAACTGTTGTATCAAAAGGAAGGTTCAACTCTGTGAGTTGAATGCACGCTTCACATAAATGTTTCTGAGAATGCTTCTTTCTAGTTTTTATGGGAAGATATTTCCTTCTCCACCACAGCCCTCAAAGCGCTCCAAGTGTCCGCTGGCAGATTCCACAGAAACAGTGTTTCAAAACTGCTCTAACAAAAGAAAGATTCAACTCCGGTGATTTGAATGCACACATCACAAAGCATTTTCTGTGAATCCTTCTGTCTAGTTTCTATATGAGGATATTTCCTTTTCTACCTTGGGCATCAAAGCGTTCCAATTATCCAATTGTAGATGGCAGAAACAGAGTGTTTCAAAACTGCTTCATGAAAAGGAAGATTCAAATTTGGGAGTAGAATGCACACATCACGAAGAAGTTTCTGAGAATGCTTCTGTCTAGTTTATATGTGAAGTTATTCCCATTTCCAGCAAAGGTCTCAAAGCGGTCCAAATATCCACTTGCGGATCCCACAAACAGAGTGTTTCAAAACTGCTCTACGGAAAGGTATGTTCAACTCTGTGAGTTTACTGCAAACATCCTAAAGAAGTTTCTGAGAATGCTGCTGTCTACTTTTTTAATGTGAATATATTTTCTTTTCCGCCATAGCCCTCAAAGAGCTCCAAATATCCACTTTCAGATTCTACAGAGTGTTTCAAAACTGCTCTATCAAAAAAAAGTTTCAGCTCGGTGAGTCGAATGCACATATCACAAAGCACTTTCTGAGAATGCTTTCGTCTATTTTTCCCAGGAAGATATTTCCTTTTTGAACGTAGGCCTCAAACCGCTCCAGATATCCACATGCAGATTCTACAAAAAGAGTGTTTCCAAACTGCCCTATCAAAAGGAAGGTTCAACTCTGCTAGTTGAATGCAAACATCACAAAGAAGTTTCTCGGAATGCTTCTGTCTAGCTGTCATAGGCAGATATTTCTTTTTCTACCATAGGCCTCAAAGCACTCCAAATATCCACTTGCAGATTCTCCAAAAACAGGGTTTCAAAACTGCTCCATAAAAAGGAAGGTTCAACTCTGTGAGTTGAATGGACAGACCACAAAGAAGTTTCTGAGAATGCTTCTGTCTAGTGTTTATGTGAAGATATTCCCGTTTCCGATGAAGGCCTGAAAGCAGTCCAAATATCCACTTGCAGATTCTACAAAAATAGTGCTTCAAAACTACTCTATGGAAAGGTATGTTCAACACTGTGAGATGAATGCAAACGTCACAAAGAAGTTGCTGAGAATGCTTCAGTCTAGTTTCTATGGGAAGACATTTCCTTTTGCACCACAGCCCTCAAAGCACCCCGAATGTCTACCTGCAGATTCGATAAAAGGGTTTTTCAAAACTGCTCCATCCAAAGAAAGGTTCAACGCTGTGAGTTGAATCTACATATCACAAAAAAAGTTTCTGAGAATGCCTCTATCTACGTTTTATGTGAAGATATTCCGGTTTCCAACGAAGGCCTCAAAGCGCTCCAAATATCTACTGGCAGATTCTAGAAAAAGAGTGTTTCAAAACTGCTCTATTAAAGGAAGGTTCAACTCTGTGAGTTGAATTCACACATCACAAAGAACTTTCTGACAATGCTTCCATCTAGTTTTTATGTGAAGATATTACTGTATCTATGAAGGCCTCAAAGTGGTCCAAATATCCACTTGCAGATTCTACAAAAAGAGGTTTTCAAAACTGCTCTATGAAGAGGTATGTTCAACTCTGTGAGTTGAATGCAAACATCACAAAGCAGTTTCTGAGAATGCTTCTGTCTAGTTTTTAGGGGCAGATATTTCCATTGGCACAATAGCCCTCAAAGCGCTCCAAATATCCACTGGCAGATTCGACCAAAAGAGTGTTTCAAAACTGCTCTGTGAAAAGCAATGTTCAACTGTGTTAGTTGAATGCCCACATCACAAAGAAGTTTCTGAGAATATCTCTGTCTAGTTTTTATTAGAAGATATTCCCGTTTCCACCAAAGGACACAAAGCGAAGCCAATTATCCGCTTGCAGATCTTACAAAAACACGTTTCAAAACTGCTCTATCATAGGAAAGGTTCATCTCTCTGGGTTCAACGCACACATCACGAGAAGTTTCTGAGAATGCTTCTGGCTAGTTTGTGTGTGAAGATATTCCCATTTCCAACAAAGGCTTCAAAGCGCTCCAAAGATTCACCTGCAATTGTTCAAAAGGGTGTTTCAAAACTGTTGTATCAAAGGGAAGGTTCAACTCTGTGAGTTGAATGCAAGCTTCACATAAATGTTTCTGAGAATGCTTCTTTCTAGTTTTTATGTGAAGATATTTCCTTCTCCACCATAGCCCTCAAAGCACTCCAAGTGTCTGCTGACAGATTCCACAGAAACAGTGTTTCAAAACTGCTCTAACAAAAGAAAGATTCAACTCCGTGATCTGAATGCACACATCACAAAGCATTTTCTGTGAATCCTTCTGTCTAGTTTTTATATGAGGATATTTCCTTTTCTACCACGGGCATCCAAGCGTTCCAATTCTCCAATTGTAGATTGCACAAACAGAGTGTTTCAAAACTGCTCCTTGGGAAGGAAGATTCAAATTTGGGAGTACAATGCACAAATCACGAAGAAGTTTCTGAGAATGCTTCTGTCTAGTTTATGTGTGAAGATATTCCCGTTTCCAGCAAAGGTCTCAAAGGGGTCCAAATATCCACTTGCGGATCCCACAAACAGAGTGTTTCAAAACTGCTCTACGGAAAGGTATGTTCAACTCTGTGAGTTTACTGCAAACATCCTAAAGAAGTTTCTGGGAATGCTGCTGTCTAGTTTAATGTGAATATCTTTTCTTTTCCGCCATAGCCCTCAAAGAGCTCCAAATATCCACTTTCAGATTCTACAGAGTGTTTCAAAAGTGCTCTATCCAAAAAAAGTTTCAACTCGGTGAGTCGAATGCACATATCACAAAGCAGTTTCTGAGAATGCTTCCATCTAGTTTTTATGTGAAGATATTACTGTTTTCTATGAAGGCCTCAAAGTGGTCCAAATATCCACTTGCAGATTCTACAAAAAGAGGTTTTCAAAACTGCTCTATGAAGAGGTATGTTCAACTCTGTGAGTTGAATGCAAACATCACAAAGAAGTTTCTGAGAATGCCTCTGTCTAGTTGTTATAGGCAGATATTTCTTTTTCTACCATAGGCCACAAAGCGCTCCAAATATCTACTTGAAGATTCTCCAAAAACAGTGTTTCAAAACTGCTCCATAAAAAGGAAGGTTCAACTCTGTGAGTTGAATGGACAGATCACAAAGAAGTTTCTGAGAATGCTTCTGTCTAGTGTTTATGTGAAGATATTCCCGTTTCCGATGAAGGCCTCAAAGCAGTCCAAATATCCACTTGGAGATTCTACAAAAATAGTGCTTCAAAACTACTGTATGGAAAGGTATGTTCAACACTGTGAGATGAATGCAAACGTCACAAAGAAGTTGCTGAGAATGCTTCAGTCTAGTTTCTATGGGAAGACATTTCCTTTTGCACCACAGCCCTCAAAGCACTCTAAATGTCTACTTGCAGATTCGATAAAAGAGTTTTACAAAACTGCTCTATCAAAAGAAAGGTTCAACGCTGTGAGTTGAATCCACATATCACGAAAAAGTTTCTGAGAATGCCTCTATCTACGTTTTATGTGAAGATATTCCGGTTTCCAACGAAGGCCTCAAAGCGCTCCAAATATCTACTGGCAGATTCTAGAAAAAGAGTGTTTCAAAACTGCTCTATTAAAGGAAGGTTCAATTCTGTGAGTTGAATTCACACATCACAAAGAACTTTCTGACAATGCTTCTATCTAGTTTTTATGTGAAGATATTACTGTTTCCTAAGAAGGCCTCAAAGTGGTCCAAATATCCACTTGCAGATTCTACAGAAAGAGGTTTTCAAAACTGCTCTGTGAAGAGGTATGTTCAACTCTGTGTGTTGAATGCAAACATCACGAAGTAGTTTCTGAGAATGCTTCTGTCTAGTTTTTAGGGGCAGATATTTCCATTGGCACAATAGCCCTCAAAGCGCTCCAAATATCCACTGGCAGATTCGACCAAAAGAGTGTTTCAAAACTGCTCTGTGAAAAGAAATGTTCAACTGTGTTAGTTGAATGCCCACATCACAAAGAAGTTTCTGAGAATATCTCTGTCTAGTTTTTATTAGAAGATATTCCCGTTTCCACCAAAGGACACAATGCGAAGCCAATTATCCGCTTGCAGATCTTACAAAAACACGTTTCAAAACTGCTCTATCAAAGGAAAGGTTCATCTCTCTGGGTTCAACGCACACATCACAAAGAAGTTTCTGAGAATGCTTCTGGCTAGTTCGTGTGTGAAGAATATTCCCGTTTCCAACAAAGGCTTCAAAGCCCTCCAAATATTCACCTGCAATTGTTCAAAAGAGTGTTTCAAAACTGTTCTATCAAAAGGAAGGTTCAACTCTGTGAGTTGAATGCACGCTTCACATAAATGGTTCTGAGAATGCTTCTTTCTAGTTTTTATGGGAAGATATTTCCTTCTCCACCATAGACCTCAAAGCGCTCCAAGTGTCCGCTGGCAGATTCCACAGAAACTGTGTTTCAAAACTGCTCTAACAAAAGAAAGATTCAACTCCGTGATTCGAATGCACACATCACAAAGCATTTTCTGTGAATCCTTCTGTCTAATTTTTATATGAGGATATTTCCTTTTCTACCATGGGCATCAAAGCGTTCCAATTATCCACTTGTGGATTGCACAAACAGAGTGTTTCAAAACTGCTTCATGAAAAGGAAGATTCAAATTCGGGAGTAGAATGCACACATCACGAAGAAGTTTCTGAGAATGCTTCTGTCTAGTTGATATGTGAAGATATTCCCGTTTCCAGCAAAGGTCTCAAAGCGGTCCAAATATCCACTTGCGGATCCCACAAACAGAGTGTTTCAAAACTGCTCTACGGAAAGGTATGTTCAACTCTGTGAGTTTACTGCAAACATCCTAAAGAAGTTTCTGGGAATGCTGCTGTCTACTTTAATGTGAATATATTTTCTTTTCCGCCATAGCCCTCAAAGAGATCCAAATATCCACTTTCAGATTCTACAGAGTGTTTCAAAACTGCTCTATCAAAAAAAAGTTTCAACTCGGTGACTGGAATGCACATATCACAAAGCAGTTTCTGAGAATGCTTTCGTCTATTTTTCCCAGGAAGATATTGCCTTTTTGACCGTAGGCCTCAAACCGCTCCAGATATCCACATGCAGATTCTACAAAAGAGTGTTTCCAAACTGCCCTATCAAAAGGAAGGTTCAACTCTGCTAGTTGAATGCAAACATCACAGAGAAGTTTCTCGGAATGCTTCTGTCTGGTTTTTAGAGGCAGATATTTCTTTTTCTACCATAGGCCTCAAAGCGCTCCAAATATCCACTTGCAGATTCTCCAAAAAGAGTGTTTCAAAACTGCTCCATAAAAAGGAAGGTTCAACTCTGTGAGTTGAATGGACAGATCACAAAGAAGTTTCTGAGAATGCTTCTCTCTAGTGTTTATGTGAAGATATTCCCATTTCCGATGAAGGCCTCAAAGCAGTCCAAATATCCACTTGCCGATTCTACAGAAACAGTGTTTCAAAACCACTCTATGGAAAGGTATGTTCAACACTGTGAGATGAATGCAAACGTCACCAAGAAGTTGCTGAGAATGCTTCAGTCTAGTTCCTATGGGAAGACATTTCCTTTTGCACCACAACCCTCAAAGCACTCCAAATGTCTACTTGCAGATTCGATAAAAGAGTTTTACAAAACTGCTCTATCAAAAGAAAGGTTCAACGCTGTGAGTTGAATCCACATATCACGAAAAAGTTTCTGAGAATGCCTCTATCTGCTTTTTATGTGAGGATATTCCGGTTTCCAACGAAGGCCTCAAAGCGCTCCAAATATCTACTTGCAGATTCTAGAAAAAGAGTGTTTCAAAACTGCTCTATTAAAGGAAGGTTCAACTCTGTGATTTGAATTCACACATCACAAAGAACTTTCTGACTATGCTTCTATCTAGTTTTTATGTGAAGGTATTACTGTTTCCTATGAAGGCCTCAAAGTGGTCCGAATATCCACTTGCAGATTCTACAAAAAGAGGTTTTCAAAACTGCTCTATGAAGAGGTATGTTCAACTCTGTGAGTTGAATGCAAACATCACAAAGTAGTTTCAGAGAATGCTTCTGTCTAGTTTTTAGGGGCAGATATTTCCGTTGGCACAATAGCCCTCAAAGCGCTCCAAATATCCACTGGCAGATTCTACCAAAAGGTTGTTTCAAAACTGCTCTGTGAAAAGAAAGGTTCAACTGTGTTAGTTGAATGCCCACATCACAAAGAAGATTCTGAGAATATTTCTGTCTAGTTTTTATTAGAAGATATTCCCGTTTCCACCAAAGGACACAAAGCGAAGCCAATTATCCGCTTGCCGATCTTACAAAAACACGCTTCAAAACTGCTCTATCAAAGGAAAGGTTCATCTCTCTGGGTTCAACGCACACATCACAAAGAATTTTCTGAGAATGCTTCTGGCTAGTTTGTGTGTGAAGATATTCCCATTTCCAACAAAGGCTTCAAAGCGCTCCAAAGATTCACCTGCAATTGTTCCAAAGAGTGTTTCAAAACTGTTGTATCAAAAGGAAGGTTCAACTCTGTGAGTTGAATGCACGCTTCACATAAATGTTTCTGAGAATGCTTCTTTCTAGTTTTTATGGGAAGATATTCCCTTCTCCACCACAGCCCTCAAAGCGCTCCAAGTGTCCGCGGGCAGATTCCACAGAAACAGTGTTTCAAAACTGCTCTAACAAAATAAGATTCAACACCGTGATTTGAATGCACACATCACAAAGCATTTTCTGTGAATCCTTCTGTCTAGTTTTTATATGAGGATATTTCCTTTTCTACCATGGGCATCAAAGCGTTCCAATTATCCAATTGTAGATTGCACAAACAGAGTGTTTCAAAACTGCTTCATGAGAAGGAAGATTCAAATTTGGGAGTAGAATGCACACATCACGAAGAAGTTTCTGAGAATGCTTCTGTGTAGTTTATATGTGAAGATATTCCCATTTCCAGCAAAGGTCTCAAAGCGGCCCAAATATCCACTTGCGGATCCCACAAACAGAGTGTTTCAAAACTGCTCTTTGGAAAGGTATGTTCAACTCTGTGAGTTTACTGCAAACATCCTAAAGAAGTTTCTGAGAATGCTGCTGTCTACTTTAATGTGAATATATTTTCTTTTCTGCCATAGCCCTCAAAGAGCTCCAAATATCCACTTTCAGATTCTACAGAGTGTTTCAAAACTGCTCTATCAAAAAAAAGTTTCAACTCGGTGAGTCGAATGCACATATCACAAAGCACTTTCTGAGAATGCTTTCGTCTATTTTTCCCAGGAAGATATTTCCTTTTTGACCGTAGGCCTCAAACCGCTCCAGATATCCACATGCAGATTCTACAAAAAGAGTGTTTCCAAACTGCCCTATCAAAAGGAAGGTTCAACTCTGCTAGTTGAATGCAAACATCACAAAGAAGTTTCTCAGAATGCTTCTGTCTAGTTGTCATAGGCAGATATTTCTTTTTCTACCATAGGCCTCAAAGCGCTCCAAATATCCACTTGCAGATTCTCCAAAAACAGGGTTTCAAAACTGCTCCATAAAAAGGAAGGTTCAACACTGTGAGTTGAATGGACAGACCACAAAGAAGTTTCTGAGAATGCTTCTCTCTAGTGTTTATGTGAAGATATTCCCGTTTCCGATGAAGGCCTCAAAGCAGTCCAAATATCCACTTGCAGATTCTACAAAAACAGTGTTTCAAAAGTACTCGATGGAAAGGTATGTTCAACACTGTGAGATGAATGCAAACGTCACAAAGAAGTTGCTGAGAATGCTTCAGTCTAGTTTCTATTGGAAGACATTTCCTTTTGCACCACAGCCCTCAAAGCACCCCAAATGTCTACCTGCAGATTCGATAAAAGAGTTTTTCAAAACTGCTCCATCCAAAGAAAGGTTCAACGCTGTGAGTTGAATCTACATATCACAAAAAAGTTTCGTGAGAATGCCTCTATCTACTTTTCCTGTGAAGATATTCCGGTTTCCATCGAAGGCCTCAAAGCGCTCCAAATATCTACTTGCAGATTCTAGAAAAAGAGTGTTTCAAAACTGCTCTATTAAAGGAAGGTTCAACTCTGTGAGTTGAATTCACACATCACAAAGAACTTTCTGACAATGCTTCTATGTAGTTTTTATGTGAAGATATTACTGTTTCCTATGAAGGCCTCAAAGTGGTCCGAATATCCACTTGCAGATTCTACAGAAAGAGGTTTTCAAAACTGCTCTGTGAAGAGGTATGTTCAACTCTGTGTGTTGAATGCAAACATCACGAAGTAGTTTCTGAGAATGCTTCTGTCTAGTTTTTAGGGGCAGATATTTCCATTGGCACAATAGTCTTCAAAGCGCTCCAAATATCCACTGGCAGATTCTACCAAAAGAGTGTTTCAAAACTGCTCTGTGAAAAGAAATGTTCAACTGTGTTAGTTGAATGCCCACATCACAAAGAAGATTCTGAGAATATTTCTGTCTAGTTTTTATTAGAAGATATTCCCGTTTCCACCAAAGGACACAAAGCGAAGCCAATTATCCGCTTGCAGATCTTACAAAAACACGTTTCAAAACTGCTCTATCCAAGGAAAGGTTCATCTCTGCTGGGTTCAACGCACACATCACAAAGAAGTTTCTGAGAATGCTTCTGGCTAGTTTGTGTGTGAAGATATTCCCATTTCCAACAAAGGCTTCAAAGCGCTCCAAAGATTCACCTGCAATTGTTCAAAAGAGTGTTTCAAAACTGTTCTATCAAAAGGAAGGTTCAACTCTGTGAGTTGAATGCATGCTTCACATAAATGTTTCTGAGAATGCTTCTTTCTAGTTTTTATGGGAAGATATTTCCTTCTCCACCATAGCCCTCAAAGCGCTCCAAGTGTTCGCTGGCAGATTCCACAGAAACAGTGTTTCAAAACTGCTCTGACAAAAGAAAGATTCAACTCCATGATTTGAATGCACACATCACAAAGCATTTTCTGTGAATCCTTCTGTCTAGTTTTTATATGAGGATATTTCCTTTTCTACCATGGGCATCAAAGCGTTCCAATTATCCAATTGTGGATTGCACAAACAGAGTGTTTCAAAACTGCTTCATGAAAAGGAAGATTCAAATTTGGGAGGAGAATGCACACATCACGAAGAAGTTTCTGAGAATGCTTCTGTCTAGTTTATATGTGAAGATATTCCCATTTCCAGCAAAGGTCTCAAAGCGGTCCAAATATCCCCTTGCGGATCCCACAAACAGAGTGTTTCAAAACTGCTCTACGGAAAGGTATGTTCAACTCTGTGAGTTTACTGCAAACATCCTAAAGAAGTTACTGAGAATGCTTCTGTCTAGTTTAATGTGAATATATTTTCTTTTCCACCATAGCCCTCAAAGAGCTCCAAATATCCACTTTCAGATTCTACAGAGTGTTTCAAAACTGCTCTATCAAAAAAAAGGTTCAACTCTGTGAGTTGAATGCACATAACACAAAGTAGTTTCTGAGAATGATTTCGTCTATTTTTCCCAGGAAGATATTTCCTTTTTGACCGTAGGCCTCAAACCGCTCCAGATATCCACATGCAGATTCTACAAAAAGAGTGTTTCCAAACTGCCCTATCAAAAGGAAGGTTCAACTCTGCTAGTTCAATGCAAACATCACAGAGAAGTTTCTCGGAATGCTTCTGTCTGGTTTTTAGAGGCAGATATTTCTTTTTCTACCATAGGCCTCAAAGCGCTCGAAATATCCACTTGCAGATTCTCCAAAAACAGTGATTCAAAACTGCTCCATAAAAAGGAAGGTTCAACTCTGTGAGTTGAATGGACAGATCACAAAGAAGTTTCTGAGAATGCTTCTGTCTAGTGTTTATGTGAAGATATTCCCGTTTCCGATGAAGGCCTCAAAGCAGTCCAAATATCCACTTGCAGATTCTACAAAAACAGTGTTTCAAAACTACTCTATGCAAAGGTATGTTCAACCCTGTGAGATGAATGCAAACGTCACAAAGAAGTTGCTGAGAATGCTTCAGTCTAGTTTCTATGGGAAGACATTTCCTTTTGCACCACAGCCCTCAAAGCACTCCAAATGTCTACTTGCAGATTCGATAAAAGAGTTTTTCAAAACTGCTCTATCAAAAGAAAGGTTCAACGCTGTGAGTTGAATCTACATATCACAAAAAAGTTTCTGAGAATGCCTCTATCTACTTTTCCTGTGAAGATATTCCGGTTTCCAACGAAGGCCTCAAAGCGCTCCAAGTATCTACTTGCAGATTCTAGAAAAAGAGTGTTTCAAAACTGCTCTATTAAAGGAAGGTTCAACTCTGTGAGTTGAATTCACACATCACCAAGAACTTTCTGACAATGCTTCTATCTAGTTTTTATGTGAAGATATTACTGTTTCCTATGAAGGCCTCAAAGTGGTCCGAATATCCACTTTCAGATTCTACAAAAAAGGTTTTCAAAACGGCTCTATGAAGAGGTATGTTCAACTCTGTGAGTCGAATGCAAACATCAGAATGTAGTTTCTGAGAATGCTTCTGTCTAATTTTCAGGGGCAGATATTTCCATTGGCACAGTAGCCCTCCAAGTGCTCCAAATATCCACTGGCAGATTCTACCAAAACTGTGTTTCAAAACTGCTCTGTGAAAAGAAATGTTCAATTGTGTTAGTTGAATGCCCACATCACAAAGGAGATTCTGAGAATATTTCTGTCTAGCTTTTATTAGAAGATATTCCTGTTTCCACCAAAGGACACAAAGCGAAGCCAATTATCCGCTTGCAGATCTTACAAAAACACGTTTCAAAACTGCTCTATCCAAGGAAAGGTTCATCTCTCTGGG
The DNA here is from genome assembly GCF_000001405.40 of Homo sapiens. Classification (NCBI taxonomy): domain Eukaryota; kingdom Metazoa; phylum Chordata; class Mammalia; order Primates; family Hominidae; genus Homo; species Homo sapiens. The sequence goes on along the minus strand of NC_000019.10, from coordinate 24,652,467 downwards.
TTCAACGCACACATCACAAAGAAGTTTCTGAGAATGCTTCTGGCTAGTTTGTGTGTGAAGATATTCCCATTTCCAACAAAGGCTTCAAAGCGCTCCAAAGATTCACCTGTAATTGTTCAAAAGAGTGTTTCAAAACTGTTCTATCAAAACGAAGGTTCAACTCTGTGAGTTGAATGCACGCTTCACATAAATGTTTCTGAGAATGCTTCTTTCTAGTTTTTATGTGAAGATATTTCCTTCTCCACCATAGCCCTCAAAGCGCTCCAAGTGTCCGCTGGCAGATTCCACAGAAACGGTGTTTCAAAACTGCTCTAACAAAAGAAAGATTCAACTCCGTGATCTGAATGCACACATCACAAAGCATTTTCTGTGAATCCTTCTGTCTAATTTTTATATGAGGATATTTCCTTTTCTACCATGGGCATCAAAGCGTTCCAATTATCCAATTGTGGATTGCACAAACAGAGTGTTTCAAAACTGCTTCATGAAAAGGAAGATTCAAATTCGGGAGGAGAATGCACACATCACGAAGAAGTTTCTGAGAATGCTTCTGTCTAGTTTATATGTGAAGATATTCCCATTTCCAGCAAAGGTCTCAAAGCGGTCCAAATATCCACTTGCGGATCCCACAAACAGAGTGTTTCAAAACTGCTCTAAGGAAAGGTATGTTCAACTCTGTGAGTTTACTGCAAACATCCTAAAGAGGTTTCTGAGAATGCTGCTGTCTAGCTTAATGTGAATATCTTTTCTTTTCCGCCATAGCCCTCAAAGAGCTCCAAATATCCACTTTCAGATTCTACAGGGTGTTTCAAAACTGCTCTATCAAAAAAAAGTTTCAACTCGGTGAGTCGAATGCACATATCACGAAGCAGTTTCTGAGAATGCTTTCGTCTATTTTTCCCAGGCAAGATATTTCCTTTTTGACCATAGGCCTCAAATCGCTCCAGATATCCACATGCAGATTCTACAAAAAGAGTGTTTCCAAACTGCCCTATCAAAAGGAAGATTCAACTCTGGTAGTTGAATGCAAACATCACAAAGAAGTTTCTCAGAATGCTTCTGTCTAGTTTTTAGAGGCAGATATTTCTTTTTCTACCATAAGCCTCAAAGCGCTCCAAATATCCACTTGCAGATTCTCCAAAAACAGTGTTTCAAAACTGCTCCATAAAAAGGAAGGTTCAACTCTGTGAGTTGAATGGACAGATCACAAAGTAGTTTCTGAGAATGCTTCTGCCTAGTGTTTATGTGAAGATATTCCCGTCTCCGATGAAGGCCTCAAAGCAGTCCAAATATCCACTTGCAGATTCTACAAAAATAGTGTCTCAAAACTACTCTATGGAAAGGTATGTTCAACACTGTGAGATGAATGCAAACGTCACAAAGAAGTTGCTGAGAATGCTTTCAGTCTAGTTTCTATGGGAAGACATTTCCTTTTGCACCACAGCCCTCAAAGCACCCCAAATGTCTACCTGCAGATTCGATAAAAGGGTTTTTCAAAACTGCTCCATCCAAAGAAAGGTTCAATGCTGTGAGTTGAATCTACATATCACAAAAAACTTTCTGAGAATGCCTCTATCTAGTTTTTATGTGAAGATATTACTGTTTCCTATGAAGGCCTCAAAGTGGTCCGAATATCCACTTGCAGATTCTACAGAAAGAGGTTTTCAAAACTGCTCTGTGAAGAGGTATGTTCAACTCTGTGTGTTGAATGCAGACATGACGAAGTAGTTTCTGAGAATGCTTCTGTCTAGTTTTCAGGGGCAGATATTTCCATTGGCACAATAGCCCTCCAAGCGCTCCAAATATCCACTGGCAGATTCTACCAAAAGAGTGTTTCAAAACTGCTCTGTGAAAAGAAATGTTCAACTGTGTTAGTTGAATGCCCACATCACAAAGGAGATACTGAGAATATTTTCTGTCTAGTTTTTATTAGAAGATATTCCCGTTTCCACCAAAGGACACAAAGCGAAGCCCATTATCCCCTTGCAGATCTTACAAAAACACGTTTCAAAACTGCTCTATCAAAGGAAAGGTTCATCTCTCTGGGTTCAACGCACACATCACAAAGAAGTTTCTGAGAATGCTTCTGGCTAGTTTGTGTGTGAAGATATTCCCATTTCCAACAAAGGCTTCAAAGCGCTCCAAAGATTCACCTGCAATTGTTCAAAAGAGTGTTTCAAAACTGTTGTATCAAAAGGAAGGTTCAACTCTGTGAGTTGAATGCACGCTTCACATACATGTTTCTGAGAATGCTTCTTTCTAGTTTTTATGTGAAGACATTTCCTTCTCCACCATAGCCCTCAAAGCGCTCCAAGTGTCCGCTGGCAGATTCCACAGAAACAGTGTTTCAAAACTGCTCTAACAAAACAAAGATTCACCTCCGTGATTTGAATGCACACATCACAAAGCATTTTCTGTGAATCCTTCTGTCTAGTTTTTATATGAGGATATTTCCTTTTCTACCATGGGCATCAAAGCGTTCCAATTATCCAATTGTGGATTGCACAAACAGAGTGTTTCAAAACTGCTTCAGGAAAAGGAAGATTCAAATTCGGGAGGAGAATGCACACATCACGAAGAAGTTTCTGAGAATGCTTCTGTCTAGTTTATATGTGAAGATTTTCCCATTTCCAGCAAAGGTCTCAAAGCTGTCCAAATATCCACTTGCGGATCCCACAAACAGAGTGTTTCAAAACTGCTCTACGGAAAGGTATGTTCAATTCCTTGAGTTTACTGCAAACATCCTAAAGAAGTTTCTGAGAATGCTGCTGTCAACTTTAATGTGAATATATTTTCTTTTCCGCCATAGCCCTCAAAGAGCTCCAAATATCCACTTTCAGATTCTACAGAGTGTTACAAAACTGCTGTATCAAAAAAAAGTTTCAACTCGGTGAGTCGAATGCGCATATCACAAAGCCCTTTCTGAGAATGCTTTCGTCTATTTTTCCCAGGAAGATATTTCCTTTTTGACCGTAGGCCTCAAACCGCTCCAGATATCCACATGCAGATTCTACAAAAAGAGTGTTTCCAAACTGCCCTATCAAAAGGAAGGTTCAACTCTGCTACTTGAATGCAAACATCACAGAGAAGTTTCTCGGAATGCTTCTGTCTGGTTTTTAGAAGCAGATATTTCTTTTTCTACCATAGGCCTCAAAGCGCTCCAAATATCCACTTGCAGATTCTCCAAAAGGAGTGTTTCAAATCTGCTCCATAAAAAGGAAGGTTCAACTCTGTGAGTTGAATGGACAGATGACAAAGAAGTTTCTGAGAATGCTTCTCTCTAGTGTTTATGTGAAGATATTCCCGTTTCCGATGAAGGCCTCAAAGCAGTCCAAATATCCACTTGCCGATACTACAAAAACAGTGTTTCAAAACCACTCTATGGAGAGGTATGTTCAACACTGTGAGATGAATGCAAACGTCACCAAGAAGTTGCTGAGAATGCTTCAGTCTAGTTTCTATGGGAAGACTTTTCCTTTTGCACCAGAGCCCTCAAAGCACCCCAAATGTCTACCTGCAGATTCGATAAAAGAGTTTTTCAAAACTGCTCCATCCAAAGAAAGGTTCAACACTGTGAGTTGAATCTACATATCACAAAAAAGTTTCTGAGAATGCCTCTATCTAATTTTCCTGTGAAGATATTCCGGTTTCCAACGAAGGCCTCAAAGCGCTCCAAATATCTACTTGCAGATTCTAGAAAAAGAGTGTTTCACAACTGCTCTATTAAAGGAAGGTTCAACTCTGTGAGTTGAATTCACACATCACAAAGTACTTTCTGACAATGCTTCTATCTAGTTTTTATGTGAAGATATTACTGTTTCCTATGATGACCTCAAAGTGGTCCGAATATCCACTTGCAGATTCTACAGAAAGAGGTTTTCAAAACTGCTCTGTGAAGAGGTATGTTCAACTCTGTGTGTTGAATGCAAACATCACGAAGTAGTTTCTGAGAATGCTTCTGTCTAGATTTTAGGGGCAGATATTTCCATTGGCACAACAGCCCTCAAAGCGCTCCAAATATCCACTGGCAGATTCTACCAAAAGAGTGTCTCAAAACTGCTCTGTGAAAAGAAATGTTCAACTGTGTTAGTTAAATGCCCACATCACAAAGGAGATTCTGAGAATATTTCTGTCTAGTTTTTATTAGAAGATATTCCCGTTTCCACCAAAGGACACAAAGCGAAGCCAATTATCCGCTTGCAGATCTTAAAAAAACACGTTTCAAAACTGCTCTATCAAAGGAAACGTTCATCTCTCTGGGTTCAACGCACACATCACAAAGAAGTTTCTCAGAATGCTTCTGGCTAGTTTGTGTGTGAAGATATTCCCATTTCCAACAAAGGCTTCAAAGCGCTCCAAAGATTCACCTGCAATTGTTCAAAAGAGTGTTTCAAAACTGTTCTATCAAAAGGAAGGTTCAACTCTGTGAGTTGAATACACGCTTCACATAAATGTTTCTGAGAATGCTTCTTTTTAGTTTTTATGGAAAGATATTTCCTTCTCCACCATGGCCCTCAAAGCGCTCCAAGTGTCCGCTGGCAGATTCCACAGAAACAGTGTTTCAAAACGGCTCTAACAAAAGAAAGATTCAACCCCGTGATTTGAATGCACACATCACAAAGCATTTTCTGTGAATCCTTCTGTCAAGTTTTTATATGAGGATATTTCCTTTTCTACCTTGGGCATCAAAGCGTTCCAATTATCCAATTGTAGATTGCAGAAATAGAGTGTTTCAAAACTGCTTCATGAAAAGGAAGATTCAAATTTGGGAGTAGAATGCACACATCACGAAGAAGTTTTTGAGAATGCTTCTGTCTAGTTTATATGTGAAGATATTCCCATTTCCAGCAAAGGTCTCAAAGCGGTCCAAATATCCACTTGCGGATCCCACAAACAGAGTGTTTCAAAACTGCTCTTCGGAAAGGTATGTTCAACTCTGTGAGTTTACTGCAAACATCCTAAAGAAGTTTCTGAGAATGCTGCTGTCTACTTTAATGTGAATATATTTTCTTTTCCGTCATAGCCCTCAAAGAGTTCCAAATATCCACTTTCAGGTTCTACAGAGTGTTTCAAAACTGCTGTATCAAAAAAAAGTTTCAACTCGGTGAGTCGAATGCGCATATCACAAAGCCCTTTCTGAGAATGCTTTCGTCTATTTTTCCCAGGAAGATATTTCCTTTTTGACCGTAGGCCTCAAACCGCTCAAGATATCCACATGCAGATTCTACAAAAAGAGTGTTTCCAAACTGCCCTATCAAAAGGAAGGTTCACCTCTGCTAGTTGAATGCAAACATCACAAAGAAGTTTCTCGGAATGCTTCTGTCTGGTTTTCAGAGGCAGATATTCCTTTTTCTACCATAGGCCTCAAAGCGCTCCAAATATCCACTTGCAGATTCTCCAAAAGGAGTGTTTCAAAACTGCTCCATAAAAAGGAAGGTTCAACTCTGTGAGTTGAATGGACAGATGACAAAGAAGTTTCTGAGAATGCTTCTCTCTAGTGTTTATGTGAAGATATTCCCGTTTCCGATGAAGGCCTCAAAGCAGTCCAAATATCCACTGGCCGATTCTACAAAAACAGTGTTTCAAAACTACTCTATGGAAAGGTATGTTCAACACTGTGAGATGAATGCAAACGTCACAAAGAAGTTGCTGAGAATGCTTCAGTCTAGTTTCTATGGGAAGACATTTCCCTTTGCGCCACAGCCCTCAAAGCACCCCAAATGTCTACCTGCAGATTCGATAAAAGAGTTTTTCAAAACTGCTCCATCCAAAGAAAGGTTCAACGCTGTGAGTTGAATCTACATATCACAAAAAAGTTTCTGAGAATGCCTCTATCTACTTTTTATGTGAAGATATTCCGGTTTCCAACGAAGGCCTCAAAGCTCTCCAAATATCTACTTGCAGATTCTAGAAAAAGAGTGTTTCAAAACTGCTCTATTAAAGGAAGGTTCAACTCTGTGATTTCAATTCACACATCACAAAGAACTTTCTGACAATGCTTCTATCTAGTTTTTATGTGAAGATATTACTGTTTCCTATGAAGGCCTCAAAGTGGTCCGAATATCACTTGCAGATTCTACAGAAAGAGGTTTTCAAAACTGCTCTGTGAAGAGGTATGTTCAACTCTGTGTGTTGAATGCAAACATCACGAAGTAGTTTCTGAGAATGCTTCTGTCTAGATTTTAGGGGCAGATATTTCCATTGGCACAACAGCCCTCAAAGCGCTCCAAATATCCACTGGCAGATTCTACCAAAAGAGTGTCTCAAAACTGCTCTGTGAAAAGAAATGTTCAACTGTGTTAGTTGAATGCCCACATCACAAAGGAGATTCTGAGAATATTTCTGTCTAGTTTTTATTAGAAGATATTCCCGTTTCCACCAAAGGACACAAAGCGAAGCCAATTATCCGCTTGCAGATCTTACAAAAACACGTTTCAAAAGTGCTCTATCCAAGGAAAGGTTCATCTCTCTGGGTTCAACGCACACATCACAAAGAAGTTTCTGAGAATGCTTCTGGCTAGTTTGTGTGTGAAGATATTCCCATTTCCAACAAAGGCTTCAAAGCGCTCCAAAGATTCACCTGCAATTGTTCAAAAGGGTGTTTCAAAACTGTTGTATCAAAAGGAAGGTTCAACTCTGTGAGTTGAAAGCACGCTTCACATAAATGTTTCTGAGAATGCTTCTTTCTAGTTTTTATGGGAAGATATTTCCTTCTCCACCACAGCCCTCAAAGCGCTCCAAGTGTCCGCTGGCAGATTCCACAGAAACAGTGTTTCAAAACTGCTCTAACAAAAGAAAGATTCAACTCCGTGATTTGAATGCACACATCACAAAGCATTTTTTGTGAATCCTTCTGTCTAGTTTTTATATGAGGATATTTCCTTTTCTACCATGGGCATCAAAGCGTTCCAATCATCCAATTGTAGAATGCACAAATAGAGTGTTTCAAAACTGCTTCATGAAAAGGAAGTTTCAAATTTGGGAGTAGAATGCACACATCACGAAGAAGTTTCTGAGAATGCTTCTGTCTAGTTTATATGTGAAGATATTCCCATTTCCAGCAAAGGTCTCAAAGCGGTCCAAATATCCCCTTGCGGATCCCACAAACAGAGTGTTTCAAAACTGCTCTACGGAAAGTTATGTTCAACTCTGTGAGTTTACTGCAAACATCCTAAAGAAGTTACTGAGAATGCTGCTGTCTAGTTTAATGTGAATATATTTTCTTTTCCACCATAGCCCTCAAAGAGCTCCAAATATCCACTTTCAGATTCTACAGAGTGTTTCAAAACTGCTCTATCAAAAAAAAGGTTCAACTCTGTGAGTTGAATGCTCATAACACAAAGTAGTTTCTGAGAATGATTTCGTCTATTTTTCCCAGGAAGATATTTCCTTTTTGACCGTAGGCCTCAAATCGCTCCAGATATCCACATGCAGATTCTACAAAAAGAGTGTTTCCAAACTGCGCAATCAAAAGGAAGGTTCAACTCTGGTAGTTGAATGCAAACATCACAAAGAAGTTTCTCAGAATGCTTCAGTCTAGTTTTTAGAGGCAGATGTTTCTTTTTCTACCATAGGCCTCAAACCGCTCCGAATATCCACTTGCAGATTCTCCAAAAACAGTGTTTCAAAGCTGCTCCATAAAAAGGAAGGTTCAACTCTGTGAGTTGAATGGACAGATCACAAAGAAGTTTCTGAGAATGCTTCTGTCTAGTGTTTATGTGAAGATATTCCCGTTTCCGATGAAGGCCTCAAAGCAGTCCAAATATCCAGTTGCAAATTCTACAAAAATAGTGTTTCAAAACTACTCTGTGGAAAGGTATGCTCAACACTGTGAAATGAATGCAAACCTCACGAAGAAGTTGCTGAGAATGCTTCAGTCTAGTTTCTATGGGAAGACATTTCCTTTTGCACCGCAGCCCTCAAAGCACCCCAAATGTTTACCTGCAGATTCGATAAAAGAGGTTTTCAAAACTGCTCCATCCAAAGAAAGGTTCAACGCTGTGAGTTGAATCTACATATCACAAAACAAGTTTCTGAGAATGCCTCTATCTACTTTTCCTGTGAAGATATTCCGGTTTCCAACGAAGGCCTCAAAGCGCTCCAAATATCTACTTGCAGATTCTAGAAAAAGAGTGTTTCACAACTGCTCTATTAAAGGAAGGTTCAACTCTGTGAGTTGAATTCACACATCACAAAGAAGTTTCTGACAATGCTTCTATCTAGGTTTTATGTGAAGATATTACTGTTTCCTATGAAGGCTTCAAAGTGGTCCGAATATCCACTTTCAGGTTCTACAAAAAAGGTTTTAAAAACTGCTCTATGAAGAGGTATGTTCAACTCTGTGAGTCGAATGCGAACATCACTATGTAGTTTCTGAGAAAGCTTCTGTCTAGTTTTCAGGGGCAGATATTTCCATTGGCACAATAGCCCTCCAAGCGCTCCAAATATCCACTGGCAGATTCTCCCAAAAGAGTGTTTCAAAACTGCTCTGTGAAAAGAAATGTTCAACTGTGTTAGTTGAATGCCCACATCACAAAGGAGATTCTGAGAATATTTCTGTCTAGTTTTTATTAGAAGATATTCCCGTTTCCACCAAAGGACACAAAGCGAAGCCAATTATCCACTTGCAGATCTTACAAAAACACGTTTCAAAACTGCTCTATCCAAGGAAAGGTTCATCTCTCTGGGTTCAACGCACACATCACAAAGAACTTTCTGAGAATGCTTCTGGCTAGTTTGTGTGTGAAGATATTCCCATTTCCAACAAAGGCTTCAAAGCGCTCCAAAGATTCACCTGCAATTGTTCAAAAGAGTGTTTCCAAACTGTTCTATCAAAACGAAGGTTCAACTCTGTGAGTTGAATGCACGCTTCACATAAATGTTTATGAGAATGCTTCTTTCTAGTTTTTATGGGAAGATATTTCCTTCTCCACCACAGCCCTCAAAGCGCTCCAAGTGTCCGATGGCAGATTCCACAGAAACAGTGTTTCAAAACTGCTCTAACAAAAGAAAGATTGAACTCCGTGATTTGAATGCACACATCACAAAGCATTTTCTGTGAATCCTTCTGTCTAGTTTTTATATGAGGATATTTCCTTTTCTACCATGGGCATCAAAGCGTTCCAATTATCCAATTGTGGATTGCACAAACAGAGTGTTTCAAAACTGCTTCATGAAAAGGAAGATTCAAATTCGCGAGGAGAATGCACACATCATGAAGAAGTTTCTGAGAATGCTTCTGTCCAGTTTATATGTGAAGATATTCCCATTTCCAGCAAAGGTCTCAAAGCGGTCCAAATGTCCACTTGCGGATCCCACAAACAGAGTGTTTCAAAACTGCTCTACGGAAAGGAATGCTCAACTCTGTGAGTTTACTGCAAACATCCTAAGGAAGTTTCTTGGAATGCTGCTGTCTACTTTAATGTGAATATACTTTCTTTTCCGCCATAGCCCTCAAAGATCTCCAAATATCCACTTTCAGATTCTACAGAGTGTTTCAAAACTGCTCTATCAAAAAAAAGTTTCAACTCGGTGAGTCGAATGCACATATCACAAAGCAGTTGCTGAGAATGCTTTCGTCTATCTTTCCCAGGAAGATATTTCCTTTTGGACCGTAGGCCTCAAATCGCTCCAGATATCCACATGCAGATTCTACAAAAAGAGTGTTTCCAAACTGCCCTATCAAAAGGAAGGTTCAACTCCGGTAGTTGAAGGCAAACATCACAAAGAAGTTTCTCAGAATGCTTCTGTCTAGTTGTCATAGGCAGATATTTCTTTTTCTACCATAGGCCTCAAAGCGCTCCAAATATCCACTTGCAGATTCTCCAAAAACAGGGTTTCAAAACTGCTCCATAAAAAGGAAGGTTCAACTCTGTGAGTTGAATGGACAGACCACAAAGAAGTTTCTGAGAATGCTTCTCTCTAGTGTTTATGTGAAGATATTCCCGTTTCCGATGAAGGCCTGAAAGCAGTCCAAATATCCACTTGCCGATTATACAAAAACAGTGTTTCAAAACCACTCTATGGAAAGGTATGTTCAAAACTGTGAGATGAATGCAAACGTCACCAAGAAGTTGCTGAGAATGCTTTCAGTCTAGTTTCTATGGGAAGACATTTCCTTTTGCACCAGAAGCCCTCAAAGCACTCCAAATGTCTACTTGCAGATTCGATAAAAGAGTTTTTCAAAACTGCTCTATCAAAAGAAAGGTTCAACGCTGTGAGTTGAATCTACATATGACAAAAAAGTTTCTGAGCATGCCTCTATCTACTTTTTGTGTGAAGATATTCCGGTTTCCAACGAAGGCCTCAAAGCGCTCCAAATATCTACTTGCAGATTCTAGAAAAAGAGTGTTTCAAAACTGCTCTATTAAACGAAGGTTCAACTCTGTGAGTTGAATTTACACATCACAAAGAACTTTCTGAGAATGCTTCTATCTAGTTTTTATGTGAAGATATTACTGTTTCCTATGAAGGCCTCAAAGTGGTCCGAATATCCACTTGCAGATTCTACAAAAAGAGGTTTTCAAAACTGCTCTATGCACACGTATGTTCAACTCTGTGAGTTGAATGCAAACATCACGAAGCAGTTTCTGAGAATGCTTCTGTCCAGATTTCAGGGGCAGATATTTCCATTGGCACAATAGCCCTCCAAGCGCTCCAAATATCCACTGGCAGATTCTACCAAAAGTGTGTTTCAAAACTGCTGTGTCAAAAGAAATGTTCAACTGTGTTAGTTGAATGCCCACATCACAAAGGAGATTCTGAGAATATTTCTGTCTAGTTTTTATTAGAAGATATTCCCGTTTCCACCAAAGGACACAAAGCGAAGCCAATTATCCGCTTGCCGATCTTACAAAAACACGTTTCAAAACTGCTCTATCAAAGAAAGGTTCATCTCTCTGGGTTCAACGCACACATCACAAAGAAGTTTCTGGGAATGCTTCTGGCTAGTTCGTGTGTGAAGATATTCCCGTTTCCAACAAAGGCTTCAAAGCCCTCCAAATATTCACCTGCAATTGTTCAAAAGAGTGTTTCAAAACTGTTCTATCAAAAGGAAGGTTCAACTCTGTGAGTTGAATGCACGCTTCACATAAATGGTTCTGAGAATGCTTCTTTCTAGTTTTTATGGGAAGTTATTTCCTTCTCCACCATAGCCCTCAAAGCGCTCCAAGTGTCCGCTGGCAGATTCCACAGAAACAGTGTTTCAAAACTGCTCTAACAAAAGAAAGATTCAACTCCGTGATTTGAATGCACACATCACAAAGCATTTTCTGTGAATCCTTCTGTCTAGTTTTTATATGAGGTTATTTCCTTTTCTACCATGGGCATCAAAGCCTTCCAGTTATCCAATTGTAGATTACACAAACGGAGTGTTTCAAAACTGCTTCATGAAAAGGAAGATTCAAATTTGGGAGGAGAATGCACACATCACGAAGAAGTTTCTGAGAATGCTTCTGTCTAGTTTATATGTGAAGATATTCCCATTTCCAGCAAAGGTCTCAAAGCGGTCCAAATATCCACTTGCAGATCCCACAAACAGAGGGTTTCAAAACTGCTTTACGGAAAGGTATGTTCAACTTCTGTGAGTTTACTGCAAACATCCTAAAGAAGTCTCTGAGAATGCTGCTGTCTAGTTTAATGTGAATATATTTTCTTTTCCGCCATAGCCCTCAAAGAGCTCCAAATATCCACTTTCAGATTCTACAGAGTGTTTCAAAACTGCTCTATCGAAAAACAGTTTCAACACGGTGAGTCGAATGCACATGTCACAAAGCAGTTTCTGAGAATGCTTTCGTCTATTTTTCCCAGGAAAATATTTCCTTTTTGACCATAGGCCTCAAATCGCTCCAGATATCCACATGCAGATTCTACAAAAAGAGTGTTTCCAAACTGCCCTATCAAAAGGAAGGTTCAACTCTTGTAGTTGCATGCACCCATCACAAAGAAGTTTCTCAGAATGCTTCTGTCTAGTTGTCATAGGCAGATATTTCTTTTTCTACCATAGGCCTCAAAGCGCTCCAAATATCCACTTGCAGATTCTCCAAAAACTGTGTTTCAATACTGCTCCATAAAAAGGAAGGTTCAACTCTGTGAGTTGAATGGACAGACCACAAAGAGGTTTCTGAGAATGCTTCTGTCTAGTGTTTATGTGAAGGTATTCCCGTTTCCGATGAAGGCCTCAAAGCAGTCCAAATATCCACTTGCAGATTCTACAAAAATAGTGCTTCAAAACTACTCTATGGAAAGGTATGTTCAACACTGTGAGATGAATGCAAACGTCACAAATAAGTGGCTGAGAATGCTTCAGTCTAGTTTCTATGGGAAGACATTTCCTTTTGCACCACAGCCCTCAAAGCACCCCAAATGTCCACCTGCAGATTCGATAAAAGGGTTTTTCAAAACTGCTCCATCCAAAGAAAGGTTCAACGCTGTGAGTTGAATCTACATATCACAAAAAAGTTTCTGAGAATGCCTCTATCTACTTTTCCTGTGAAGATATTCCGGTTTCCAAAGAAGGCCTCAAAGCGCTCCAAATATCTACTTGCAGATTCTAGAAAAAGAGTGTTTCAAAACTGCTCTATTAAAGGAAGGTTCAACTCTGTGAGTTGAATTCACACATCACAAAGAACTTTCTGACAATGCTTCTATCTAATTTTTATGTGAAGATATTACTATTTCCTATGAAGGCCTCAAAGTGGTCCGAATATCCACTTGCAGATTCTACAAAAAGAGGTTTTCAAAACTGCTCTATGCAGAGGTATGTTCAACCCTGTGAGTTGAATGCAAACATCACGAAGCAGTTTCTGAGAATGCTTCTGTCTAGTTTTTAGGGGCAGATATTTCCATAGGCACAATCGCCCTCAAAGCGCTCCAAATATCCACTGGCAGATTCCACCAAAAGAGTGTTTCAAAACTGCTCTGTGAAAAGAAATGTTCAAATGTGTTAGTTGAATGCCCACATCACAAAGAAGATTCTGAGAATATTTCTGTCTAGTTTTTATTAGAAGATATTCCCGTTTCCACCAAAGGACACAAAGCGAAGCCAATTATCCGCTTGCCGATCTTACAAAAACACGTTTCAAAACTGCTCTATCGAAGGAAAGGTTCATCTCTCTGGGTTCAACGCACACATTACAAAGAAGTTTCTGAGAATGCTTCTGGCTAGTTTGTGTGTGAAGATATTCCCATTTCCAACAAAGGCTTCAAAGCCCTCCAAATATTCACCTGCAATTGTTCAAAAGAGTGTTTCAAAACTGTTCTATCAAAAGGAAGGTTCAACTCTGTGAGTTGAACGCACGCTTCACATAAATGGTTCTGAGAATACTTCTTTCTAGTTTTTATGGGAAGATATTTCCTTCTCCACCGTAGCCCTCAAAGCGCTCCAAGTGTCCGCTGGCAGATTCCACAGAAACAGTGTTTCAAAACTGCTCTGTCAAAAGAAAGATTCAACTCCGTGATTTGAATGCACACATCACAAAGCATTTTCTGTGAATCCTTCTGTCTAGTTTTCATATGAGGATATTTCCTTTTCTACCATGGGCATCAAAGCGTTCCAATTATCCAATTGTGGATTGCACAAACAGAGTGTTTCAAAACTGCTTCAGGAAAAGGAAGATTCAAATTCGGGAGTAGAATGCACACATCACGAGGAAGTTTCTGAGAATGCTTCTGTCTAGTTTATATGTGAAGATATTCCCATTTCCAGCAAAGGCCTCAAAGCGGTCCAAATATCCACCTGCGGATCCCACAAACAGAGTGTTTCAAAACTGCTCTATGGAAAGGTAGGTTCAACTCTGTGAGTTTACTGCAAACATCCTAAAGAAGTTTCTGAGAATGCTGCTGTGTAGTTTAATGTGAATATATTTTCTTTTCCGCCATAGCCCTCAAAGAGCTCCAAATATCCACTTTCAGATTCTACAGAGTGTTTCAAAACTGCTCTATCAAAAAAAAGTTTCAAATCGGTGAGTCGAATGCACATATCACAAAGCAGTTTCTGAGAATGCTTTCGTCTATTTTTCCCAGGAAGATATTTCCTTTTTGACCGTAGGCCTCAAACCACTCCAGTATATCCACATGCAGATTCTACAAAAAGAGTGTTTCCAAACTGCCCTATCAAAAGGAAGGTTCAACTCTGCTAGTTGAATGCAAACATCACAAAGAAGTTTCTCGGAATGCTTCTGTCTGGTTTTTAGAGGCAGATATTTCTTTTTCTACCATAGGCCTCAAATCGCTCCAAATATCCACTTGCAGATTCTCCAAAAACAGTGTTTCAAAACTGCTGCAGAAAAAGGAAGGTTCAAATCTGTGAGTTGAATGGACAGATGACAAAGAAGTTTCTGAGGATGCTTCTCTCTGGTGTTTATGTGAAGATATTCCCGTTTCCGATGAAGGCCTGAAAGCAGTCCAAATATCCACTTGCCGATTCTACAAAAACAGTGTTTCAAAACCACTCTATGGAAAGGTATGTTCAACACTGTGAGATGAATGCAAACGTCACCAAGAAGTTGCTGAGAATGCTTCAGTCTAGTTTCTATGGGAAGACATTTCCTTTTGCACCACAGCCCTCAAAGCACCCCGAATGTCTACCTGCAGATTCGATAAAAGGGTTTTTCAAAACTGCTCCATCCAAAGAAAGGTTCAACGCTGTGAGTTGAATCTACATATCACCAAAAAAGTTTCTGACAATGCCTCTGTCTACTTTTTATGTGAAGATATTCCGGTTTCCAACGATGGCCTCAAAGCGCTCCAAATATCTACTTGCAGATTCTAGAAAAAGAGTGTTTCAAAACTGCTCTATTAAAGGAAGGTTCAACTCTGTGAGTTGAATTCACACATCACAAAGAACTTTCTGACAATGCTTCTATCTAGTTTTTATGCGAAGATATTACTGTTTCCTATGAAGGCCTCAAAGTGCTCCGAATATCCACTTGCAGATTCTACAAAAAGAGGTTTTCAAAACTGCTCTGTGAAGAGGTATGTTCAACTCTCTGAGTTGAATGCAAACATCACGAAGTAGTTTCTGAGAATGCTTCTGTCTAGATTTCAGGGGCAGATATTTCCATTGGCACAACAGCCCTCAAAGCGCTCCAAATATCCACTGGCAGATTCTACCAAAAGAGTGTTTCAAAACTGCTCTGTGAAAAGAAATGTTCAACTGTGTTAGTTGAATGCCCACATCACAAAGGAGATTCTGAGAATATTTCTGTCTAGTTTTTATTAGAAGATATTCCCGTTTCCACCAAAGGACACAAAGCGAAGCCAATTATCCACTTGCAGATCTTACAAAAACACGTTTCAAAACTGCTCTATCCAAGGAAAGGTTCATCTCTCTGGGTTCAACTCACACATCACAAAGAAGTTTCTGAGAATGCTTCTGGCTAGTTTGTGTGTGAAGATATTCCCATTTCCAACAAAGGCTTCAAAGCGCTCCAAAGATTCACCTGCAATTGTTCAAAAGAGTGTTTCAAAACTGTTGTATCCAAAGGAAGGTTCAACTCTGTGAGTTGAATGCACGCTTCACATAAATGTTTCTGAGAATGCTTCTTTCTAGTTTTTATGTGAAGATATTTCCTTCTCCATCGTAGCCCTCAAAGCGCTCCAAGTGTCCGCTGGCAGATTCCACAGAAACAGTGTTTCAAAACTGCTCTAACAAAAGAAAGATTCAACTCCGTGATTTGAATGCACACATCACAAAGCATTTTCTGTGAATCCTTCTGTCTAGTTTTTATATGAGGATATTTTCTTTTCTACCATGGGCATCAAAGCGTTCCAATTATCCAATAGTAGATTGCGCAAATAGAGTGTTTCAAAACTGCTTCATGAGAAGGAAGATTCAAATTCGGGAGTAGAATGCACACATCAAGAAGAAGTTTCTTAGAATGCTTCTGTCTAGTTTATATGTGAAGATATTCCCATTTCCAGCAAAGGTCTCAAAGCGGTCCAAATATCCACTTGCGGATCCCACAAACAGAGTGTTTCAAAACTGCTCTACGGAAAGGTATGTTCAACTCTGTGAGTTTACTGCAAACATCCTAAAGAAGTTTCTGAGTATGCTGCTGTCCAGTTTAATGTGAATATGTTTTCTTTTCCGCCATAGCCCTCAAAGAGCTCCAAATATCCACTTTCAGATTCTACAGAGTGTTTCAAAACTGCTCTATCAAAAAAAAGTTTCAACTCGTTGAGTCGAATGCACATATCACAAAGCAGTTTCTGAGAATGCTTTCCTCTATTTTTCCCAGGAAGATATTTCCTTTTGGACCGTAGGCCTCAAATCGCTCCAGATATCCACATGCAGATTCTACAAAAAGAGTGTTTCCAAACTGCCCTATCAAAAGGAAGGTTCAACTCTGGTAGTTGAATGCAAACATCACAAAGAAGTTTCTCAGAATGCTTCTGTCTAGTTGTCATAGGCAGATAGTTCTTTTTCTACCGTAGGCCTCAAAGCGCTCCAAATATCCACTTGCAGATCCTCCAAAAACAGTGTTTCAAAACTGCTCCATAAAAAGGAAGGTTCAACTCTGTGAGTTGAATGGACAGACCACAAAGAAGTTTCTGAGAATGCTTCTCTCTAGTGTTTATGTGAAGATATTCCCGTTTCCGATGAAGGCCTCAAAGCAGTCCAAATATCCACTTGCCGATTCTACAAAAACAGTGTTTCAAAACTACTCTATGGAAAGGTATGTTCAACACTGTGAGATGAATGCAAACGTCACACAGAAGTTGCTGAGAATGCTTCAGTCTAGTTTCTATGGGAAGACATTTCCTTTTGCACCACAGCCCTCAAAGCACCCCAAATGTCTACCTGCAGATTCGATAAAAGGGTTTTTCAAAACTGCTCCATCCAAAGAAAGGTTCAACACTGTGAGTTGAATCTACATATCACAAAAAAGTTTCTGAGAATGCCTCTGTCTACTTTTTATGTGAAGATATTCCAGTTTCCAACGATGGCCTCAAAGCGCTCCAAATATCTACTTGCAGATTCTAGAAAAAGAGTGTTTCAAAACTGCTCTATTAAAGGAAGGTTCAACTCTGTGAGTTGAATTCACACATCACAAAGAACTTTCTGACAATGCTTCTATCTAGTTTTTACGTGAAGATATTACTGTTTCCTATGAAGGCCTCAAAGTGGTCCGAATATCCTCTTGCAGATTCTACAAAAAGAGGTTTTCAAAACTGCTCTATGAAAAGGTATGTTCAACTCTGTGAGTTGAATGCAAACATCACAAAGCAGTTTCTGAGAATGCTTCTGTCTAGTTTTTAGGG
The DNA here is from genome assembly GCF_000001405.40 of Homo sapiens. Taxonomy (NCBI): domain Eukaryota; kingdom Metazoa; phylum Chordata; class Mammalia; order Primates; family Hominidae; genus Homo; species Homo sapiens. The sequence goes on along the minus strand of NC_000019.10, from coordinate 24,635,205 downwards.
GCAGATATTTCCGTTGGCACAAGAGCCCTCATAGCGCTCCAAATATCCACTGGCAGATTCTACCAAAAGAGTGTTTCAAAACTGCTCTGTGAAAAGAAACGTTCAACTGTGTTAGTTGAATGCCCACATCACAAAGAAGATTCTGAGAATATTTCTGTCTAGTTTTTATTAGAAGATATTCCCGTTTCCACCAAAGGACACAAAGCGAAGCCAACTATCCGCTTGCAGATCTTACAAAAACACGTTTCAATACTGCTCTATCAAAGGAAAGGTTCATCTCTCTGGGTTCAACGCACACATCACAAAGAAGTTTCTGAGAATGCTTCTGGCTAGTTTGTGTGTGAAGATATTCCCTTTTCCAACAAAGGCTTCAAAGCGCTCCAAAGATTCACCTGCAATTGTTCAAAAGAGTGTTTCAAAACTGTTGTATCAAAAGGAAGGTTCAACTCTGTGAGTTGAATGCACGCTTCACATAAATGTTTCTGAGAATGCTTCTTTCTAGTTTTTATGGGAAGATATTTCCTTCTCCACCATAGCCCTCAAAGCGAACCAAGTGTCCGCTGGCAGATTCCACAGAAACAGTGTTTCAAAACTGCTCTCACAAAAGAAAGATTCAACTCCGTGATTTGAATGCACACATCACAAAGCATTTTCTGTGAATCCTTCTGTCTAGTTTTTATATGAGGATATTTCCTTTTCTACCATGGGCATCAAAGCGTTCCAATCATCCAATTGTAGAATGCACAAATAGAGTGTTTCAAAACTGCTTCATGAAAAGGAAGATTCAAATTTGGGATTAGAATGCACACATCATGAAGAAGTTTCTGAGAATGCTTCTGTCTAGTTTATATGTGAAGATATTCCCGTTTCCAGCAAAGGTCTCAAAGTGGTCCAAATATCCACTTGCGGATCCCAAAAACAGAGTGTTTCAAAACTGCTCTACGGAAAGGTATGTTCAACTCTGTGAGTTTACTGCAAACATCCTAAAGAAGTTTCTGGGAATGCTGCTGTCTACTTTAATGTGAATATATTTTCTTTTCCGCCATAGCCCTCAAAGAGCTCCAAATATCCACTTTCAGATTCTACAGAGTGTTTCAAAACTGCTCTATCAAAAAAAAGTTTCAACTCGGTGAGTCGAATGCGCATATCACAAAGCAGTTTCTGAGAATGCTTTCGTCTATTTTTCCCAGGAAGATATTTCCTTTTTGACCGTAGGCCTCAAATCGCTCCAGATATCCACATGCAGATTCTACAAAAAGAGTGTTTCCAAACTGCCCTATCAAAAGGAAGGTTCAACTCTGGTACTTGAATGCAAACATCACAAAGAAGTTTCTCAGAATGCTTCTGTCTAGTTTTTAGAGGCAGATATTTCTTTTTCTACCACAGGCCTCAAAGCGCTCCAAATATCCACGTGCAGATTCTCCAAGAACAGTGTTTCAAAACTGCTCCATAAAAAGGAAGGTTCAACTCTGTGAGTTGAATGGACAGATCACAAAGAAGTTTCTGAGAATGCTTCTCTCTAGTGTTTATGTGAAGATATTCCCGTTTCCGATGAAGGCCTCAAAGCAGTCCAAATATCCACTTGCCGATTCTACAAAAACAGTGTTTCAAAACCACTCTATGGAAAGGTATGTTCAACGCTGTGAGATGAATGCAAACGTCACCAAGAAGTTGCTGACAATGCTTCAGTCTAGTTTCTATGGGAAGACATTTCCTTTTGCACCACAGCCCTCAAAGCACTCAAAAGGTCTACGGGCAGATTCGATAAAAGAGTTTTTCAAAACTGCTCTATCAAAAGAAAGGTTCAACGTTGTGAGTTGAATCTACATATCACAAAAAAGTTTCTGAGAATGCCTCTATCTACTTTTTCTGTGAAGATATTCCGGTTTCCAACAAAGGCCTCAAAGCGCTCCAAATATCTACTTGCAGATTCTAGAAGAAGAGTGTTTCAAAACTGCTCTATTAAAGGAAGGTTCAACTCTGTGAGTTGAATTCACACATCACAAAGAACTTTCTGACAATGCTTCTATCTAGTTTTTACGTGAAGGTATTACTGTTTCCTATGAAGGCCTTAAAGTGGTCTGAATATCCACTTGCAGATTCTACAAAAAGAGGATTTCAAAACTGCTCTATGAAGAGGTATGTTCAACTCTGTGAGTTGAATGCAAACATCACAAAGTAGTTTCTGAGAATGCTTCTGTCTAGTTTTTAGGGGAAGATATCTCCATTGGCACAATAGCCCTCAAAGCGCTCCAAGTATCCACTGGCAGATTCTAGCAAAAGAGTGTTTCAAAACTGCTCTGTGAAAAGAAATGTTCAACTGTGTTAGTTGAATGCCCACATCACAAAGATGATTGTGAGAATATTTCTGTCTAGTTTTTATTAGAAGATATTCCCGTTTCCACCAAAGGACACAAAGCGAAGCCCATTATCCGCTTGCAGACCTTACAAAAACACGTTTCAAAACTGCTCTATCAAAGGAAAGGTTCATCTCTCTGGGTTCAACGCACACATCACAAAGAAGTTTCTGAGAATGCTTCTGGCTAGTTCGTGTGTGAAGATATTCCCATTTCCAACAAAGGCTTCAAAGCCCTCCAAATATTCACCTGCAATTGTTCAAAAGAGTGTTTCAAAACTGTTCTATCAAAAGGAAGGTTCAACTCTGTGAGTTGAACGCACGCTTCACATAAATGGTTCTGAGAATGCTTCTTTCTAGTTTTTATGGGAAGATATTTCCTTCTCCACCATAGCCCTCAAAGAGCTCCAAGAGTCCGCTGGCAGATTCCAAAGAAACAGTGTTTCAAAACTGCTCTCACAAAAGAAAGATTCAACTCCGTGATTTGAATGCACACATCACAAAGCATTTTCTGTGAATCCTTCTGTCTAGTTTTTATATGAGGATATTTCCTTTTCTACCATGGGCATCAAAGCGTTCCATTTATCCAATTGTGGATTGCACAAACAGAGTGTTTCAAAACTGCTTCATGAAAAGGAAGATTCAAATTCGGGAGTAGAATGCACACATCACGAAGAAGTTTACTGAGAATGCTTCTGTCTAGTTTATATGTGAAGATATTCCCGTTTCCAGCAAAGGTCTCAAAGGGGTCCAAATATCCACTTGCGGATCCCACAAACAGAGTGTTTCAAAACTGCTCTACGGAAAGGTATGTTCAACTCTGTGAGTTTAACTTGAAAAACATCCTAAAGAAGTTTCTGGGAATGCTGCTGTCTACTTTAATGTGAATATATTTTCTTTTCCGCCATAGCCCTCAAAGAGCTCCAAATATCCACTTTCAGATTCTACAGAGTGTTTCAAAACTGCTCTATCAAAAAAAAGTTTCAACTCGGGGAGTCGAATGCACATATCACACAGCACTTTCTGAGAATGCTTTCGTCTATTTTTCCCAGGAAGATATTTCCTTTTTGACCGTAGGCCTCAAATCGCTCCAGATGTCCACATGCAGATTCTACAAAAAGAGTGTTTCCAAACTGCCCTATCAAAAGGAAGGTTCAAATCTGGTAGTTGAATGCAAACATCACAAAGAAGTTTCTCAGAATGCTTCTGTCTGGTGTTTAGGGGCAGATATTTCTTTTTCTACCATAGGCCTCAAAGCGCTCCAAATATCCACTTGCAGATTCTCCAAAAAGAGTGTTTCAAAACTGCTCCAGAATAAGGAAGGTTCAACTCTGTGAGTTGAATGGACAGATGACAAAGAAGTTTCTGAGAATGCTTCTGTCTAGTGTTTATGTGAAGATATTCCCGTTTCCGATGAAGGCCTCAAAGCAGTCCAAATATCCACTTGCAGATTCTACAAAAATAGTGCTTCAAAGCTACCCTATGGAAAGGTATGTTCAACACTGTGAGATGAATGCAAACATCACAAAGAAGTTGCTGAGAATGCTTCAGTCTAGTTTCTATGGGAAGACATTTCCTTTTGCACCACAGCCCTCAAAGCACCCCGAATGTCTACCTGCAGATTCGATAAAAGAGTTTTTCAAAACTGCTCCATCCAAAGAAAGGTTCAACGCTGTGAGTTGAATCTACATATCACAAAAAAGTTTTCTGAGAATGCCTCTATCTACTTTTCCTGTGAAGATATTCTGGTTTCCAACGAAGGCCTCAAAGCGCTCCAAATATCTACTTGCAGATTCTAGAAAAAGAGTGTTTCAAAACTGCTCTATTAAAGGAAGGTTCAACTCTGTGAGTTGAATTCACACATCACAAAGAACTTTCTGACAATGCTTTTATCTAGTTTTTATGTGAAGATATTACTGTTTCCTATGAAGGCCTCAGAGTGTTCCGAATATCCACTTGCAGATTCTACAAAAAGAGGTTTCCAAAAGTGCTCTATGCAGAGGTATGTTCAAGTCTGTGAGTTGAATGCAAACATCACGAAGCAGTTTCTGAGAATGCTTCTGTCTAGTTTTCAGGGGCAGATATTTCCATTGGCACAATAGCCCTCCAAGCGCTCCAAATATCCACTGGCAGATTCTACCAAAAGGGTGTTTCAAAACTGCTCTGTGAAAAGAAATGTTCAACTGTGTTAGTTGAATGCCCACATCACAAAGGAGATTCTGAGAATATTTCTGTCTAGTTTTTATTAGAAGATATTCCCGTTTCCACCAAAGGACACAAAGAGAAGCCAATTATCCGCTTGCAGATCTTACAAAAACACGTTTCAAAACTGCTCTATCAAAGGAAAGGTTCATCTCTCTGGGTTCAACGCACACATCACAAAGAAGTTTCTGAGAATGCTCTGGCTACTTTGTGCGTGAAGATATTCCCATTTCCAGCAAAGGCTTCAAAGCGCTCCAAATATTCACCTGCAATTGTTCAAAAGAGTGTTTCAAAACTGTTCTAACAAAAGGAAGGTTCAACTACTGAGAGTTGAATGCACGCTTCACATAAATGGTTCTGAGAATGCTTTCTTTCTAGTTTTTATGTGAAGATATTTCCTTCTCCACCATAGCCCTCAAAGCGCTCCAAGTGTCCGCTGGCAGATTCCACAGAAACAGTGTTTCAAAACTGCTCTAACAAAAGAAAGATTCAACTGCGTGATTTGAATGCACACATCACAAAGCATTTTCTGTGAATCCTTCTGTCTAGTTTTTATATGAGGATATTTCCTTTTCTACCATGGGCATCAAAGCGTTCCAATTATCCAATTGTGGATTGCACAAACAGAGTGTTTCAAAACTGCTTCATGAAAAGGAAGATTCAAATTTGGGAGTAGAATGCACACATCACGAAGAAGCTTCTGAGAATGCTTCTGTCTAGTTTATATGTGAAGATATTCCCATTTCCAGCAAAGGTCTCAAAGCGGTCCAAATATCCCCTTGCGGATCCCACAAACAGAGTGTTTCAAAACTGCTCTACGGAAAGGTAGGTTCAACTCTGTGAGTTTACTGCAAACATCCTAAAGAAGTTTCTGAGAATGCTGCTGTCTACTTTAATGTGAATATATTTTCTTTTCCGCCATAGCCCTCAAAGAGCTCCAACTATCCACTTTCAGATTCTACAGAGTGTTTCAAAACTGCTCTATCAAAAAAAAGTTTCAACTCGGTGAGTCGAATGCACATATCACAAAGCACTTTCTGAGAATGCTTTCGTCTATTTTTCCCAGGAAGATATTTCCTTTTGGACCGTAGGCCTCAAATCGCTCCAGATATCCACATGCAGATTCTACAAAAAGAGTGTTTCCAAACTGCCCTATCAAAAGGAAGGTTCAACTCTGGTAGTTGAATGCCAAACATCACAAAGAAGTTTCTCAGAATGCTTCTGTCTGGTTTTTAGAGGCAGATATTTCTTTTTCTACCATAGGCCTCAAAGCGCTCCAAATATCCACTTGCAGATTCTCCAAAAGGAGTGTTTCAAAACTGCTCCATAAAAAGGAAGGTTCAACTCTGTGAGTTGAATGGACAGATCACAAAGAAGTTTCTGAGAATGCTTCTCTCTAGTGTTTATGTGAAGATATTCCCGTTTCCGATGAAGGCCTCAAAGCAGTCCAAATATCCAATTGCCGATTCTACAAAAACAGTGTTTCAAAACCACTCTATGGAAAGGTATGTTCAACACTGTGAGATAAATGCAAACGTCACCAAGAAGTTGCTGAGAATGCTTCAGTCTAGTTTCTATGGGAAGACATTTCCTTTTGCACCACAGCCCTCAAAGCACGCCGAATGTCTACCTGCAGATTCGATAAAAGAGTTTTTCAAAACTGCTCCATCCAAAGAAAGGTTCAACGCTGTGAGTTGAATCTACATATCACAAAAAAGTTTCTGAGAATGCCTCTATCTACTTTTCCTGTGAAGATATTCCGGTTTCCAACGAAGGCCTCAAAGCGCTCCAAGTATCTACTTGCAGATTCTAGAAAAAGAGTGTTTCACAACTGCTCTATTGAAGGAAGGTTCAACTCTGTGAGTTGAATTCACACATCACAAAGAACTTTCTGACAATACTTCTATCTAGTTTTTATGCGAAGTATATTACTGTTTCCTATGAAGGCCTCAAAGTGCTCCGAATATCCACTTGCAGATTCTACAAAAAGAGGTTTTCAAAACTGCTCTGTGAAGAGGTATGTTCAACTCTCTGAGTTGAATGCAAACATCATGAAGTAGTTTCTGAGAATGCTTCTGTCTAGTTTTTAGGGGCAGATATTTCCATTGGCACAATAGCCCTCAAAGCGCTCCAAATATCCACTGGCAGATTCGACCAAAAGAGTATTTCAAAACTGCTCTGTGAAAAGAAATCTTCGACTGTGTTAGATGAATGCCCACATCACAAAGAAATTTCTGAGAATATCTCTGTCTAGTTTTTATTAGAAGATATTCCCGTTTCCACCAAAGGACACAAAGCGAAGCCAATTATCCGCTTGCCGATCTTACAAAAACGCGTTTCAAAACTGCTTTATCAAAGGAAAGGTTCATCTCTCTGGGTTCAACGCACACATCACAAAGAAGTTTCTGAGAATGCTTCTGGCTAGTTTGTGTGTGAAGATATTCCCATTTCCAACAAAGGCTTCAAAGCCCTCCAAATATTCACCTGCAATTGTTCAAAAGAGTGTTTCAAAACTGTTCTATCAAAAGGAAGGTTCAACTCTGTGAGTTGAATGCACGCTTCACATAAATGGTTCTGAGAATGCTTCTTTCTAGTTTTTATGTGAAGATATTTCCTTCTCCACCATAGCCCTCAAAGCGCTCCAAGTGTCCGCTGGCAGATTCCACAGAAGCAGTGTTTCAAAACTGCTCTAACAAAAGAAAGATTCAACTCCGTGATTTGAATGCACACATCACAAAGCATTTTCTGTGAATCCTTCTGTCTAGTTTTTATATGAGGATATTTCCTTTTCTACCATGGGCATCAAAGGGTTCCAATTATCCAATTGTAAATTGCACAAATAGAGAGTTATAAAACTGCTTCATGAGAAGGAAGATTCAAATTTGGGAGTAGAATGCACACATCACGAAGAAGTTTCTGAGAATGCTTCTGTCTAGTTTATATGTGAAGATATTCCCGTTTCCAGCAAAGGTCTCAAAGCGGTCCAAATATCCACTTGCGGATCCCACAAACAGAGTGTTTCAAAACTGCTCTACGGAAAGGTATGTTCAACTCTGTGAGTTTACAGCAAACATCCTAAAGAAGTTTCTGGGAATGCTGCTGTCTACTTTTTTAACGTGAATATATTTTCTTTTCCGCCATAGCCCTCAAAGAGCTCCAAATATCCACTTTCAGATTCTACAGAGTGTTTCAAAACTGCTGTATCAAAAAAAAGTTTCAACTCGGTGAGTCGAATGCGCATATCACAAAGCACTTTCTGAGAATGCTTTCGTCTATTTTTCCCAGGAAGATATTTCCTTTTTGACCGTAGGCCTCAAACCGCTCCAGATATCCACATGCAGATTCTACAAAAAGAGTGTTTCCAAACTGCCCTATCAAAAGGAAGGTTCAACTCTGCGAGTTGAATGCAAACATCACAAAGAAGTTTCTCGGAATGCTTCTGTCTTTTTTTTAGAGGCAGATATTTCTTTTTCTACCATAGGCCTCAAAGCACTCCAAATATCCACCTGCAGATTCTCCAAAAGGAGTGTTTCAAAACTGCTCCATAAAAAGGAAGGTTCAACTCTGTGAGTTGAATGGACAGATGACAAAGAAGTTTCTGAGAATGCTTCTCTCTAGTGTTTATGTGAAGATATTCCCTTTTCCGATGAAGGCCTCAAAGCAGTCCAAATATCCACTTGCCGATTCTACAAAAACAGTGTTTTAAAACCACTCTAGGGAAAGGTATGTTCAACACTGTGAGATGAATGCAAACGTCACCAAGAAGTTGCTGAGAATGCTTCAGTCTAGTTTCTATGGGAAGACATTTCCTTTTGCACCACAGCCCTCAAAGCACTCCAAATGTCTACCTGCAGATTCGATAAAAGAGTTTTACGAAACTGCTCTATCAAAAGAAAGGCTCAACGCTGTGAGTTGAATCTACATATCACGAAAAAGTTTCTGAGAATGCATCTATCTACTTTTTATGTGAAGATATTCTGGTTTCCAACGAAGGCCTCAAAGCGCTCCAAATATCTACTGGCAGATTCTAGAAAAAGAGTGTTTCAAAACTGCTCTATTAAAGGAAGGTTCAACTCTGTGAGTTGAATTCACACATCACAAAGAACTTTCTGACAATGCTTCTGTCTAGTTTTTATGTGAAGATATTACTGTTTCCTATGAAGGCCTCAAAGTGGTCCGAATATCCACTTGCAGATTCTACAAAAAGAGGTTTTCAAAACTGCTCTATGCAGAGGTATGTTCAACCCTGTGAGTTGAATGCAAACATCACGAAGCAGTTTCTGAGAATGCTTCTGTCTAGTTTTCGGGGGCAGATATTTCCATTGGCACAATAGCCCTCCAAGCGCTCCAAATATCCACTGGCAGATTCGACCAAAAGAGTGTTTCAAAACTGCTCTGTGAAAAGAAATGTTCAACTGTGTTAGTTGAATGCCCACATCACAAAGGAGATTCTGAGAATATTTCTGTCTAGTTTTTATTAGAAGATATTCCCGTTTCCACCAAAGGACACAAAGCGAAGCCAATTATCCACTTGCCGACCTTACAAAAACACGTTTCAAAACTGCTCTATCAAAGGAAAGGTTCATCTCTCTGGGTTCAACGCACACATCACAAAGAAGTTTCTGAGAATGCTTCTGGCTAGTTTGTGTGTGAAGATATTCCCATTTCCAACAAAGGCTTCAAAGCGCTCCAAAGATTCACCTGCAATTGTTCAAAAGGGTGTTTCAAAACTGTTGTATCAAAGGGAAGGTTCAACTCTGTGAGTTGAATGCAAGCTTCACATAAATGTTTCTGAGAATGCTTCTCTCTAGTTTTTATGGGAAGATATTTCCTTCTCCACCATAGCCCTCAAAGCGCTCCAAGTGTCCGCTGGCAGATTCCACAGAAACAGTGTTTCAAAACTGCTCTGACAAAAGAAAGATTCAACTCCGTGATTTGAATGTACACATCACAAAGCATTTTCTGTGAATCCTTCTGTCTAGTTTTTATATGAGGATATTTCCTTTTCTACCACGGTCATCCAAGCGTTCCAATTCTCCAATTGTAGATTGCACAAACAGAGTGTTTCAAAACTGCTCCATGAGAAGGAAGATTCAAATTTGGGAGTACAATGCACACATCACGAAGAAGTTTCTGAGAATGCTTCTGTCTAGTTTATACGTGAAGATATCCCCATTTCCAGCAAAGGTCTCAAAGCGGTCCAAATATCCACTTGCGGATCCCACAAACAGAGTGTTTCAAAACTGCTCTACGGAAAGGTATGTTCAACTCTGTGAGTTTACTGCAAACATCCTAAAGAAGTTTCTGAGAATGCTGCTGTCTACTTTAATGTGAATATATTTTCTTTTCCGCCATAGCCCTCAAAGAGCTCCAAATATCCACTTTCAGATTCTACAGAGTGTTTCAAAACTGCTCTATCAAAAAAAAGTTTCAACTCGGTGAGTCGAATGCGCATATCACAAAGTACTTTCTGAGAATGCTTTCGTCTATCTTTCACAGGAAGATATTTCCTTTTGGACCGTAGGCCTCAAATCGCTCCAGATATCCACATGCAGATTCTACAAAAAGAGTGTTTCCAAACTGCCCTATCAAAAGGAAGGTTCAACTCTGGTAGTTGAAGGCAAACATCACAAAGAAGTTTCTCAGAATGCTTCAGTCTAGTATTTAGAGGCAGATATTTCTTTTTCTACCATTGGCCTCAAGGCGCTCCAAATATCCACTTGCAGATTCTCCACAAACAGTGTTTCAAAACTGCTCCATAAAAAGGAAGGTTCAACTCTGTGTGTTGAACGGACAGATCACAAAGAAGTTTCTGAGAATGCTTCTGTCCAGTGTTTATGTGAAGATATTCCCGTTTCCGATGAAGGCCTCAAAGCAGTCCAAATATCCACTTGCAGATTCTACAAAAATAGTGTTTCAAAACTACTCTATGCAAAGGTATGTTCAACACTGTGAGATGAATGCAAACATCACAAAGAAGTTGCTGAGAATGCTTCAGTCTAGTTTCTATGGGAAGACATTTCCTTTTGCACCACAGCCCTCAAAGCACCCCGAATGTCTACCTGCAGATTCGATAAAAGGGTTTTTCAAAACTGCTCCATCCAAAGAAAGGTTCAACGCTGTGAGTTGAATCTACATATCACAAAAAAGTTTCTGACAATGCCTCTATCTACTTTTCCTGTGAAGATATTCCGGTTTCCAACGAAGGCCTCCAAGCACTCCAAATATCTACTTGCAGATTCTAGAAAAAGAGTGTTTCAAAACTGCTCTATTGAAGGAAGGTTCAACTCTGTGAGTTGAATTCACACATCACAAAGAACTTTCTGACAATGCTTCTATCTAGTTTTTATGTTAAGATATTACTGTTTCCCATGAAGGCCTCAAAGTGGTCCGAATATCCACTTGCAGATTCTACAAAAAGAGGTTTTCAAAACTGCTCTATGCAGAGGTATGTTCAACTCTGTGAGTTGAATGCAAACATCCCGAAGCAGTTTCTGAGAATGCTTCTGTCTAGATTTTAGGGGCAGATATTTCCATTGGCACAACAGCCCTCAAAGCGCTCAAAATATCCACTGGCAGATTCTACCAAAAGTGTGTTACAAAACTGCTCTGTGAAAAGAAATGTTCAACTGTGTTAGTTGAATGCCCACATCACAAAGGAGATTCTGAGAATATTTCTGTCTAGTTTTTATTAGAAGATATTCCCGTTTCCACCAAAATACACAAAGCGAAGTCAATTATCCGTTTGCAGATCTTACCAAAACACGTTTCAAAACTGCTCTATCAAAGGAAAGGTTCACCTCTCTGGGTTCAACGCACACATCACAAAGAAGTTTCTGAGAATGCTTCTGGCTAGTTTGTGTGTGAAGATATTCCCATTTCCAACAAAGGCTTCAAAGCGCTCCATAGATTCACCTGCAATTGTTCAAAAGGGTGTTTCAAAACTGTTGTATCAAAAGGAAGGTTCAACTCTGTGAGTTGAATGCACGCTTCACATAAATGTTTCTGAGAATGCTTCTTTCTAGTTTTTATGGGAAGATATTTCCTTCTCCACCACAGCCCTCAAAGTGCTCCAAGTGTCCGCTGGCAGATTCCACAGAAACAGTGTTTCAAAACTGCTCTAACAAAAGAAAGATTCAACTCCGTGATTTGAATGCACACATCACAAAGCATTTTCTGTGAATCCTTCTGTCTAGTTTTTATATGAGGATATTTCCTTTTCTACCATGGGCATCAAAGCGTTCCAATTATCCAATTGTGGATTGCACAAACAGAGTGTTTCAAAACTGCTTCATGAAAAGGAAGATTCAAATTCGCGAGGAGAATGCACACATCACGAAGAAGTTTCTGAGAATGCTTCTGTCTAGTTTATATGTGAAGATATTCCCGTTTCCAGCAAAGGTCTCAAAGCGGTCCAAATATACACTTGCGGATCCCACAAACAGAGTGTTTCAAAACTGCTCTACGGAAAGGTATGTTCAACTCTGTGAGTTTACTGCAAACATCCTAAAGAAGTTTCTGGGAATGCTCCTCTCTAGTTTAATGTGAATATATTTTCTTTTCCGCCATAGCCCTCAAAGAGCTCCAAATATCCACTTTCAGATCTCTACAGAGTGTTTCAAAACTGCTCTATCAAAAAAAAGTTTCAACTCGGTGAGTCGAATGCCCATATCACAAAGCAGTTTCTGAGAATGCTTTCGTCTATTTTTCCCAGGAAGATATTTCCTTTTTGACCGTAGGCCTCAAACCGCTCCAGATATCCACATGCAGATTCTACAAAAAGAGTGTTTCCAAACTGCCCTATGAAAAGGAAGGTTCAACTCTGCTAGTTGAATGCAAACATCACAAAGAAGTTTCTCGGAATGCTTCTGTCTGGTTTTTAGAGGCAGATATTTCTTTTTCTACCATAGGCCTCAAAGCGCTCCAAATATCCACTTGCAGATTCTCCAAAAGGAGTGTTTCAAAACTGTTCCATAAAAAGGAAGGTTCAACTCTGTGAGTTGAATGGACAGATCACAAAGAAGTTTCTGAGAATGCTTCTCTCTAGTGTTTATGTGAAGATATTCCCGTTTCCGATGAAGGCCTCAAAGCAGTCCAAATATCCACTTGCAGATTCTACAAAAATAGTGTTTCAAAACTACTCTTTGGAAAGGTATGTTCAACGCTGTGAGATGAATGCAAACGTCACAAAGAAGTTGCTGAGAATGTTTCAGTCTAGTTTCTATGGGAAGACATTTCCTTTTGCACCACAGCCCTCAAAGCACACCAAATGTCTACCTGCAGATTCGATAAAAGAGTTTTTCAAAACTGCTCTATCAAAAGAAAGGTTCAACGCTGTGAGTGGAATCAACATATCACAAAAAAGTTTCTGAGAATGCCTCTATCTACTTTTTCTGTGAAGATATTTCGGTTTCCAACGAAGGCCTCAAAGCGCTCCAAATATCTACTTACAGATTCTAGAAGAAGAGTGTTTCAAAACTGCTCTATTAAAGGAAGGTTCAACTCTGTGAGTTGAATTCACACATCACAAAGAACTTTCTGACAATGCTTCTATCTAGTTTTTATGTGAAGATATTACTGTTTCCTATGAAGGCCTCAAAGTGGTCCGAATATCCACTTGCAGATTCTACAAAAAGAGGTTTTCAAAACTGCTCTATGAAGAGGTATGTTCAACTCTGTGAGTTGAATGCCAACATCACAAAGCAGTTTCTGAGCATGCTTCTGTCTAGTTTTTAGGGGCAGATATTTCCGTTGGCACAATAGCCCTCAAAGCGCTCCAAATATCCACTGGCAGATTCTACCAAAAGGGTGTTTCCAAACTGCTCTGTGAAAAGAAAGGTTCAACTGTGTTAGTTGAATGCCCACATCACAAAGAAGATTCTGAGAATATTTCTGTCTAGTTTTTATTAGAAGATATTCCCGTTTCCACCAAAGGACACAAAGCGAGACAAATTATCCGCTTGCAGATCTTACAAAAACACGTTTCAAAACTGCTCTATCAAAGGAAAGGTTCATCTCCCTGGGTTCAACGCACACATCACAAAGAAGTTTCTGAGAATGCTTCTGTCTAGTTTGTGTGTGAAGATATTCCCATTTCCAACAAAGGCTTCAAAGCCCTCCAAATATTCACCTGCAATTGTTCAAAAGAGTGTTTCAAAACTGTTCTATCAAAAGGAAGGTTCAACTCTGTGAGTTGAACGCACGCTTCACATAAATGGTTCTGAGAATGCTTCTTTCTAGTTTTTATGGGAAGATATTTCCTTCTCCACCATAGCCCTCAAAGTGCTCCAAGTGTCCGCTGGCAGATTCCACAGAAACAGTGTTTCAAAACTGCTCTAACAAAAGAAAGATTCAACTCCGTGATTTGAATGCACACATCACAAAGCATTTTCTGTGAATCCTTCTGTCTAGTTTTTATATGAGGATATTTCCTTTTCTACCATGGGCATCAAAGCGTTCCAATTATCCAATTGTGGATTGCACAAACAGAGTGTTTCTAAACTGCTTCATGAAAAGGAAGATTCAAATTCGGGAGTAGAATGCACACATCACGAAGAAGTTTCTGAGAATGTTTCTGTCTAGTTTATATGTGAAGATATTCCCGTTTCCAGCAAAGGTCTCAAAGCGGTCCAAATATCCACTTGCGGATCCCACAAACAGAGTGTTTCAAAACTGCTCTACGGAAAGGTATGTTCAACTACTGTGAGTTTACTGCAAACATCCTAAAGAAGTTTCTGGGAATGCTGCTGTCTAGTTTAATGTGAATATATTTTCTTTTCCGCCATAGCCCTCAAAGAGCTCCAAATATCCACTTTCAGATTCTACAGAGTGTTTCAAAACTGCTCTATCAAAACAAAGTTTCAACTCGGTGAGTCGAATGCACATATCACAAAGCAGTTTCTGAGAATGCTTTCGTCTATTTTTCCCAGGAAGATATTTCCTTTTTGACCGTAGGCCTAAAACCGCTCCAGATAACCACATGCAGATTCTACAAAAAGAGTGTTTCCAAACTGCCCTATCAAAAGGAAGGTTCAACTCTGCTAGTTGAATGCAAACATCACAAAGAAGTTTCTCAGAATGCTTCTGTCTGGTTTTTAGAGGCAGATATTTCTTTTTCTACCATAGGCCTCAAAGCGCTCGAAATATCCACTTGCAGATTCCCCAAAAACAGTGATTCAAAACTGCTCCATAAAAAGGAAGGTTCAACTCTGTGAGTTGAATGGACAGATGACAAAGAAGTTTCTGAGAATGCTTCTGTCTAGTGTTTATGTGAAGATATTCCCGTTTCCGATGAAGGCCTCAAAGTAGTCCAAATATCCACTTGCAGATTCTACAAAAATAGTGCTTCAAAACAACTCTATGGAAAGGTATGCTCAACACTGTGAGATGAAGGCAAACGTCACAAAGAAGTTGCTGAGAATGCTTCAGTCTAGTTTCTATGGGAAGACATTTCCTTTTGCACCACAGCCTTCAACGCACTCCAAATGTCTACTTGCAGATTCGATAAAAGAGTTTTACAAAACTGCTCTATCAAAAGAAAGGTTCAACGCTGTGAGTTGAATCCACATATCACGAAAAAGTTTCTGAGAATGCCTCTATCTACATTTCCTGTGAAGATGTTCCGGTTTCCAACGAAGGCCTCCAAGCGCTCCAAATATCTACTTGCAGATTCTAGAAAAAGAGTGTTTCAAAACTGCTCTATTAAAGGAAGGTTCAACTCTGTGAGTTGAATTCACACATCACAAAGAACTTTCTGACAATGCTTCTATCTAGTTTTTATGCGAAGATATTACTGTTTCCTATGAAGGCCTCAAAGTGCTCCGAATATCCACTTGCAGATTCTACAAAAAGAGGTTTTCAATACTGCTCTGTGAAGAGGTATGTTCAACTCTGTGAGTTGAATGCAAACATCACGAAGTAGTTTCTGAGAATGCTTCTGTCTAGTTTTTAGGGGCAGATATTTCCATTGGCACAATAGCCCTCAAAGCGCTCCAAATATCCACTGGCAGATTCGACCAAAAGAGTGTTTCAAAACTGCTCTGTGAAAAGAAATGTTCAACTGTGTCAGTTGAATGCCCACATCACAAAGAAGTTTGCTGAGAATATCTCTGTCTAGTTTTTATTAGAAGATATTCCCGTTTCCACCAAAGGACACAAAGCGAAGCCAACTATCCGCTTGCAGATCTTACAAAAACACGTTTCAAAACTGCTCTATCAAAGGAAAGGTTCATCTCTCTGGGTTCAATGCACACATCACAAAGAAGTTTCTGAGAATGCTTCTGGCTAGTTTGTGTGTGAAGATATTCCCATTTCCAACAAAGGCTTCAAAGCGCTCCAAATATTCACCTGCAATTGTTCAAAAGAGTGTTTCAAAACTCTTCTATCAAAAGGAAGGTTCAACTCTGTGAGTTGAATGCACGCTTCACATAAATGTTTCTGAGAATGCTTCTTTCTAGTTTTTATGGGAAGACATTTCCTTCTCCACCATAGCCCTCAAAGCGCTCCAAGTGTCCGCTGGCAGATTCCACAGAAACAGTGTTTCAAAACTGCTCTGACAAAAGAAAGATTCAACTCCGTGATTTGAATGCACACATCACAAAGCATTTTCTGTGAATCCTTCTGTCTAGTTTTTATATGAGGATATTTCCTTTTCTACCATGGGCATCAAAGCGTTCCAATTATCCAATTGTGGATTGCACAAACAGAGTGTTTCAAAACTG
The DNA here is from genome assembly GCF_000001405.40 of Homo sapiens. Classification (NCBI taxonomy): domain Eukaryota; kingdom Metazoa; phylum Chordata; class Mammalia; order Primates; family Hominidae; genus Homo; species Homo sapiens. The sequence goes on along the minus strand of NC_000019.10, from coordinate 24,618,927 downwards.
CTTCATGAAAAGGAAGATTCAAATTTGGGAGTAGAATGCACACATCATGAAGAAGTTTCTGAGAATGCTTCTGTCTAGTTTATATGTGAAGATATTCCCATTTCCAGCAAAGGTCTCAAAGCGGTCCAAATATCCACTTGCGGATCCCACAAACAGAGTGTTTCAAAACTGCTCTACGGAAAGGTATGTTCAACTCTGTGAGTTTACTGCAAACATCCTAAAGAGGTTTCTGAGAATGCTGCTGTCTAGTTTAATGTGAATATATTTTCTTTTCCGCCATAGCCCTCGAAGAGCTCCAAATATCCACTTTCAGATTCTACAGAGTGTTTCAAAACTGCTCTATCAAAAAAAAGTTTCAACTCGGAGAGTCGAATGCACATATCACAAAGCAGTTTACTGAGAATGCTTTCGTCTATTTTTCCCAGGAAGATATTTCCTTTTTGACCGTAGGCCTCAAATCGCTCCAGATATCCACATGCAGATTCTACAAAAGGGTGTTTCCAAACTGCCCTATCAAAAGGAAGGTTCAACTCTGCTAGTTGAATGCAAACATCACAAAGAAGTTTCTCAGAATGCTTCTGTCTAGTTTTTAGAGGCAGATATTTCTTTTTCTACCATAGGCCTCAAAGCGCTCCAAATATCCACTTGCAGATTCTCCAAAAACATTGTTTCAAAACTGCTCCATAAAAAGGAAGGTTCAACTCTGTGAGTTGAATGGACAGATCACAAAGTAGTTTCTGAGAATGCTTCTCTCTAGTGTTGATGTGAAGATATTCCCGTTTCCGATGAAGGCCTCAAAGCAGTCCAAATATCCACTTGCAGATTCTACAAAAATAGTGTTTGAAAACTACTCTATGGAAAGGTATGTTCAACACTGTGAGATGAATGCAAACGTCACAAAGAAGTTGCTGAGAATGCTTCAGTCTAGTTTCTATGGGAAGACATTTCCTTTTGCACCACAGCCCTCAAAGCACTCCAAATGTCTACTTGCAGATTCGATAAAAGAGTTTTACAAAACTGCTCTATCAAAAGAAAGGTTCAACGCTGTGAGTTGAATCCACATATCACGAAAATTTTCTGAGAATGCCTCTATCTACTTTTCCTGTGAAGATATTCCGGTTTCCAACGAAGGCCTCAAAGCGCTCCAAATATCTACTTGCAGATTCTAGAAAAAGAGTGTTTCAAAACTGCTCTATTAAAGGAAGGTTCAACTCTGTGAGTTGAATTCACACATCACCAACAACTTTCTGACAATGCTTCTATCTAGTTTTTATGTGAAGATATTACTGATTCCTATGAAGGCCTCAAACTGGTCCGAATATCCACTTGCAGATTCTACAAAAAGAGGTTTTCAAAACTGCTCTATGAAAAGGTATGTTCAACTCTGTGAGTGGAATGCAAACATCACAAAGCAGTTTCTGAGAATGCTTCTGTCTAGTTTTAAGGGCAGATATTTCCATTGGCACAATAGCCCTCAAAGCGCTCCAAATATCCACTGGCAGATTCTACCAAAAGAGTGTTTCAAAACTGCTCTGTGAAAAGAAACGTTCAACTGTGTTAGTTGAATGCCCACATCACAAAGAAGATTCTGAGAATATTTTTGTCTAGTTTTTATTAGAAGATATTCCCGTTTCCACCAAAGGACCCAAAGCGAAGCCAGTTATCCGCTTGCCGATCTTACAAAAACACGTTTCAAAACTGCTCTATCAAAGGAAAGGTTCATCTCTCTGGGTTCAACGCACACATCACAAAGAAGTTTCTGAGAATGCTTCTGGCTAGTTTGTGTGTGAAGATATTCCCATTTCCAACAAAGGCTTCAAAGCGCTCCAAAGATTCACCTGCAATTGTTCAAAAGAGTGTTTCAAAACTCTTCTATCAAAAGGAAGGTTCAACTCTGTGAGTTGAATGCACGCTTCACATAAATGTTTCCGAGAATGCTACTTTCTAGTTTTTATGGGAAGATATTTCCTTCTCCACCACAGCCCTCAAAGCGCTCCAAGTGTCCGCTGGCAGATTCCACAGAAACAGTGTTTCAAAACTGCTCTAACAAAAGAAAGATTCAACTCCGTGATTTGAATGCACACATCACAAAGCATTTTCTGTGAATCCTTCTGTCTAGTTTTTATATGAGGATATTTCCTTTTCCCACCATGGGCATCAAAGCGTTCCAATCATCCAATTGTAGAATGCACAAATAGAGTGTTTCAAAACTGCTTCATGAAAAGGAAGATTCAAATTTGGGAGTAGAATGCACACATCACGAAGAAGTTTCTGAGAATTCTTCTGTCCAGTTTATATGTGAAGATATTCCCGTTTCCAGCAAAGGTCTCAAAGCGGTCCAAATATCCACTTGCGGATTCCACAAACAGAGTGTTTCAAAACTGCTCTACGGAAAGGTGTGTTCAACTCTGTGAGTTTACTGCAAACATCCTAAAGAAGTTTCTGGGAATGCTGCTGTCTAGTTTAATGTGAATATATTTTCTTTTCTCCATAGCCCTCAAAGAGCTCCAAATATCCACTTTCAGATTCTACAGAGTGTTTCAAAACTGCTCTATCCAAAAAAAGTTTCAACTCGGTGAGTCGAATGCACATATCACAAAGCAGTTTCTGAGAATGCTTTCGTCTATTTTTCCCAGGAAGATATTTCCTTTTTGACTGTAGGCCTCAAACCGCTCCAGATATCCACATGCAGATTCTACAAAAAGAGTTTTTCCAAACTGCCCTATCAAAAGAAAGGTTCAACTCTGCTAGTTGAATGCAAACATCACAAAGAAGTTTCTCGGAATGCTTCTGTCTAGTTGTCATAGGCAGATATTTCTTTTTCTACCATAGGCCTCAAAGCGCTCCAAATATCCACTTGCAGATTCTCCGAAAACAGTGTTTCAAAACTGCTCCATAAAAAGGAAGGTTCAACTCTGTGATTTGAATGGACAGACCACAAAGTAATTTCCGAGAATGCTTCTGTCTAGTGTTTATGTGAAGATATTCCCGTTTCCGATGAAGGTCTCAAAGCAGTCCAAATATCCACTTGCAGATTCTACAAAAATAGTGCTTCAAAACTACTCTATGGAAAGGTATGTTCAACACTGTGAGATGAATGCAAACGTCAAAAAGAAGTTGCTGAGAATGCTTCAGTCTAGTTTCTATGGGAAGACATTTCCTTTTGCACCACAGCCCTCAAAGCACCCCAAATGTCTACCTGCAGATTCGATAAAAGAGGTTTTCAAAACTGCTCCACCCAAAGAAAGGTTCAACGCTGTGAGTTGAATCTACATATCACAAAAAAAGTTTCTGAGAATGCCTCTATCTACGTTTTATGTGAAGATATTCCGGTTTCCAACGAAGGCCTCAAAGCGCTCCAAATATCTACTTGCAGATTCTAGAAAAAGAGTGTTTCAAGACTGCTCTATTAAAGGAAGGTTCAACTCTGTGAGTTGAATTCACACATCACAAAGAACTTTCTGACAATGCTTCTATCTAGTTTTTATGTGAAGATATTACTGTTTCCCATGAAGGCCTCAAAGTGGTCCGAATATCCACTTGCAGATTCTACAAAAAGAGGTTTTCAAAACTGCTCTATGCAGAGGTATGTTCAACTCTGTGAGTTGAATGCAAACATCCTGAAGCAGTTTCTGAGAATGCTTCTGTCTAGTTTTCAGGGGCAGATATTTCCATTGGCACAATAGCCCTCCAAGCGCTCCAAATATCCACATGCAGATTCTACCAAAAGAGTGTTTCAAAACTGCTCTGTGAAAAGAAATGTTCAACTGTGTTAGTTGAATGCCCACATCACAAAGGAGATTCTGAGAATATTTCTGTCTAGTTTTTATTAGAAGTATATTCCCGTTTCCACCAAAGGACACAAAGCGAAGCCAATTATCCGCTTGCCGATCTTACAAAAACACGTTTCAAAACTGCTCTATCGAAGGAAAGGTTCATCTCTCTGGGTTCAACGCACACATTACAAAGAAGTTTCTGAGAATGCTTCTGGCTAGTTTGTGTGTGAAGATATTCCCATTTCCAACAAAGGCTTCAAAGCGCTCCAAAGATTCACCTGCAATTGTTCAAAAGAGTGTTTCAAAACTGTTCTATCAAAAGGAAGGTTCAACTCTGTGAGTTGAATGCACGCTTCACATAAATGTTTCCGAGAATGCTTCTTTCTAGTTTTTATGTGAAGATATTTCCTTCTCCACCGTAGCCCTCAAAGCGCTCCAAGGGTCCGCTGGCAGATTCCACAGAAACAGTGTTTCAAAACTGCTCTAACAAAAGAAAGATTTAACTCCGTGATTTGAATGCACACATCACAAAGCATTTTCTGTGAATCCTTCTGTCTAGTTTTTATATGAGGATATTTCCTTTTCTACCACGGGCATCCAAGCGTTCCAATTCTCCAATTGTAGATTGCACAAACAGAGTGTTTCAAAACTGCTCCATGAGAAGGAAGATTCAAATTTGGGAGTACAATGCACACATCACGAAGAATTTTCTGAGAATGCTTCTGTCCAGTTTATATGTGAAGATATTCCCGTTTCCAGCAAAGGTCTCAAAGCGGTCCAAATATCCACTTGCGGATCCCACACACAGAGTTTTTCAAAGCTGCTCTACGGAAAGGTATGTTCAACTCTGTGAGTTTACTGCAAACATCCTAAAGAAGTTTCTGGGAATGCTGCTGTCTACTTTACTGTGAATATATTTTCTTTTCCGCCATAGCCCTCAAAGAGCTCCAAATATCCACTTTCAGATTCTGCAGAGTGTTTCAAAACTGCTCTATCAAAAAAAAGTTTCAACTCGGTGAGTCGAATGCACATATCACAAAGCACTTTCTGAGAATGCTTTCGTCTATTTTTCCCAGGAAGATATTTCCTTTCTGACCGTAGGCCTCAAACCGCTCCAGATATCCACATGCAGATTCTACAAAAAGAGTGTTTCCAAACTGCCCTATCAAAAGGAAGGTTCAACTCTGCTAGTTGAATGCAAACATCACAAAGGAGTTTCTCGGAATGCTTCTGTCTGGTTTTTAGAGGCAGATATTTCTTTTTCTACCATAGGCCTCAAAGCGCTCCAAATATCCACTTGCAGATTCTCCAAAAGGAGTGTTTCAAAACTGCTCCATAAAAAAGAAGGTGCAACTCTGTGAGTTGAATGGACAGATGACAAAGAAGTTTCTGAGAATGCTTCTCTGTAGTGTTTATGTGAAGATATTCCCGTTTCCGATGAAGGCCTCAAAGCAGTCCAAATATCCACTTGCCGATTCTACAAAAACAGTGTTTCAAAACCACTCTATGGAAAGGTATGTTCAACACTGTGAGATGAATGCAAACGTCACCAAGAAGTTGCTGAGAATGCTTCAGTCTAGTTTCTATGGGAAGACTTTTCCTTTTGCACCAGAGCCCTCAAAGCACCCCAAATGTCTACCTGCAGATTCGATAAAAGAGTTTTTCAAAACTGCTCCATGCAAAGAAAGGTTCAACGCTGTGAGTTGAATCTACATATCACAAAAAAGTTTCTGAGAATGCCTCTATCTACTTTTCCTGTGAAGATATTCCGGTTTCCAACGAAGGCCTCAAAGCGCTCCAAATATCTACTTGCAGATTCTAGAAAAAGAGTGTTTCAAAACTGCTCTATTAAAGGAAGGTTCAACTCTGTGAGTTTAATTCACACATCACCAAGAACTTTCTGACAATGCTTCTATCTAGTTTTTATGTGAAGATATTACTGTTTCCTATGAAGGCCTCAAAGTGGTCCGAATATCCACTTGCAGATTCTACAGAAAGAGGTTTTCAAAACTGCTCTATGAAGAGGTATGTTCAACGCTGTGAGTTGAATGCAAACATCACGAAGTAGTTTCTGAGAATGCTTCTGTCTAGTTATTAGGGGAAGATATTTCCATTGGCACAATATCCCTCAAAGCGCTCCAAGTATCCACTGGCAGATTCTAGCAAAAGAGTGTTTCAAAACTGCTCTGTGAAAAGAAATCTTCAACTGTGTTAGTTGAATGCCCACATCACAAAGATGATTGTGAGAATATTTCTGTCTAGTTTTTATTAGAAGATATTCCCGTTTTCACCAAGGGACACAAAGCAAAGCCAATTATCCGCTTGCAGATCTTACAAAAACACGTTTCAAACCTGCTCTATCAAAGGAAAGGTTCATCTCTCTGGGTTCAACGCACACATCACAAAGAAGTTTCTGGGAATGCTTCTGGCTAGTTTGTGTGTGAAGATATTCCCATTTCCAACAAAGGCTTCAAAGCGCTCCAAAGATTCACCTGCAATTGTTCCAAAGAGTGTTTCAAAACTGTTGTATCAAAAGGAAGGTTCAACTCTGTGAGTTGAAGGCACGCTTCACATAAATGTTTCTGAGAATGCTTCTTTCTAGTTTTTATGTGAAGATATTTCCTTCTCCACCATAGCCCTCAAAGCGCTCCAAGTGTCCGCTGGCAGATTGCACAGAAACAGTGTTTCAAAACTGCTCTCACAAAAGAAAGATTCAACTCCGTGATCTGAATGCACACATCACAAAGCATTTTCTGTGAATCCTTCTGTCTAGTTTTTATATGAGGATATTTCCTTTTCTACCATGGACATCAAAGCGTTCCAATTATCCAATTGTGGATTGCACAAACAGAGTGTTTCAAAACTGCTTCATGAAAAGGAAGATTCAAATTCGGGAGTAGAATGCACACATCACGAAGAAGTTTCTGAGAATGCTTCTGTCCAGTTTATATGTGAAGATATTCCCGTTTCCAGCAAAGGTCTCAAAGCGGTCCAAATATCCACTTGCGGATCCCACAAACAGAGTGTTTCAAAGCTGCTCTACGGAAAGGTATGTTCAACTCTGTGAGTTTACTGCAAACATCCTAAAGAAGTTTCTGGGAATGCTGCTGTCTACTTTAATGTGAATATATTTTCTTTTCCGCCATAGCCCTCAAAGAGCTCCAAATATCCACTTTCAGATTCTACAGTGTGTTTTAAAACTGCTCTATCAAAAAAAGGTTTCAAATCGGTGAGTCGAATGCACATATCACAAAGCACTTTCTGAGAATGCTTTCCTCTATTTTTCCCAGGAAGATATTTCCTTTTGGACCGTAGGCCTCAAATCGCTCCAGATATCCACATGCAGATTCTACAAAAAGAGTGTTTCCAAACTGCCCTATCAAAAGGAAGATTCAACTCTGGTAGTTGAATGCAAACATCACAAAGAAGTTTACTCAGAATGCTTCTGTCTAGTTGTCATAGGCAGATATTTCTTTTTCTACGATGGGCCTCAAAGCGCTCCAAATATCCACTTGCAGATCCTCCAAAAACAGTGTTTCAAAACTGCTCCATAAAAAGGAAGGTTCAACTCTGTGAGTTGAATGGACAGACCACAAAGAAGTTTCTGAGAATGCTTCTGTCTAGTGTTTATGTGAAGATATTCCCGTTTCCGATGAAGGCCTCAAAGCAGTCCAAATGTCCACTTGCAGATTCTACAAAAATAGTGTTTCGAAACTACTCTATGCAAAGGTATGTTCAACACTGTGAGATGAATGCAAACGTCACCAAGAAGTTGCTGAGAATGATTCAGTCTAGTTTCTATGGGAAGACATTTCCTTTTGCACCACAGCCCTCAAAGCACCCCAAATGTCTACCTGCAGATTCGATAAAAGAGTTTTTCAAAACTGCTCCATCCAAAGAAAGGTTCAACGCTGTGAGTTGAATCTACATATCACAAAAATGTTTCTGAGAATGCCTCTATCTACTTTTCCTGTGAAGATATTCCGGTTTCCAACGAAGGCCTCAAAGCGCTCGAAATATCTACTTGCAGATTCTAGAAAAAGAGTGTTTCAAAACTGCTCTATTGAAGGAAGGTTCAACTCTGTGAGTTGAATTCACACATCACAAAGAACTTTCTGACAATGCTTCTATCTAGTTTTTATGTGAAGATATTACTGTTTCCTATGAAGGCCTCAAAGTGGCCCGAATATCCACTTGCAGATTCTACAGAAAGAGGTTTTCAAAACTGCTCTCTGAAGAGGTATGTTCAACTCTGTGTGTTGAATGCAGACATCACGAAGTAGTTTCTGAGAATGCTTCTGTCTAGTTTTTAGGGGAAGATATTTCCATTGGCACAATAGCCCTCAAAGCGCTCCAAATATCCACTGGCAGATTCTACCAAAAGAGTGTTTCAAAACTGCTCTGTGAAAAGAAATGTTCAACTGTGTTTGTTGAATGCCCACATCACAAAGAAGATTCTGAGAATATTTCTGTCTAGTTTTTATTAGAAGATATTCCCGTTTCCACCAAAGGACACAAAGCGAAGCCAATTATCCGCTTGCAGCATCTTACAAAAACACGTTTCAAAACTGCTCTATCAAAGGAAAGGTTCATCTCTCTGGGTTCAACGCACACATCACAAAGAAGTTTCTGAGAATGCTTCTGGCTAGTTTGTGTGTGAAGATATTCCCATTTCCAACAAAGGCTTCAAAGCGCTCCAAAGATTCACCTGCAATTGTTCAAAAGAGTGTTTCAAAACTGTTCTATCAAAAGGAAGGTTCAACTCTGTGAGTTGAAGGCACGCTTCACATAAATGATTCCGAGAATGCTTCTTTCTAGTTTTTATGGGAAGATATTTCCTTCTCCACCATAGCCCTCAAAGCGCTCCAAGTGTCCGCTGGCAGATTCCACAGAAACAGTGTTTCAAAACTGCTCTGACAAAAGAAAGATTCAACTCCGTGATTTGAATGCACACAACACAAAGCATTTTCTGTGAATCCTTCTGTCTAGTTTTTATATGAGGATACTTCCTTTTCTACCATGGGCATCAAAGCGTTCCAATTATCCAATTGTGGATTGCACAAACAGAGTGTTTCAAAACTGCTTCATGAAAAGGAAGATTCAAATTCGCGAGGAGAATGCACACATCACGAAGAAGTTTCTGAGAATGCTTCTGTCTAGTTTATATGTGAAGATATTCCCGTTTCCAGCAAAGGTCTCAAAGCGGTCCAAATATCCACTTGCGGATCCCACAAACAGAGTGTTTCAATACTGCTCTACGGAAAGGTATGTTCAACTCTGTGAGTTTACTGCAAACATCCTAAAGAAGTTTCTGGGAATGCTGCTGTCTAGTTTAATGTGAATATATTTTCTTTTCCGCCATAGCCCTCAAAGAGCTCCAAATATCCACTTTCAGATTCTACAGAGTGTTTCAAAACTGCTCTATCAAAAAAAAAGTTTCAACTCGGTGAGTCGAATGCACATATCACAAAGCAGTTTCTGAGAATTCTTTCGTCTATTTTTCCCAGGAAGATATTTCCTTTTTGACCGTAGGCCTCAAACCGCTCCAGATATCCACATGCAGATTCTACAAAAAGAGTGTTTCCAAACTACCCTATCAAAAGGAAGGTTCAACTCTGCTACTTGAATTCAAACATCACAGAGAAGTTTCTCGGAATGCTTCTGTCTAGTTGTCATAGGCAGATATTTCTTTTTCTACCATAGGCCTCAAAGTGCTCCAAATATCCACTTGCAGATCCTCCGAAAACAGTGTTTCAAAACTGCTCCATAAAAAGGAAGGTTCAACTCTGTGAGTTGAATGGACAGACCACAAAGAAGTTTCTGAGAATGCTTCTCTCTAGTGTTTATTTGAAGATATTCCCGTTTCCGATGAAGGCCTCAAAGCAGTCCAAATATCCACTTGCCGATTCTACAAAAACAGTGTTTCAAAACCACTCTATGGAAAGGTATGTTCAACACTGTGAGATGAATGCAAACGTCACCAAGAAGTTGCTGAGAATGCTTCAGTCTAGTTTCTATGGGAAGACATTTCCTTTTGCACCACAGCCCTCAAAGCACCCCGAATGTCTACCTGCAGATTCGATAAAAGAGTTTTTCAAAACTGCTCCATCCAAAGAAAGGTTCAACACTGTGAGTTGAATCTACATATCACAAAAAAGCTTCTGAGAATGCCTCTATCTACTTTTCCTGTGAAGATATTCCGGTTTCCAACGAAGGCCTCAAAGCGCTCCAAATATCTACTTGCAGATTCTAGAAAAAGAGTGTTTCAAAACTGCTCTATTAAAGGAAGGTTCAACTCTGTGAGTTGAATTCACACATCACAAAGAACTTTCTGACCATGCTTCTATCTAGTTTTTATGTGAAGATATTACTGTTTCCTATGAAGGCCTCAAAGTGGTCCGAATATCCACTTGCAGATTCTCCAGAAAGAGGTTTTCAAAACTGCTCTGTGAAGAGGTATGTTCAACTCTGTGTGTTGAATGCAAACATCACGAAGTAGTTTCTGAGAATGCTTCTGTCTAGTTTTCAGGGGCAGATATTTCCATTGGCACAGTAGCCCTCCAAGCGCTCCAAATATCCACTGGCAGATTCTACCAAAAGAGTGTTTCAAAACTGCTCTGTGAAAAGAAATGTTCAACTGTGTTAGTTGAATGCCCACATCACAAAGGAGATTCTGAGAATATTTCTGTCTAGTTTTTATTAGAAGATATTCCCGTTTCCACCAAAGGACACAAAGCGAAGCCGATTATCCGCTTGCAGACCTTACAAAAACACGTTTCAAAACTGCTCTATCAAAGGAAAGGTTCATCTCTCTGGGTTCAACGCACGCATCACAAAGAAGTTTCTGAGAATGCTTCTGGCTAGTTTGTGTGTGAAGATATTCCCAATTCCAACAAAGGCTTCAAAGCGCTCCAAAGATTCACCTGCAATTGTTCAAAAGAGTGTTTCAAAACTGTTCTATCAAAAGGAAGGTTCAACTCTGTGAGTTGAATGCACGCTTCACATAAATGTTTCTGAGAATGCTTCTCTCTAGTTTTTATGGGAAGATATTTCCTTCTCCACCATAGCCCTCAAAGCGCTCCAAGTGTCCCCTGGCAGATTCCACAGAAACAGTGTTTCAAAACTGCTCTGACAAAAGAAAGATTCAACTCCGTGATTTGAATGCACACATCACAAAGCATTTTCTGTGAATCCTTCTGTCTAGTTTTTATATGAGGATATTTCCTTTTCTACCATGGGCATCAAAGCGTTCCAATTATCCAATTGTGGATTGCACAAACAGAGTGTTTCAAAACTGCTTCATGAAAAGGAAGATTCAAATTCGGGAGGAGAATGCACACAACACGAAGAAGTTTCTGAGAATGCTTCTGTCTAGTTTATATGTGAAGATATTCCCATTTCCAGCAAAGGTCTCAAAGCGGTCCAAATATCCCCTTGCGGATCCCACAAACAGAGTGTTTCAAAACTGCTCTACAGAAAGGTAGGTTCAACTCTGTGAGTTTACTGCAAACATCCTAAAGAAGTTTCTGAGAATGCTGCTGTCTACTTTAATGTGAATATATTTTCTTTTCCGCCATAGCCCTCAAAGAGCTCCAAATATCCACTTTCAGATTCTACAGAGTGTTTCAAAACTGCTGTATCAAAAAAAAGTTTCAACTCGGTGAGTCGAATGCACATATCACAAAGCACTTTCTGAGAATGCTTTCGTCAATTTTTCCCAGGAAGATATTTCCTTTTTGACCGTAGGCCTCAAACCGCTCCAGATATCCACATGCAGATTCTACAAAAAGAGTGTTTCCAAACTGCCCTATCAAAAGGAAGGTTCAACTCTGCTAGTTGAATGCAAACATCACAAAGAAGTTTCTCGGAATGCTTCTGTCTGGTTTTTAGAGGCAGATATTTCTTTTTCTACCATAGGCCTCAAAGCGCTCGAAATATCCACTTGCAGATTCTCCAAACACAGTGATTCAAAACTGCTCCATAAAAAGGAAGGTTCAACTCTGTGAGTTGAATGGACAGATCACAAAGAAGTTTCTGAGAATGCTTCTGTCCAGTGTTTATGTGAAGATATTCCCGTTTCCGATGGAGGCCTCAAAGCAGTCCAAATATCCACTTGCAGATTCTACAAAAATAGTGTTTCAAAACTACTCTATGCAAAGGTATGTTCAACACTGTGAGATCAATGCAAACGTCACAAAGAAGTTGCTGAGAATGCTTTCAGTCTAGTTTCCATGGGAAGACATTTCCTTTGGCACCACAGCCCTCAAAGCACTCCAAATGTCTACTTGCAGATTCAACAAAAGAGTTTTTCAAAACTGCTCTATCAAAAGAAAGGTTCAACGCTGTCAGATGAATCAACATATCACAAAAAAGTTTCTGAGAATGCCTCTATCTACTTTCTATGTGAAGATATTCCGGTTTTCAACGAAGGCCTCAAAGCGCTCCAAATATCTACTTGCATATTCTAGAAAAAGAGTGTTTCAAAACTGCTCTACTAAAGGAAGGTTCAACTCTGTGAGTTGAATTCACACATCACAAAGAACTTTCTGACAATGCTTCTATCTAGTTTTTATGTGAAGATATTACTGTTTCCTATGAAGGCCTCAAAGTGGTCCGAATATCCACTGGCAGATTCTACAAAAAGAGGTTTTCAAAACTGCTCTATGCAGAGGTATGTTCAACCCTGTGAGTTGAATGCAAACATCACGAAGCAGTTTCTGAGAATGCTTCTGTCTAGTTTTTAGGGGAAGATATCTCCATTGGCACAATAGCCCTCAAAGCGCTCCAAGTATCCACTGGCAGATTCTAGGAAAAGAGTGTTTCAAAACTGCTCTGTGAAAAGAAATGTTCAACTGTGTTAGTTGAATGCCCACATTACAAAGATGATTGTGAGAATATTTCTGTCTAGTTTTTATTAGAAGATATTCCCGTTTCCACCAAAGGACACAAAGCGAAGCCAATTATCCGCTTGCCGATCTTACAAAAACACGTTTCAAAACTGCTCTATCCAAGGAAAGGTTCATCTCTCTGGGTTCAACGCACACATCACAAAGAAGTTTCTGAGAATGCTTCTGGCTAGTTTGTGTGTGAAGATATTCCCATTTCCAACAAAGGCTTCAAAGCGCTCCAAAGATTCACCTGCAATTGTTCAAAAGAGTGTTTCAAAACTGTTGTATCCAAAGGAAGGTTCAACTCTGTGAGTTGAATGCACGCTTCACATAAATGTTTACTGAGAATGCTTTCTTTCTAGTTTTTATGTGAAGATATTTCCTTCTCCACCATAACCCTCAAAGCGCTCCAAGTGTCCGCTGGCAGATTCCACAGAAACAGTGTTTCAAAACTGCTCTAACAAAAGAAAGATTCAACTCCGTGATTTGAATGCACACATCACAAAGCATTTTCTGTGAATCCTTCTGTCTAGTTTTTATATGAGGATATTTCCTTTTCTACCACGGTCATCTAAGCCTTCCAATTCTCCAATTGTAGATTGCACAAACAGAGTGTTTCAAAACTGCTCCATGAGAAGGAAGATTCAAATTTGGGAGTACAATGCACACATCACGAAGACGTTTCTGAGAATGCTTCTATCTAGTTTATATGTGAAGATATTCCCGTTTCCAGCAAAGGTCTCAAAGCGGTCCAAATATCCACTTGCGGATCCCACAAACAGAGTGTTTCAAAACTGCTCTACGGAAAGGTATGTTCAACTCTGTGAGTTTACTGCAAACATCCTAAAGAAGTTTCTGGGAATGCTGCTGTCTAGTTTAATGTGAATATATTTTCTTTTCCGCCATAGCCCTCAAAGAGCTCCAAATATCCACTTTCAGATTCTACAGAGTGTTTCAAAACTGCTCTATCAAAAAAAAGTTTCAACTCGGTGAGTCGAATGCACATATCACAAAGCAGTTTCTGAGAATTCTTTCGTCTTTTTTTCCCAGGAAGATATTTCCTTTTGGACCGTAGGCCTCAAATCACTCCAGATATCCACATGCAGATTCTACAAAAAGAGTGTTTCCAAACTGCCCTATCAAAAGGAAGGTTCAACTCTGGTAGTTGAATGCAAACATCACAAAGAAGTTTCTCAGAATGCTTCTGTCTATTTGTCATAGGCAGATATTTCTTTTTCTACCATAGGCCTCAAAGCGCTCCAAATATCCACTTGCAGATTCTCCAAAAACAGTGTTTCAAAACTGCTCCATAAAAAGGAAGGTTCAACTCTGTGATTTGAATGGACAGACCACAAAGAAGTTTCTGAGAATGCTTCTCTCTAGTGTTTATGTGAAGATATTCCCGTTTCCGATGAAGGCCTCAAAGCAGTCCACATATCCACTTGCAGATTCTACAAAAACAGTGTTTCAAAAGTACTCGATGGAAAGGTATGTTCAACACTGTGAGATGAATGCAAACGTCACAAAGAAGTTGCTGAGAATGCTTCAGTCTAGTTTCTATGGGAAGACTTTTCCTTTTGCACCAGAGCCCGCAAAGCACCCCAAATGTCTACCTGCAGATTCGATAAAAGAGTTTTTCAAAACTGCTCCATCCAAAGAAAGATTCAACGCTGTGAGTTGAATCTACATATCACAAAAAAGTTTCTGAGAATGCCTCTATCTACTTTTTATGTGAAGATATTCCGGTTTCCAACGAAGGCCTCAAAGCGCTCCAAATATCTACTGGCAGATTCTCGAAAAAGAGTGTTTCAAAACTGCTCTATTAAAGGAAGGTTCAACTCTGTGAGTTGAATTCACACATCACAAAGAACTTTCTGACAATGCTTCTATCTAGTTTTTATGCGAAGATATTACTGTTTCCTATGAAGGCCTCAAAGTGCTCCGAATATCCACTTGCAGATTCTACAAAAAGAGGTTTTCAAAAGTGCTCTGTGAAGAGGTATGTTCAACTCTCTGAGTTGAATGCAAACATCACGAAGTAGTTTCTGAGAATGCTTCTGTCTAGATTTTAGGGGCAGATATTTCCATTGGCACAACAGCCCTCAAAGCGCTCCAAATATCCACTGGCAGATTCGACCAAAAGTGTGTTTCAAAACTGCTCTGTGAAAAGAAATGTTCAACTGTGTTAGTTGAATGCCCACATCACAAAGGAGATTCTGAGAATATTTCTGTCTAGTTTTTATTAGAAGATATTCCCGTTTCCACCAAAGGACACAAAGCGAAGCCAATTATCCGCTTGCCGATCTTACAAAAACACGTTTCAAAACTGCTCTATCAACGGAAAGGTTCATCTCTCTGGGTTCAACGCACACATCACAAAGAAGTTTCTGAGAATGCTTCTGGTTAGTTTGTGTGTGAAGATATTCCCATTTCCAACAAAGGCTTCAAAGCGCTCCAAAGATTCACCTGCAATTGTTCAAAAGAGTGTTTCAAAACTGTTGTATCCAAAGGAAGGTTCAACTCTGTGAGTTGAATGCACGCTTCACATAAATGTTTCTGAGAATGCTTCTCTTTCTAGTTTTTATGGGAAGATATTTCCTTCTCCACCACAGCCCTCAAAGCGCTCCAAGTGTCCGCTGGCAGATTCCACAGAAACAGTGTTTCAAAACTGCTCTGACAAAAGAAAGATTCAACTCCGTGATTTGAAAGCACACATCACAAAGCATTTTCTGTGAATCCTTCTGTCTAGTTTTTATATGAGGATATTTCCTTTTCTACCATGGGCATCAAAGCGTTCCAATTATCCAATTGTGGATTGCACAAACAGAGTGTTTGAAAACTGCTTCATGAAAAGGAAGATTCAAATTCGGGAGTAGAATGCACACATCACGAGGAAGTTTCTGAGAATGCTTCTGTCTAGTTTATATGTGAAGATATTCCCGTTTCCAGCAAAGGTCTCAAAGCGGTCCAAATATCCACTTGCGGATCCCACAAACAGAGTGTTTCAAAACTGCTCTACGGAAAGGTATGTTCAACTCTGTGAGTTTACTGCAAACATCCTAAAGAAGTTTCTGGGCATGCTGCTGTCTACTTTAATGTGAATATAATTTCTTTTCCGCCATAGCCCTCAAAGAGCTCCAAATATCCACTTTCAGATTCTGCAGAGTGTTTCAAAACTGCTCTATCAAAAAAAAGTTTCAACTCGGTGAGTCGAATGCACATATCACAAAGCACTTTCTGAGAATGCTTTCGTCTATTTTTCCCAGGAAGATATTTCCTTTTTGACCGTAGGCCTCAAACCGCTCCAGATATCCACATGCGGGTTCTACAAAAAGAGTGTTTCCAAACTGCCCTATCAAAAGGAAGGTTCAACTCTGCTAGTTGAATGCAAACATCACAAAGAAGTTTCTCGGAATGCTTCTGTCTAGTTTTTAGAGGCAGATATTTCTTTTTCTACCATAGGCCTCAAAGCGCTCTAAATATCCACTTGCAGATTCTCCAAAAACAGTGTTTCAAAACTGCTCCATAAAAAGGAAGGTTCAACTCTGTGAGTTGAATGGACAGATCACAAAGTAGTTTCTGAGAATGCTTCTGTCTAGTGTTTATGTGAAGATATTCCCGTTTCCGATGAAGGCCTCAAAGCAGTCCAAATATCCACTTGCAGATTCTACAAAATTAGTGTTTCAAAACTTCTCTATGGAAAGGTATGTTCAACACTGTGAGATGAATGCAAACGTCACAAAGAAGTTGCTGAGAATGCTTCAGTCTAGTTTCTATGGGAAGACATTTCCTTTTGCACCAGAGCCCTCAAAGCACTCCAAATGTCTACTTGCAGATTCGATAAAAGAGTTTTTCGAAACTGCTCTATCAAAAGAAAGGTTCAACGCTGTGAGTTGAATCTACATATGACAAAAAAGTTTCTGAGCATGCCTCTATCTACTTTTTATGTGAAGATATTCCAGTTTCCAATGAAGGCCTCAAAGTGCTCCAAATATCTACTTGCAGATTCTACCAAAAGAGTGTTTGAAAACTGCTCTATTGAAGGAAGGTTCTACTCTGTGAGTTGAATTCACACATCACAAAGAAGTTTCTGAGAATGCTACTATCTAGTTTTTATGTGAAGATATTACTATTTCTTCTGAAGGCCTCAAAGTGGTCCAAATATCCACTTGCAGATTCTACAAAAAGAGGATTTCAAAACTGCTCTATGAAGAGGGAAGTTCAACTCTGGTAGTTGAATGCAAACATCACAAAGCAGTTTCTGAGAATGCTTCTGTCTAGTTTTGATATGCAGATATTTCTTTCTCTACCATAGGCTTCAAAGCGCTCCAAATATCCACTTGCAGATTCTACAAAAACAGTGTTTCAAAACGGCTCCATAAAAAGGAAGGTTCAACTCTGTGAGTTGAATGGACACATCACAAAGAAGTTTCTGAGAATGCTTCTGTCTAGTTTTTATTAGAAGATATTCCCGTTTCCACCAAAGGACACAAAGCGAAGCCCATTATCCCCTTGCAGATCTTACAAAAACACGTTTCAAAACTGCTCTATCAAAGGAAAGGTTCATCTCTCTGGGTTCAACGCACACATCACAAAGAAGTTTCTGAGAATGCTTCTGGCTACTTTGTGTGTGAAGATATTCCCATTTCCAACAAAGGCTTCAAAGCCCTCCAAATATTCACCTGCAATTGTACAAAAGAGTGTTTCAAAACTGTTCTATCAAAAGGAAGGTTCAACTCTGTGAGTTGAATGCACGCTTCACATAAATGGTTCTGAGAATGCTTCTTTCTAGTTTTTATGGGAAGATATTTCCTTCTCCACCACAGCCCTCAAAGCGCTCCAAGTGTCCGCTGGCAGATTCCACAGAAACAGTGTTTCAAAACTGCTCTAACAAAAGAAAGATTCAACTCCGTGATTTGAATGCACACTTCACAAAGCATTTTCTGTGAATCCTTCTGTCTAGTTTTTATATGAGGATATTTCCTTTTCTACCATGGGCATCAAAGCGTTCCAATTATCCAATTGTGGATTGCACAAACAGAGTGTTTCAAAACTGCTTCATGAAAAAGAAGATTCAAATTCGGGAGGAGAATGCACACATCACGAAGAAGTTTCTGAGAATGCTTCTGTCTATTTTATACGTGAAGATATTCCCATTTCCAGCAAAGGTCTCAAAGCGGTCCAAATATCCACTTGCGGATCCCACAAACAGAGTGTTTCAAAACTGCTCTACGGAAAGGTATGTTCAACTCTGTGAGTTTACTGCAAACATCCTAAAGAAGTTTCTGAGAATGCTGCTGTCTAGTTTAATGTGAATATCTTTTCTTTTCCGCCATAGCCCTCAAAGAGCTCCAAATATCCACTTTCAGATTCTACAGAGTGTTTCAAAACTGCTCTATCCAAAAAAAGTTTCAACTCGGAGAGTCGAATGCACATATCACAAAGCAGTTTCTGAGAATGCTTTCGTCTATTTTTCCCAGGAAGATATTTCCTTTTGGACCGTAGGCCTCAAATCGCTCCAGATATCCACATGCAGATTCTACAAAAAGAGTGTTTCAAAACTGACCTATCAAAAGCAAGGTTCAACCCTGGTAGTTGAATGCAAACATCACAAAGAAGTTTCTCAGAATGCTTCTGTCTAGTTTTTAGAGGCAGATATTTATTTTTCTACCATAGGCCTCAAAGCGCTCCAAATATCCACTTGCAGATTCTCCAAAAACAGTGTTTCAAAACTGCTCCATAAAAAGGAAGGTTCAACTCTGTGAGTTGAATGGACAGATCACAAAGAAGTTTCTGAGAATGCTTCTCTCTAGTGTTTATGTGAAGAATATTCCCGTTTCCGATGAAGGCCTGAAAGCAGTCCAAATATCCACTTGCCGATTCTACAAAAACAGTGTTTCAAAACCACTCTATGGAAACGTATGTTCAACACTGTGAGATGAATGCAAACGTCACCAAGAAGTTGCTGAGAATGCTTCAGTCTAGTTTCTATGGGAAGACATTTCCTTTTGCACCACAGCCCTCAAAGCACTCCAAATGTCTACTTGCAGATTCGATAAAAGAGTTTTACAAAACTGCTCTATCAAAAGAAAGGTTCAACGCTGTGAGTTGAATCCACATAACACGAAAAAGTTTCTGAGAATGCCTCTATCTACTTTTTATGTGAAGATATTCCGGTTTCCAACGAAGGCCTCAAAGCGCTCCAAATATCTACTGGCAGATTCTAGAAAAAGAGTGTTTCAAAACTACTCTATTAAAGGAAGGTTCAACTCTGTGAGTTGAATTCACACATCACAAAGAACTTTCTGACAATTCTTCTATCTAGTTTTTATGTGAAGATATTACTGTTTCCTATGAAGGTCTCAAAGTGGTCCGAATATCCACTTGCAGATTCTACAAGAAGAGGTTTTCCAAACTGCTCTATGAAGAGGTAGGTTCAACTCTGTGAGTTGAATGCAAACATCACAAAGCAGTTTCTGAGAATGATTCTGTCTAGTTTTTAGGGGAAGATATCTCCATTGGCACAATAGCCCTCAAAGCGCTCCAAGTATCCACTGGCAGATTCTAGCAAAAGAGTGTTTCAAAACTGCTCTGTGAAAAGAAATGTTCAACTGTGTTAGTTGAATGCCCACATCACAAAGACGATTGTGAGAATATTTCTGTCTAGTTTTTATTAGAAGATATTCCCGTTTCCACCAAAGGACACAAAGCGAAGCCAATTATCCACTTGCAGATCTTACAAAAACACGTTTCAAAACTGCTCTATCCAAGGAAAGGTTCATCTCTCTGGGTTCAACGCACACATCACAAAGAAGTTTCTGAGAATGCTTCTGGCTAGTTTGTGTGTGAATATATTCCTATTTCCAACAAAGGCTTCAAAGCGCTCCAAAGATTCACCTGCAATTGTTCAAAAGAGTGTTTCAAAACTGTTCTGTGAAAAGAAATGTTCAACTGTGTTAGTTGAATGCCCACATCACAAAGAAGATTCTGAGAATATTTCTTTCTAGTTTTTATGGGAAGATATTTCCTTCTCCACCATAGCCCTCAAAGCGCTCCAAGTGTCCGCTGGCAGATTCCACAGAAACAGTGTTTCAAAACTGCTCTGACAAAAGAAAGATTCAACTCCGTGATTTGAATGCACACATCACATAGCATTTTCTGTGAATCCTTCTGTCTAGTTTTTATATGAGGATATTTCCTTTTCTACCATGGGCATCAAAGCGTTCCAATTATCCAATTGTGGATTGCACAAACAGAGTGTTTCAAAACTGCTTCATGAAAAGGAAGATTCAAATTCGGGAGTAGAATGCACACATCACGAGGAAGTTTCTGAGAATGCTTCTGTCTAGTTTATATGTGAAGATATTCCCATTTCCAGCAAAGGTCTCAAAGCGGCCCAAATATCCACTTGCGGATCCCACAGACAGAGTGTTTCAAAACTGCTCTACGGAAAGGTATGTTCAACTCTGTGAGTTTACTGCAAACATCCTAAAGAAGTTTCTGAGAATGCTGCTGTCTACTTTAATGTGAATATATTTTCTTTTCCGCCATAGCCCTCAAAGAGCTCCAAATATCCACTTTCAGATTCTACAGAGTGTTTCAAAACTGCTCTATCAAAAAAAGGTTTCAACTCGGTGAGTCGAATGCACATATCACAAAGCACTTTCTGAGAATGCTTTCGTCTATCTTTCCCAGGAAGATATTTCCTTTTGGACCGTAGGCCTCAAATCGTTCCAGATATCCACATGCAGATTCTACAAAAAGAGTGTTTCCAAACTGCCCTATCAAAAGGAAGGTTCAACTCTGGTAGTTGAAGGCAAACATCACAAAGAAGTTTCTCAGAATGCTTCTGTCTGGTTTTTAGAGGCAGATATTTCTTTTTCTACCATAGGCCTCAACGCGCTCCAAATATCCACTTGCAGATTCTCCAAAAGGAGTGTTTCAAAACTGCTCCATAAAAAGGAAGGTTCAACTCTGTGAGTTGAATGGAGAGATCACAAAGAAGTTTCTGAGAATGCTTCTGTCTAGTGTTTATGTGAAGATATTCCCGTTTCCGATGAAGGCCTCAAAGCAGTCCAAATATCCACTTGCAGATTCTACAAAAATAGTGTTTCAAAACTACTCTATGGAAAGGTATGTTCAACACTGTGAGATGAATGCAAACGTCACAAGGAATTTGCTGAGAATGCTTCAGGCTAGTTTCTATGGGAAGACATTTCCTTTTGCACCACAGCCCTCAAAGCACCCCAAATGTCTACCTGCAGATTCGATAAAAGAGTTTTTCAAAACTGCTCCATCCAAAGAAAGGTTCAACGCTGTGAGTTGAATCTACATATCACAAAGAGTTTCTGAGAATGCGTCTATCTACATTTCCTGTGAAGATATTCCGGTTTACAACGAAGGCCTCCAAGCGCCCCAAATATCTCCTTGCAGATTCTAGAAAAAGAGTGTTTCAACACTGCTCTATTAAAGGAAGTTTCAACTCTGTGAGTTTAATTCACACATCACAAAGAACTTCCTGACAATGCTTCTATCTAGTTTTTATGTGAAGGTATTACTGTTTCCTATGAAGGCCTCAAAGTGGTCCGAATATCTACTTGCAGATTCTACCAAAAGAGGTTTTCAAAACTGCTCTATGAAGAGGTATGTTCAACTCTGTGAGTTGAATGCAAACATCACAAAGTAGTTTCTGAGAATGCTTCTGTCTAGTTTTTAGGGGCAGATATTTCCATTGGCACAATAGCCCTCAAAGCGCTCCAAATATCCACTGGCAGATTCGACCAAAAGAGTGTTTCAAAACTGCTCTGTGAAAAGAAATCTTCGACTGTGTTAGATGAATGCCCACATCACAAAGAAATTTCTGAGAATATCTCTGTCTAGTTTTTATTAGAAGATATTCCCGTTTCCACCAAAGGACACAAAGCGAAGACAATTATCCACTTGCAGATCTTACAAAAACACGTTTCAAAACTGCTCTATCAAAGGAAAGGTTCATCTCTCTGGGTTCAACGCACACATCACAAAGAAGTTTCTGAGAATGCTTCTGGCTAGTTTGTGTGTGAAGATATTCCCATTTCCAACAAAGGCTTCAAAGCGCTCCAAAGATTCACCTGCAATTGTTCAAAAGCGTGTTTCAAAACTGTTGTATCAAAAGGAAGGTTCAACTCTGTGAGTTGAATGCACGCTTCACATAAATGTTTCTGAGAATGCTTCTTTCTAGTTTTTATGGGAAGATATTTCCTTCTCCACCACAGCCCTCAAAGCACTCCAAGTGTCCGCTGGCAGATTCCACAGAAAGAGTGTTTCAAAACTGCTCTAACAAAAGAAAGATTCAACTCCGTGATTTGAATGCACACATCACAAAGCATTTTCTGTGAATCCTTCTGTCTAGTTTTTATATGAGGATATTTCCTTTTCTACCATGGGCATCAAAGGGTTCCAATTATCCAATTGTAGATTGCACAAACAGAGTGTTTCAAAACTGCTACATGAGAAGGAAGATTCAAATTTGGGAGTACAATGCACACATCAAAAAGAAGTTTCTGAGAATGCTTCTGTCTAGTTTATACGTGAAGATATTCCCATTTCCAGCAAAGGTCTCAAAGCGGTCCAAATATCCACTTGCGGATCCCACAAACAGAGTGTTTCAAAACTGCTCTACGGAAAGGTATGTTAAACTCTGCGAGTTTACTGCAAACATCCTAAAGAAGTTTCTGAGAATGCTGCTGTCTACTTTTTTAATGTGAATATATTTTCTTTTCCGCCATAGCCCTCAAAGAGCTCCAAATATCCACTTTCAGATTCTACAGAGTGTTTCAAAACTGCTCTATCAAAAAAAAGTTTCAGCTCGCTGAGTCGAATGCACATATCACAAAGCACTTTCTGAGAATGCTTTCGTCTATTTTTCCCAGGAAGATATTTCCTTTTTGACCGTAGGCCTCAAACCGCTCCAGATATCCACATGCAGATTCTACAAAAAGAGTGTTTCCAAACTGCCCTATCAAAAGGAAGGTTCAACTCTGCTAGTTGAATGCAAACATCACACAGAAGTTTCTCGGAATGCTTCCGTCTGGTTTTTAGAGGCAGATATTTCTTTTTCTACCATAGGCCTCAAAGCGCTCCAAATATCCACTTGCAGATTCTCCAAAAGGAGTGTTTCAAAACTGCTCCATAAAAAGGAAGGTTCAACTCTGTGAGTTGAATGGACAGATGACAAAGAAGTTTCTGAGAATGCTTCTCTCTAGTGTTTATGTGAAGATATTCCCGTTTCCGATGAAGGCCTCAAAGCAGTCCAAATATCCACTTGCCGATTCTACAGAAACAGTGCTTCAAAACCACTCTATGGAAAGGTATGTTCAACACTGTGAGATGAATGCAAACGTCACCAAGAAGTTGCTGAGAATGCTTCAGTCTAGTTTCTATGGGAAGAACATTTCCTTTTGCACCACAGCCCTCAAAGCACCCCAAATGTCTACCTGCAGATTCGATAAAAGAGTTTTTCAAAACTGCTCCATCCAAAGAAAGGTTCAACGCTGTGAGTTGAATCTACATATCACAAAAAAGTTTCTGAGAATGCCTCTATCTACTTTTCCTGTGAAGATATTCCGGTTTCCAACGAAGGCCTCAAAGCGCTCCAAGTATCTACTTGCAGATTCTAGAAAAAGAATGTTTCACAACTGCTCTATTGAAGGAAGGTTCAACTCTGTGAGTTGAATTCACACATCACAAAGAACTTTCTGACAATGCTTCTATCTAGTTTTTATGTGAAGATATTACTGTTTCCTATGAAGGCCTCAAAGTGGTCCGAATATCCACTTGCAGATTCTACAAAAAGAGGTTTTCAAAACTGCTCCATGCAGAGGTATGTTCAACCCTGTGAGTTGAATGCAAACATCACGAAGCAGTTTCTGAGAATGCTTCTGTCTAGTTTTTAGGGGCAGATATTTCCGTTGGCACAATAGCCCTCAAAGCGCTCCAAATATCCACTGGCAGATTCTACCAAAAGGGTGTTTCAAAACTGCTCTGTGAAAAGAAAGGTTCAACTGTGTTAGTTGAATGCCCACATCACGAAGAAGATTCTGAGAATATTTCTGTCTAGTTTTTATTAGAAGATATTCCCGTTTCCACCAAAGGACACAAAGCGAAGCCAACTATCCGCTTGCAGATCTTACAAAAACACGTTTCAAAACTGCTCTATCAAAGGAAAGGTTCATCTCTCTGGGTTCAACGCACACATCACAAAGAAGTTTCCGAGAATGCTTCTGGATAGTTTGTGTGTGAAGATATTCCCATTTCCAACAAAGGCTTCAAAGCGCTCCAAAGATTCACCTGCAATTGTTCAAAAGAGTGTTTCAAAACTGTTGTATCAAAAGGAAGGTTCAACTCTGTGAGTTGAATGCACGCTTCACATAAATGTTTCTGAGAATGCTTCTTTCTAGTTTTTATGTGAAGATATTTCCTTCTCCACCGTAGCCCTCAAAGCGCTCCAAGTGTCCGCTGGCAGATTCCACAGAAACAGTCTTTCAAAACTGCTCTAACAAAAGAAAGATTCAACTCCGTGATTTGAATGCACACATCACAAAGCATTTTCTGTGAATCCTTCTGTCTAGTTTTTATATGAGGATATTTCCTTTTCTACCATGGGAATCCAAGCGTTCCAATTCTCCAATTGTAGATTGCACAAACAGAGTGTTTCAAAACTGCTCCATGAGAAGGAAGATTCAAATTTGGGAGTACAATGCACACATCACCGAAGAAGTTTCTGAGAATGCTTCTGTCTAGTTTATATGTGAAGATATTCCCGTTTCCAGCAAAGGTCTCAAAGGGGTCCAAATATCCACTTGCGGATCCCACAAACAGAGTGTTTCAAAACTGCTCTACGGAAAGGTGTGTTCAACTCTGTGAGTTTACTGCAAACAACCTAAAGAAGTTTCTGGGAATGCTTGCTGTCTAGTTTAATGTGAATATATTTTCTTTTCCGCCATAGCCCTCGAAGAGCTCCAAATATCCACTTTCAGATTCTACAGAGTGTTTCAAAACTGCTCTATCAAAAAAAAGTTTCAACTCGGAGAGTCGAATGCACATATCACAAAGCAGTTTCTGAGAATGCTTTCGTCTATTTTTCCCAGGAAGATATTTCCTTTTTGACCGTAGGCCTCAAACCGCTCCAGATATCCACATGCAGGTTCTACAAAAAGAGTGTTTCCAAACTGCCCTATCAAAAGGAAGGTTCAACTCTGCTAGTTGAATGCAAACATCACAAAGAAGTTTCTCGGAATGCTTCTGTCTGGTGTTTAGGGGCAGATATTTCTTTTTCTACCATAGGCCTCAAAGCGCTCCAAATATCCACTTGCAGATTCTCCAAAAAGAGTGTTTCAAAACTGCTCCAGAAAAAGGAAGGTTCAACTCTGTGAGTTGAATGGACAGATGACAAAGAAGTTTCTGAGGATGCTTCTGTCCAGTGTTTATGTGAAGATATTCCCGTTTCCGATGAAGGCCTCAAAGCAGTCCAAATATCCACTTGCAGATTCTACAAAAATAGTGTTTCAAAACTACTCTATGCAAAGGTATGTTCAACACTGTGAGATCAATGCAAACGTCACAAAGAAGTTGCTGAGAATGCTTCAGTCTAGTTTCTATGGGAAGACATTTCCTTTTGCACCACAGCCCTCAAAGCACTCCAAATGTCTACTTGCAGATTCGATAAAAGAGTTTTTCCAAACTACTCTATCAAAAGAAAGGTTCAACGCTGTGAGATGAATCTACATATCACAAAAAAGTTTCTGAGAATGCCTCTATCTACTTTTCCTGTGAAGATATTCCGGTTTCCAACGAAGGCCTCAAAGCACTCCAAATATCTACTTGCAGATTCTAGAAAAAGAGTGTTTCAAAACTACTCTATTAAAGGAAGGTTCAACTCTGTGAGTTGAATTCACACATCACAAAGAGCTTTCTGACAATGCTTCTATCTAGTTTTTATGTGAAGATATTACTGTTTCTTATGAAGGCCTCAAAGTGGTCCGAATACCCACTTGCAGATTCTACAAGAAGAGGTTTTCCAAACTGCTCTATGAAGAGGTAGGTTCAACTCTGTGAGTTGAATGCAAACATCACAAAGCAGTTTCTGAGAATGCTTCTGTCTAGTTTTCAGGGGCAGATATTTCCATTGGCACAATAGCCCTCCAAGCGCTCCAAATATCCACTGGCAGATTCTACCAAAAGAGTGTTTCAAAACTGCTCTGTGAAAAGAAATGTTCAACTGTGTAAGTTGAATGCCCACATCACAAAGGAGATTCTGAGAATATTTCTGTCTAGTTTTTATTAGAAGATATTCCCGTTTCCACCAAAGGACACAAAGCGAAGCCCATTATCCGCTTGCAGACCTTACAAAAACACGTTTCAAAACTGCTCTATCAAAGGAAAGGTTCATCTCTGCTGGGTTCAACGCACACATCACAAAGAAGTTTCTGAGAATGCTTCTGGCTAGTTTGTGTGGGAAGATATTCCCATTTCCAACAAAGCCTTCAAAGCGCTCCAAAGATTCACCTGCAATTGTTCAAAAGAGTGTTTCAAAACTGTTCTATCAAAAGGAAGGTTCAACTCTGTGAGTTGAAGGCACGCTTCACATAAATGTTTCCGAGAATGCTTCTTTCTAGTTTTTATGTGAAGATATTTCCTTCTCCACCATAGCCCTCAAAGCGCTCCAAGTGTCCGCTGGCAGATTCCACAGAAACAGTGTTTCAAAACTGCTCTAACAAAAGAAAGATTCAACTCCGGTGATTTGAATGCACACATCACAAAGCATTTTCTGTGAATCCTTCTGTCTAGTTTTTATATGAGGATATTTCCTTTTCTACCATGGGCATCAAAGCGTTCCAATTATCCAATTGTGGATTGCACAAACAGAGTGTTTCAAAACTGCTTCATGAAAAGGAAGATTCAAATTCGGGAGTAGA
The DNA here is from genome assembly GCF_000001405.40 of Homo sapiens. Lineage (NCBI taxonomy): Eukaryota > Metazoa > Chordata > Mammalia > Primates > Hominidae > Homo > Homo sapiens. Next base: position 24,592,308 of record NC_000019.10, on the reverse strand, counting down.
ATGCACACATCAAGAGGAAGTTTCTGAGAATGCTTCTGTCTAGTTTATATGTGAAGATATTCCCATTTCCAGCAAAGGTCTCAAAGCGGTCCAAATATCCACTTGCGGATCCCACAAACAAAGTGTTTCAAAACTGCTCTACGGAAAGGTAGGTTCAACTCTGTGAGTTTACTGCAAACATCCTAAAGAAGTTTCTGAGAATGCTGCTGTCTACTTTAATGTGAATATATTTTCTTTTCCGTCATAGCCCTGAAAGAGCTCCAAATATCCACTTTCAGGTTCTACAGAGTGTTTCAAAACTGCTCTATCAAAAAAAAGTTTCAACTCGGTGAGTCGAATGCGCATATCACAAAGCCCTTTCTGAGAATGCTTTCGTCTATTTTTCCCAGGAAGATATTTCCTTTTTGACCGTAGGCCTCAAACCGCTACAGATATCCACATGCAGATTCTACAAAAAGAGTGTTTCCAAACTACCCTATCAAAAGGAAGGTTCAACTCTGCTACTTGAATGCAAACATCACAGAGAAGTTTCTCGGAATGCTTCTGTCTGGTTTTTAGAGGCAGATATTTCTTTTTCTACCATAGGCCTCAAAGCGCTCCAAATATCCACTTGCAGATTCTCCAAAAAGAGTGTTTCAAAACTGCTCCAGAAAAAGGAAGGTTCAACTCTGTGAGTTGAATGGACAGATCACAAAGAAGTTTCTGAGAGTGCTTCTCTCTAGTGTTTATGTGAAGATATTCCCGTTTCCGATGAAGGCCTCAAAGCAGTCCAAACACCCACTTGCCGATTCTACAAAAACAGTGTTTCAAAACCACTCTATGGAAAGGTATGTTCAACACTGTGAGATGAATGCAAACGTCACCAAGAAGTTGCTGAGAATGCTTCAGTCTAGTTTCTATGGGAAGACATTTCCTTTTGCACCAGAGCCGTCAAAGCACTCCAAATGTCTACTTGCAGATTCGATAAAAGAGTTTTTCAAAACTGCTCTATCAAAAGAAAGGTTCAACGCTGTGAGTTGAATCTACATATGACAAAAAAGTTTCTGAGCATGCCTCTATCTACTTTTTATGTGAAGATATTCCGGTTTCCAACGAAGGCCTCAAAGCGCTCCAAATATCTACTTGCAGACTCTAGAAAAAGAGTGTTTCAAAACTGCTCTATTAAAGGAAGCTACAACTCTGTGAGTTGAATTCACACATCACAACGAACTTTCTGACAATGCTTCTATCTAGTTTTTGTGTGATGATATTACTGTTTCCTATGAAGGCCTCAAAGTGGTCCGAATATCCACTTGCAGATTCTACAAAAAGAGGTTTTCAAAACTGCTCTATGAAGAGGTATGTTCAACTCTGTCAGTTGAATGCAAACATCACAAAGCAGTTTCTGAGAATGCTTCTGTCTAGTATTTAGGTGAAGATATTTCCATTTGCACAATAGCCCTCAAAGCGCCCCAAATATCCACGGGCAGATTCTACTAAAAGTGTGTTTCAAAACTGCTCTGTCAAAAGAAAGGTTCAACTGTGTTAGTTGAATACCCACATCACAAAGAAGATTCTGAGAATATTTCTGTCTAGTTTTTATTAGAAGATATTCCCGTTTCCACCAAAGGACACAAAGCGAAGCCAATTATCCGCTTGCCGATCTTACAAAAACACGTTTCCAAACTGCTCTATCAAAGGAAAGGTTCATCTCTCTGGGTTCAACGCACACATCACAAAGAAGTTTCTGAGAATGCTTCTGGCTAGTTTGTGTGTGAAGATATTCCCATTTCCAACAAAGGCTTCAAAGCGCTCCAAAGATTCACCTGCAATTGTTCAAAAGAGTGTTTCAAAACTGTTCTATCAAAAGGAAGGTTCAACTCTGTGAGTTGAATGCACGCTTCACATACATGTTTCTGAGAAGGCTTCTTTCTAGTTTTTATGTGAAGATATTTCCTTCTCCACCGTAGCCCTCAAAGCGCTCCAAGGGTCCGCTGGCAGATTCCACAGAAACAGTGTTTCAAAACTGCTCTAACAAAAGAAAGATTCAACTCCGTGATTTGAATGCACACATCACAAAGCATTTTCTGTGAATCCTTCTGTCTAGTTTTTATATGAGGATATTTCCTTTTCTACCATGGGCATCAAAGCGTTCCAATCATCCAATTGTAGAATGCACAAATAGAGTGTTTCAAAACTGCTTCATGAAAAGGAAGATTCAAATTTGGGAGTAGAATACACACATCACGAAGAAGTTTCTGAGAATGCTTCTGTCTAGTTTATATGTGAAGATATTCCCATTTCCAGCAAAGGTCTCAAAGGGGTCCAAATATCCACTTGCGGATCCCACAAACAGAGTGTTTCAAAACTGCTCTACGGAAAGGTGTGTTCAACTCTGTGAGTTTACTGCAAACAACCTAAAGAAGTTTCTGGGAATGCTGCTGTCTACTTTAATGTGAATATATTTTCTTTTCCGCCATAGCCCTCAAAGATCTCCAAATATCCACTTTCAGATTCTACAGAGTGTTTCAAAACTGCTCTATCAAAAAAAAGTTTCAACTCGGTGAGTCGAATGCACATATCACAAAGCAGTTGCTGAGAATGCTTTCGTCTATTTTTCCCAGGAAGATATTTCCTTTTTGACCATAGGCCTCAAATCGCTCCAGATATCCACATGCAGATTCTACAAAAAGAGTGTTTCCAAACTGCCCTATCAAAAGGAAGGTTCAACTCTGGTAGTTGAATGCAAACATCACAAAGAAGTTTCTCAGAATGCTTCAGTCTAGTATTTAGAGGCAGATATTTCTTTTTCTACCATTGGCCTCAAGGCGCTCCAAATATCCACTTGCAGATTCTTCACAAACAGTGTTTCAAAACTGCTCCATAAAAAGGAAGGTTCAACTCTGTGAGGTGAATGGACAGATCACAAAGAAGTTTCTGAGAATGCTTCTGTCTAGTGTTTATGTGAAGATATTCCCGTTTCCGATGAAGGCCTCAAAGCAGTCCAAATATCCACTTGCAGATTCTACAAAAATAGTGCTTCAAAACTACTCTATGGAAAGGTATGTTCAACACTGTGAGATGAATGCAAACGTCACAAAGAAGTTGCTGAGAATGCGTCAGTCTAGTTTCTATGGGAAGACATTTCCTTTTGCCCCACAGCCCTCAAAGCACTCCAAATGTCTACTTGCAGATTCGATAAAAGAGTTTTTCAAAACTGCTCTATCAAAAGAAAGGTTCAACGCTGTGAGTTGAATCTACATATGACAAAAAAGTTTCTGAGCATGCCTCTATCTACTTTTTATGTGAAGATATTCCGGTTTCCAACGAAGGCCTCAAAGCGCTCCAAATATCTACTGGCAGATTCTAGAAAAAGAGTGTTTCAAAACTGCTCTATTAAAGGAAGGTTCAACTCTGTGAGTTGAATTCACACATCACAAAGAACTTTCTGACAATGCTTTCTATCTAATTTTTACGTGAAGATATTACTGTTTCCTATGAAGGCCTCAAAGTGGTCCGAATATCCTCTTGCAGATTCTACAAAAAGAGGTTTTCAAAACTGCTCTATGAAAAGGTATGTTCAACTCTGTGAGTTGAATGCAAACATCACAAAGCAGTTTCTGAGAATGCTTCTGTCTAGTTTTCAAGGGCAGATATTTCCATTGGCCCAATAGCCCTCCAAGCGCTCCAAATATCCACTGGCAGATTCTACCAAAAGAGTGTTTCAAAACTGCTCTGTGAAAAGAAATGTTCAACTGTGTTAGTTGAATGCCCACATCACAAAGGAGATTCTGAGAATATTTCTGTCTAGTTTTTATTAGAAGATATTCCCGTTTCCACCAAAGGACACAAAGCGAAGCCAATTATCCGCTTGCCGATCTTACAAAAACACGTTTCAAAACTGCTCTTTCCAAGGAAAGGTTCATCTCTCTGGGTTCAACGCACACATCACAAAGAAGTTTCTGAGAATGCTTCTGACTAGTTTGTGTGAGAAGATATTCCCATTTCCAACAAAGGCTTCAAAGCGCTCCAAAGATTCACCTGCAATTGTTCAAAAGAGTGTTTCAAAACTGTTGTATCAAAAGGAAGGTTCAACTCTGTGAGTTGAATGCACGCTTCACATACATGTTTCTGAGAATGCTTCTTTCTAGTTTTTATGGGAAGATATTTCCTTCTCCACCATAGCCCTCAAAGCGCTCCAAGTGTCCGCTGGCAGATTCCACAGAAACCGTGTTTCAAAACTGCTCTAACAAAAGAAAGATTCAACTCCGTGATTCGAATGCACACATCACAAAGCATTTTCTGTGAATCCTTCTGTCTAGTTTTTATATGAGGATATTTCCTTTTCTAACATGGGCATCAAAGCGTTCCAATTATCCAATTGTGGATTGCACAAACAGAGTGTTTCAAAACTGCTTCATGAAAAGGAAGATTCAAATTCGGGAGTAGACTGCACACATCACGAAGAAGTTTCTGAGAATGCTTCTGTCTAGTTTATACGTCAAGATATTCCCATTTCCAGCAAAGGTCTCAAAGCGGTCCAAATATCCACTTGCGGATCCCACAAACAGAGTGTTTCAAAACTGCTCTACGGAAAGGTATGTTCAACTCTGTGAGTTTACTGCAAACATCCTAAAGAAGTTTCTGAGAATGCTGCTGTCTACTTTAATGTGAATATATTTTCTTTTCCGCCATAGCCGTCAAAGAGCTCCAACTATCCACTTTCAGATTCTACAGAGTGTTTCAAAACTGCTCTATCAAAAAAAAGTTTCAACTCGGTGAGTCGAATGCACATATCACAAAGCACTTTCTGAGAATGCTTTCGTCTTTTTTTCCCAGGAAGATATTTCCTTTTGGACCGTAGGCCTCAAATCGCTCCAGATATCCACATGCAGATTCTACAAAAAGAGTGTTTCCAAACTGCCCTATCAAAAGGAAGGTTCAACTCTGGTAGTTGAATGCAAACATCACAAAGAAGTTTCTCAGAATGCTTCTGTCTAGTTGTAATAGGCAGATATTTCTTTTTCTACCATAGGCCTCAAAGCGCTCCAAATATCCACTTGCAGATTCTCCAAAAACAGTGTTTCAAAACTGCTCCATAAAAAGGAAGGTTCAACTCTGTGAGTTGAATAGACAGATCACAAAGTAGTTTCTGAGAATGCTTCTGTCTAGTGTTTATGTGAAGACATTCCCGTTTCCAATGAAGGCCTCAATGCAGTCCAAATATCCACTTGCAGATTCTACAAAAATAGTGTTTCAAAACTACTCTATGAAAAGGTATGTTCAACACTGTGAGATGAATGCAAACGTCACAAAGAAGTTGCTGAGAATGCTTCAGTCTAGTTTCTATGGGAAGACATTTCCTTTTGCACCACAGCCCTCAAAGCACTCCAAATGTCTACTTGCAGATTCGATAAAAGAGTTTTTCAAAACTGCTCTATCAAAAGAAAGGTTCAACGCTGTGAGTTGAATCTACATATGACAAAAAAGTTTCTGAGCATGCCTCTATCTACTTTTCCTGTGAAGATATTCCGGTTTCCAACGAAGGCCTCAAAGCGCTCCAAATATCTACTTGCAGATTCTAGAAAAAGAGTGTTTCAAAACTGCTCTATTAAAGGAAGGTTCAACTCTGTGAGTTGAATTCACACATCACAAAGAACTTTCTGACAATGTTTTCTATCTAGTTTTTATGTGAAGATGTTACTGTTTCCTATGAAGGCCTCAAAGTGGTCCGAATATCCACTTGCAGATTCTACAAAAAGAGGTTTTCAAGACTGCTCTATGAAGAGGTATGTTCAACTCTGTGAGTTGAATGCAAACATCACAAAGTAGTTTCTGAGAATGCTTCTGTCTAGTTTTCAGGGGCAGATATTTCCATTGGCACAATAGCCCTCCAAGCGCTCCAAATATCCACTGGCAGATTCTACCAAAAGAGTGTTTCAAAACTGCTCTGTTAAAAGAAATGTTCAACTGTGTTAGTTGAATGCCCACATCACAAAGGAGATTCTGAGAATATTTCTGTCTAGTTTTTATTAGAAGATATACCCGTTTCCACCAAAGGACACAAAGCGAAGCCAATTATCCGCTTGCAGATCTTACAAAAACACGTTTCAAAACTGCTCTATCAAAGGAAAAGTTCATCTCTCTGGGTTCAACGCACACATCACAAAGAAGTTTCTGAGAATGCTTCTGTCTAGTTTATATGTGAAGATATTCCCATTTCCAGCAAAGGTCTCAAAGCGGTCCAAATATCCACTTGCGGATCCCACAAACAGAGTGTTTCAAAACTCCTCTACGGAAAGGTAGGTTCAACTCTGTGAGTTTACTGCAAACATCCTAAAGAAGTTTCTAAGAATGCTGCTGTCTACTTTAATGTGAATATATTTTGTTTTCCGCCATAGCCCTCAAAGATCTCCAAATATCCACTTTCAGATTCTACAGAGTGTTTCAAAACTGCTCTATCAAACAAAAGTTTCAACTCGATGAGTCGAATGCCCATATCACAAAGCAGTTTCTGAGAATGCTTTCGTCTATTTTTCCCAGGAAGATATTTCCTTTTTGACCGTAGGCCTCAAACCGCTCCAGATATCCACATGCAGATTCTACACAAAGAGTGTTTCCAAACTGCCCTATCAAAAGGAAGGTTCAACTCTGCTAGTTGAATGCAAACATCACAAAGAAGTTTCTCGGAATGCTTCAGTCTAGTATTTAGAGGCAGATATTTCTTTTTCTACCATTGGCCTCAAGGCGCTCCAAATATCCACTTGCAGATTCTCCACAAACAGTCTTTCAAAACTGCTCCATAAAAAGGAAGGTTCAACTCTGTGAGTTGAATGGACAGATCACAAAGAAGTTTCTGAGAATGCTTCTGTCTAGTGTTTATGAGAAGGTATTCCCGTTTCCGATGAAGGCCTCAAAGCAGTCCAAATATCCACTTGCAGATTCTACAAAAATAGTGCTTCAAAACTACTCTATGGAAAGGTATGTTCAACACTGTGAGATGAATGCAAACGTCACAAAGAAGTTGCTGAGAATGCTTCAGTCTAGTTTCTATGGGAAGACATTTCCTTTTGCACCACAGCCCTCAAAGCACTCCAAATGTCTACTTGCAGATTCGATAAAAGAGTTTTACAAAACTGCTCTATCAAAAGAAAGGTTCAAAGCTGTGAGTTGAATCCACATATCACGAAAAAGTATCTGAGAATGCCTCTATCTACATTTCCTGTGAAGATATTCCGGTTTCCAACGAAGGCCTCCAAGCGCTCCAAATATCTACTTGCAGATTCTAGAAAAAGAGTGTTTCACAACTGCTCTATTAAAGGAAGGTTCAACTCTGTGAGTTGAATTCACACATCACAAAGAACTTTCTGACAATGCTTCTATCTAGTTTTTATGTGAAGATATTACTGTTTCCTATGAAGGCCTCAAAGTGGTCCGAATATCCACTTGCAGATTCTACAGAAAGAGGTTTTCAAAACTGCTCTATGAAGAGGTATGTTCAACTCGGTGAGTTGAATGCAAACATCACGAAGTAGTTTCTGAGAATGCTTCTGTCTAGTTTTCAGGGGCAGATATTTCCATTGGCACAATAGCCCTCCAAGCGCTCCAAATATCCACTGGCAGATTCTACCAAAAGAGTGTTTCAAAACTGCTCTGTGAAAAGAAATGTTCAACTGTGTTAGTTGAATGCCCACATCACAAAGCAGATTCTGAGAATATTTCTGTCTAGTTTTTATTAGAAGATATTCCCGTTTCCACCAAAGGAAACAAAGCGAAGCCAATTATCCGCTTGCCGAACTTACAAAAACACGTTTCAAAACTGCTCTATCAAAAGAAAGGTTCATCTCTCTGGGTTCAAAGCACACATCACAAAGAAGTTTCTGAGAATGCTTCTGGCTAGTTTGTGTGTGAAGATATTCCCATTTCCAACAAAGGCTTCAAAGCGCTCCAAAGATTCACCTGCAATTGTTCAAAAGAGTGTTTCAAAACTGTTCTATCAAAAGGAAGGTTCAACTCTGTGAGTTGAATGCACGCTTCACATAAATGGTTCTGAGAATGCTTCTTTCTAGTTTTTATGGGAAGATATTTCCTTCTCCACCATAGCCCTCAAAGTGCTCCAAGTGTCCGCTGGCAGATTCCACAGAAACAGTGTTTCAAAACTGCTCTGACAAAAGAAAGATTCAACTCCGTGATTTGAATGCACACATCACAAAGCATTTTCTGTGAATCCTTCTGTCTAGTTTTTATATGAGGAGATTTCCTTTTCTTCCACGGGCATCAAAGCGTTCCAATTATCCAATTGTAGATTGTACAAAAGGAGTGTTTCAAAACTGCTTTATGAAAAGGAAGGTTCAACTTTGGGAGTAGAATGCACACATCACGAAGAAGTTTCTGAGAATGCTTCTGGCTAGTTTATATGTGAAGATATTCCCATTTCCAGCAAAGGTCTCAAAGCGGTCCAAATATCCACTTGCAGATCCCACAAACAGAAGGTTTCAAAACTGCTTTACGGAAAGGTATGTTCAACTCTGTGAGTTTACTGCAAACATCCTAAAGAAGTCTCTGAGAATGCTGCTGTCTACTTTAATGTGAATATATTTTCTTTTCCGCCATAGCCCTCAAAGAGCTCCAAATATCCACTTTCAGATTCTACAGAGTGTTTCAAAACTGCTCTATCAAAAAAAAGTTTCAACTCGGTGAGTCGAATGCCCATATCACAAAGCAGTTTCTGAGAATGCTTTCGTCTATTTTTCCCAGGAAGATATTACCTTTTTGACCGTAGGCCTCAAACCGCTCCAGATATCCACATGCAGATTCTACAAAAAGAGTGTTTCCAAACTGCCCTATCAAAAGGAAGGTTCAACTCTGCTAGTTGAATGCAAACATCACAAAGAAGTTTCTCGGAATGCTTCTGTCTTGTTGTCATAGGCAGATATTTCTTTTTCTACCATAGGCCTCAAAGCGCTCCAAATATCCACTTGCAGATTCTCCAAAAACAGTGTTTCAAAACTGCTCCATAAAAAGGAAGGTTCAACTCTGTGAGTTGAATGGACAGACCACAAAGAAATTTCTGAGAATGCTTCTGTCTAGTGTTTATGTGAAGATATTCCCGTTTCCGATGAAGGCCTCAAAGCAGTCCAAATATCCACTTGCAGATTCTACAAAAATAGTGCTTCAAAACTACCCTATGGAAAGGTATGTTCAACACTGTGAGATGAATGCAAACGTCACAAAGAAGTTGCTGAGAATGCTTCAGTCTAGTTTCTATGGGAAGACATTTCCTTTTGCACCACAGCCCTCAAAGCACCCCAAATGTCTACCTGCAGATTCGATAAAAGAGTTTTTTAAAACTGCTCCATCCAAAGAAAGGTTCAACTGCTGTGAGTTGAGTCTACATATCACAAAAAATGTTTCTGAGAATGCCTCTATCTACTTTTTCTGTGAAGATATTCCGGTTTCCAACGAAGGCCTCAAAGCGCTCCAAATATCTACGTGCAGATTCTAGAAGAAGAGTGTTTCAAAACTGCTCTATTAAAGGAAGGTTCAACTCTGTGAGTTGAATTCACACATCACAAAGAACTTTCTGACAATGCTTCTATCTAGTTTTTATGTGAAGATATTACTGTTTCCTATGAAGGCCTCAAAGTGGTCCGAATATCCACTTGCAGATTCTACAAAAAGAGGTTTTCAAAACTGCTCTATGAAGAGGTATGTTCAAGTCTGTGAGTTGAATGCAAACATCACGAACAGTTTCTGAGAATGCTTCTGTCTAGTTTTTAGGGACAGATATTTCCGTTGGCACAATAGCCCTCAAAGCGCACCAAATATCCACTGGCAGATTCTACCAAAAGAGTGTTTCAAAACTGCTCTGTGAAAAGAAACGTTCAACTCTGTTAGTTGAATGCCCACATCACAAAGAAGATTCTGAGAATATTTCTGTCTAGTTTTTATTAGAAGATATTCCCGTTTCCACCAAAGGACACAAAGCGAAGCCAATTATCCGCTTGCAGATCTTACAAAAACACGTTTCCAAACTGCTCTATCAAAGGAAAGGTTCATCTCTCTGGGTTCAACGCACACATCACAAAGAAGTTTCTGAGAATGCTTCTGGCTAGTTTGTGTGTGAAGATATTCCCATTTCCAACAAAGGCTTCAAAGCGCTCCAAAGATTCACCTGCAATTGTTCAAAAGAGTGTTTCAAAACTGTTGTATCCAAAGGAAGGTTCAACTCTGTGAGTTGAATGCACGCTTCACATAAATGTTTCTGAGAATGCTTCTTTCTAGTTTTTATGTGAAGATATTTCCGTCTCCACCGTAGCCCTCAAAGCGCTCCAAGTGTCCGCTGGCAGATTCCACAGAAACAGTGTTTCAAAACTGCTCTAACAAAAGAAAGATTCAACTCCGTGATTTGAATGCACACATCACAAAGCATTTTCTGTGAATACTTCTGTCTAGTTTTTATATGAGGATATTTCCTTTTCTACCACGGGCATCCAAGCGTTCCAATTCTCCAATTGTAGATTGCACAAACAGAGTGTTTCAAAACTGCTCCTTGGGAAGGAAGATTCAAATTTGGGAGTACAATGCACACATCACGAAGAAGTTTCTGAGAATGCTTCTGTCTAGTTTATACGTGAAGATACTCCCATTTCCAGCAAAGGTCTCAAAGCGGTCCAAATATCCACGTGCGGATCCCACAAACAGAGTGTTTCAAAACTGCTCTACGGAAAGGTATGTTCAACTCTGTGAGTTTACTGCAAACATCCTAAAGAAGTTTCTGAGAATGCTGCTGTCTACTTTAATGTGAATATAGTTTCTTTGCCGCCATAGCCCTCAAAGAGCTCCAAATATCCACTTTCAGATTCTACAGAGTGTTTCAAAACTGCTCTATCAAAAAAAAGTTTCAACTCGGTGAGTCAAATGCACATATCACAAAGCAGTTTCTGAGAATGCTTTCGTCCATTTTTCCCAGGAAGATATTTCCTTCTGGACCGTAGGCCTCAAATCGCTCCAGATATCCACATGCAGATTCTACAAAAAGAGTGTTTCCGAACTGCCCTATCAAAAGGAAGGTTCAACTCTGGTAGTTGAATGTAAACATCACAAAGAAGTTTCTCAGAATGCTTCTGTCTGGTTTTTAGAGGCAGATATTTCTTTTTCTACCATAGGCCTCAAAGCGCTCCAAATATCCACTTGCAGATTCTCCAAAAACAGTGATTCAAAACTGCTCCATAAAAAGGAAGGTCCAACTCTGTGAGTTGAATGGACAGATCACAAAGAAGTTTCTGAGAATGCTTCTGTCTAGTGTTTATGTGAAGATATTCCCGTTTCCAATGAAGGCCTCAAAGCAGTCCAAATATCCACTTGCAGATACTACAAAAATAGTGTTTCAAAACTGCTCTATGAAAAGGTATGTTCAACACTGTGAGATGAATGCAAACGTCACAAAGAAGTTGCTGAGAATGCTTCAGTCTAGTTTCTATGGGAAGACATTTCCTTTTGCACCACAGCCCTCAAAGCACTCCAAATATCTACTTGCAGATTCGATATAAGAGTTTTTCAAAACCGCTCTATCAAAAGGAAGGTTCAAATCTGTGAGTTGAATGGAGAGATCACAAAGTAGTTTCTGAGAATGCTTCTATCTACTTTTTATGTGAAGACATTCCGTTTTCCAACGAAGGCCTCAAAGCGCTCCAAATATCTATTGCAGATTCTACAAAAAGAGTGTTTCAAAACTGCTCTATTTATCGAAGGTTCAACTCTGTGAGGTGAATTCACACATCACAAAGAAGTTTCCGAGAATGCTTGAATCTAGTTTTTATGTGAAGATATTACTGTTTTCTATGAAGGCCTCAAAGTGGTCCGAATATCCACTTGCAGATTCTACAGAAAGAGGATTTCAAAACTGCTCTATAAAGAGGTATGTTCATCTCTGTGAGTTGAATGCAAACATCACAAAGTAGTTTCTGAGAATGCTTCTGTCTAGTTTTCAGGGGCAGATATTTCCATTGGCACAATAGCCCTCCAAGCGCTCCAAATATCCACTGGCAGATTCTACCAAAAGAGTGTTTCAAAACTGCTCTGTGAAAAGAAATGTTCAACTGTGTTAGTTGAATGCCCACATCAAAAAGGAGATTCTGAGAATATTTCTGTCTAGTTTTTATTAGAAGATATTCCCGTTTCCAACAAAGGACACAAAGCGAAGCCAATTATCCACTTGCCGATCTTACAAAAACACGTTTCAAAACTGCTCTATCAAAGGAAAAGTTCATCTCTCTGGGTTCAACGCACACATCACAAAGAAGTTTCTGAGAATGCTTCTGGCTAGTTTGTGTGTGAAGATATTCCCATTTCCAACAAAGGCTTCAAAGCGCTCCAAGGATTCACCTGCAATTGTTCAAAAGAGTGTTTCAAAACTGTTGTATCAAAAGGAAGGTTCAACTCTGTGAGTTGAATGCACGCTTCACATAAATGTTTCTGAGAATGCTTCTTTCTAGTTTTTATGGGAAGATATTTCCTTCTCCACCATAGCCCTCAAAGCGCTCCAAGTGTCCGCTGGCAGATTCCACAGAAACAGTGTTTCAAAACTGCTCTGACGAAAGAAAGATTCAACTCCGTGATTTGAATGCACACATCACAAAGCATTTTCTGTGAATCCTTCTGTCTAGTTTTTATATGAGGATATTTCCTTTTCTACCACGGGCATCCAAGCGTTCCAATTCTCCAATTGTAGATTGCACAAACAGAGTGTTTCAAAACTGCTGCATGAGAAGGAAGATTCAAATTTGGGAGTACAATGCACACATCACGAAGAAGTTTCTGAGAATGCTTCTGTCCAGTTTATATGTGAAGATATTCCCGTTTCCAGCAAAGGTCTCAAAGCGGTCCAAATATCCACTTGCGGATCCCACACACAGAGTGTTTCAAAGCTGCTCTACGGAAAGGTATGTTCAACTCTGTGAGTTTACAGCAAACATCCTAAAGAAGCTTCTGGGAATGCTGCTGTCTAGTTTCATGTGAATATAATTTCTTTTCCGCCATAGCCCTCAAAGAGCTCCAAATATCCACTTTCAGATTCTACAGAGTGTTTCAAAACTGCTCTATCAAAAAAAAGTTTCAACTCGCTGAGTCGAATGCACATATCACAAAGCAGTTTCTGAGAATGCTTTCGTCTATTTTTCCCAGGAAGATATTTCCTTTTTGACCGTAGGCCTCAAATCGCTCCAGATATCCACATGCAGATTCTACAAAAAGAGTGTTTCCAAACTGCCCTATCAAAAGGAAGGTTCAACTACTGGTAGTTGAATGCAAACATCACAAAGAAGTTTCTCAGAATGCTTCTGTCTGGTTTTTAGAGGCAGATATTTCATTTTCTACCATAGGCCTCAAAGCGCTCCAAATATCCACTTGCAGATTCTCCAAAAACAGTGATTCAAAACTGCTCCATAAAAAGGAAGGTTCAACTCTGTGAGTTGAATGGACAGATCACAAAGAAGTTTCTGAGAATGCTTCTGTCTAGTGTTTATGTGAAGATATTCCCGTTTCCAATGAAGGCCTCAAAGCAGTCCAAATATCCACTTGCAGATTCTACAAAATTAGTGTTTCAAAACTTCTCTATGGAAAGGTATGTTCAACACTGTGAGATGAATGCAAACGTCACAAAGAAGTTGCTGAGAATGCTTCAGTCTAGTTTCTATGGGAAGACATTTCCTTTTGCACCACAGCCCCCAAAGCACTCCAAATGTCTACTTGCAGATTCGATAAAAGAGTTTTACAAAACTGCTCTATCAAAAGAAAGGTTCAACGCTGTGAGTTGAATCCACATATCACGAAAAAGTATCTGAGAATGCCTCTATCTACATTTCCTGTGAAGATATTCCGGTTTCCAACGAAGGCCTCCAAGCGCTCCAAATATCTACTTGCAGATTCTAGAAAAAGAGTGTTTCAAAACTGCTCTATTAAAGGAAGGTTCAACTCTGTGAGTTGAATTCACACATCACAAAGAACTTTCTGACAATGCTTCTATCTAGTTTTTATGCGAAGATATTACTGGTTCCTATGAAGGCCTCAAAGTGCTCCGAATATCCACTTGCAGATTCTACAAAAAGAGGTTTTCAATACTGCTCTGTGAAGAGGTATGTTCAACTCTGTGAGTTGAATGCAAACATCACGAAGTAGTTTCTGAGAATGCTTCTGTCTAGATTTTAGGGGCAGATATTTCCATTGGCACAACAGCCCTCAAAGCGCTCCAAATATCCACTGCCAGATTCTACCAAAAGAGTGTTTCAAAACTGCTCTGTGAAAAGAAATGTTCAACTGTGTTAGTTGAATGCCCACATCACAAAGGAGATTGTGAGAATATTTCTGTCTAGTTTTTATTAGAAGATATTCCCGTTTCCACCAAAGGACACAAAGCGAAACCAATTATCCGCTTGCCGATCTTACAAAAACACGTTTCAAAACTGCTCTATCAAAGGAAAGGTTCATCTCTCTGGGTTCAACGCACACATCACAAAGAAGTTTCTGAGAATGCTTCTGGCTAGTTTGTGTGTGAAGATATTCCCATTTCCAACAAAGGCTTCAAAGCGCTCCAAAGATTCACCTGCAATTGTTCAAAAGAGTGTTTCAAAACTGTTGTATCAAAAGTAAGGTTCAACTCTGTGAGTTGAATGCACGCTTCACATAAATGTTTCTGAGAATACTTCTCTCTAGTTTTTATGGGAAGATATTTCCTTCTCCACCATAGCCCTCAAAGTGCTCCAAGTGTCCGCTGGCAGATTCCACAGAAACAGTGTTTCAAAACTGCTCTGACAAAAGAAAGATTCAACTCCGTGATTTGAATGCACACATCACAAAGCATTTTCTGTGAATCCTTCTGTCTAGTTTTTATATGAGGATATTTCCTTTTCTACCATGGGCATCAAAGGGTTCCAATTATCCAATTGTAGATTGCACAAATAGAGAGTTTCAAAACTGCTTCATGAGAAGGAAGATTCAAATTTGCGAGTAGAATGCACACATCACGAAGAAGTTTCTGAGAATGCTTCTGTCTAGTTTATATGTGAAGATATTCCCATTTCCAGCAAAGGTCTCAAAGCGGTCCAAATATCCACTTGCGGATCCCACAAACAGAGTGTTTCAAAACTGCTCTACGGAAAGGTAGGTTCCACTCTGTGAGTTTACTGCAAACATCCTAAAGAAGTTTCTGAGAATGCCGCTGTCTACTTTTTTAATGTGAATATATTTTCTTTTCCGCCATAGCCCTCAAAGAGCTCCAAATATCCACTTTCAGATTCTACAGAGTGTTTCAAAACTGCTCTATCAAAAAAAAGTTTCAACTCGGTGAGTCGAATGCGCATATCACAAAGCCCTTTCTGAGAATGCTTTCGTCTATTTTTCCCAGGAAGATATTTCCTTTTGGACCGTAGGCCTCAAATCGCTCCAGATATCCACATCCAGACTCTACAAAAAGAGTGTTTCCAAACTGCCCTATCAAAAGGAAGGTTCAACTCTGGTAGTTGAATGCAAACATCACAAAGAAGTTTCTCAGAATGCTTCTGTCTTGTTCTCATAGGCAGATATTTCTTTTTCTACCATAGGCCTCAAAGGGCTCCAAATATCCACTTGCAGATTCTCCAAAAACAGTGTTTCAAAACTGCTCCATAAAAAGGAAGGTTCAACTCTGTGAGTTGAATGGACAGACCACAAAGAAGTTTCTGAGAATGCTTCTGTCTAGTGTTTATGTGAAGATATTCCCGTTTCCGATGAAGGCCTCAAAGCAGTCCAAATATCCACTTGCCGATTCTACAAAAACAGTGTTTCAAAACCACTCTATGGAAAGGTATGTTCAACACTGTGAGATGAATGCAAACGTCACCAAGAAGTTGCTGAGAATGCTTCAGTCTAGTTTCTATGGGAAGACATTTCCTTTTGCACCACAGCCCCCAAAGCACTCCAAATGTCTACTTGCAGATTCGATAAAAGAGTTTTACCACACTGCTCTATCAAAAGAAAGGTTCAACGCTGTGAGTTGAATCCACATATCACGAAAAAGTTTCTGAGAATGCCTCTATCTACATTTCCTGTGAAGATATTCCGGTTTCCAAAGAAGGCCTCCAAGCACTCCAAATATCTACTAGCAGATTCTAGAAAAAGAGTGTTTCAAAACTGCTCTATTAAAGGAAGGTTCAACTCTGTGAGTTGAATTCACACATCACAAAGAACTTTCTGACAATGCTTTCTATCTAGTTTTTAGGCAAAGATATTACTGTTTCCTATGAAGGCCTCAAAGTGGTCCGAATATCCACTTGCAGATTCTACAGAAAGAGGTTTTCAAAACTGCTCTGTGAAGAGGTATGTTCAACTCTGTGTGTTGAATGCAAACATCACGAAGTAGTTTCTGAGAATGCTTCTGTCTAGTTTTTAGGGGAAGATATTTCCGTTGGCACAATAGCCCTCAAAGCGCTCCAAATATCCACTGGCAGATTCCACCAAAAGAGTGTTTCAAAACTGCTCTGTGAAAAGAAATGTTCAACTGTGTTAGTTGAATGCCCACATCACAAAGAAGATTCTGAGAATATTTCTGTCTAGTTTTTATTAGAAGATATTCCGGTTTCCAACAAAGGACACAAAGCGAAGCCAATTATCCGCTTGCAGATCTTACAAAAACACGTTTCAAAACTGCTCTATCAAAGGAAAGGTTCATCTCTCTGGGTTCAACGCACACATCACAAAGAAGTTTCTGAGAATGCTTCTGGCTAGTTTGTGTGTGAAGATATTCCCATTTCCAACAAAGGCTTTAAAGCGCTCCAAAGATTCACCTGCAATTGTTCAAAAGAGTGTTTCAAAACTGTTCTATCAAAAGGAAGGTTCAACTCTGTGAGTTGAATGCACACTTCACATAAATGTTTCTGAGAATGCTTCTTTCTAGTTTTTATGTGAAGATATTTCCTTCTCCACCATAGCCCTCAAAGCGCTCCAAGTGTCCGCTGGCAGATTCCACAGAAACAGTGTTTCAAAACTGCTCTAACAAAAGAAAGATTCAACTCCGTGATTTGAATGCACACATCACAAAGCATTTTCTGTGAATCCTTTCTGTCTAGTTTTTATATGAGGATATTTCCTTTTCTACCATGGGCATCAAAGCGTTCCAATTATCCCATTGTAGATTGCACAAATAGAGTGTTTCAAAACTGCTTCATGAAAAGGAAGATTCAAATTTGGGGGTAGAATGCACACATCACGAAGAAGTTTCTGAGAATGCTTCTGTCTAGTTTATATGTGAAGATATTCCCATTTCCAGCAAAGGTCTCAAAGCGGTCCAAATATCCCCTTGCGGATCCCACAAACAGAGTGTTTCAAAACTGCTCTACGGAAAGATAGGTTCAACTCTGTGAGTTTACTGCAAACATCCTAAAGAAGTTTCTGAGAATGCTGCTGTCTAGTTTAATGTGAATATATTTTCTTTTCCGCCATAGCCCTCGAAGAGCTCCAAATATACACTTTCAGATTCTACAGAGTGTTTCAAAACTGCTCTATCAAAAAAAAGTTTCAACTCGGAGAGTCGAATGCACATATCACAAAGCAGTTTCTGAGAATGCTTTCGTCTATTTTTCCCAGGAAGATATTTCCTTTTTGACCGTAGGCCTCAAACCGCTCCAGTATATCCACATGCAGATTCTACAAAAAGAGTGTTTCCAAACTGCCCTATCAAAAGGAAGGTTCAACTCTGCTAGTTGAATGCAAACATCACAGAGAAGTTTCTCGGAATGCTTCAGTCTAGTATTTAGAGGCAGATATTTCTTTTTCTACCATTGGCCTCAAGACGCTCCAAATATCCACTTGCAGATTCTCCACAAACAGTGTTTCAAAACTGCTCCATAAAAAGGAAGGTTCAACTCTGTGAGTTGAATGGACAGATAACAAAGAAGTTTCTGAGAATGCTTCTCTCTAGTGTTTATGTGAAGATATTCCCGATTCCGATGAAGGCCTCAAAGCAGTCCAAATATCCACTTGCCGATTCTACAAAAACAGTGTTTCAAAACTACTCTATGGAAAGGTATGTTCAACACTGTGAGATGAATGCAAACGTCACAAAGAAGTTGCTGAGAATGCTTTAGTCTAGTTTCTATGGGAAGACATTTCCTTTTGCACCACAGCCCCCAAAGCACTCCAAATGTCTACATGCAGATTCGATAAAAGAGTTTTACAAAACTGCTCTATCAAAAGAAAGGTTCAACGCTGTGAGTTGAATCCACATATCACGAAAAAGTTTCTGAGAATGCCTCTATCTACTTTTCCTGTGAAGATATTCCGGTTTCCAACGAAGGCCTCAAAGCGCTCCAAATATCTACTTGCAGATTCTAGAAAAAGAGTGTTTCACAACTGCTCTATTAAAGGAAGGTTCAACTCTGTGAGTTGAATTCACACATCACAAAGAACTTTCTGACAATGCTTCTGTCTAGTTTTTATGTGAAGATATTACTGTTTCCTGTGAAGGCCTCAAAGTGGTCCGAATATCCACTTGCAGATTCTACAGAAAGAGGTTTTCAAAACTGTTCTGTGAAGAGGTATGTTCAACTCTGTGTGTTGAATGCAAACATCACGAAGTAGTTTCTGAGAATGCTTCTGTCTAGTTTTTAGGGGAAGATATTTCCATTGGCACAATAGCCCTCAAAGCGCTCCAGATATCCACTGGCAGATTCCACCAAAAGAGTGTTTCAAAACTGCTCTGTGAAAAGAAATGTTCAAATGTGTTAGTTGAATGCCCTCATCACAAAGAAGATTCTGAGAATATTTCTGTCTAGTTTTTATTAGAAGATATTCCCGTTTCCACCAAAGGACACAAAGCGAAGCCGATTATCCACTTGCAGATCTTACAAAAACACGTTTCAAAACTGCTCTATCAAAGGAAAGGTTCATCTCTCTGGGTTCCACGCACGCATCACAAAGAAGTTTCTGAGAATGCTTCTGGCTAGTTTGTGTGTGAAGATATTCCCATTTCCAACAAAGGCTTCAAAGCGCTCCAAAGATTCACCTGCAATTGTTCAAAAGAGTGTTTCAAAACTGTTGTATCACAAGGAAGGTTCAACTCTGTGAGTTGAATGCACGCTTCACATAAATGTTTCTGAGAATGCTTCTTTCTAGTTTTTATGGGAAGATATTTCCTTCTCCACCATATCCCTCAAAGCGCTCCAAGTGTCCGCTGGCAGATTCCACAGAAACAGTGTTTCAAAACTGCTCTGACAAAAGAAAGATTCAACTCCGTGATTTGAATGCACACATCACAAAGCATTTTCTGTGAATCCTTCTGTCTAGTTTTTATATGAGGATATTTCGTTTTCTACCATGGGCATCAAAGCGTTCCAATTATCCAATTGTGGATTGCACAAACAGAGTGTTTCAAAACTGCTTCATGAAAAGGAAGATTCAAATTCGGGAGTAGAATGCACACATCACGAGGAAGTTTCTGAGAATGCTTCTGTCTAGTTTATACGTGAAGATATTCCCATTTCCAGCAAAGGTCCCAAAGCGGTCCAAATATCCACTTGCGGATCCCACAAACAGAGTGTTTCAAAACTGCTCTACGGAAAGGTATGTTCAACTCTGTGAGTTTACTGCAAACATCCTAAAGAAGTTTCTGAGAATGCTGCTGTCTAGTTTAATGTGAATATATTTTCTTTTCCGCCATAGCCCTCAAAGAGCTCCAAATATGCACTTTCAGAATCTATAGAGTTTTTCAAAACTGCTCTATCAAAAAAAAAGTTTCAACTCGGTGAGTCGAATGCACATATCACAAAGCAGTTTCTGAGAATGCTTTCGTCTATTTTTCCCAGGAAGATATTTCCTTTTTGACCGTAGGCCTCAAATCGCTCCAGATATCCACATGCAGATTCTACAAAAAGAGTGTTTCCAAACTGCCCTATCAAAAGGAAGGTTCAACTCTGGTAGTTGAATGCAAACATCACAAAGAAGTTTCTCTGAATGCTTCTGTCTGGTTTTTAGAGGCAGATATTTCTGTTTCTACCCTAGGCCTCAAAGCGCTCCAAATATCCACTTGCAGATTCTCCAAAAGGAGTGTTTCAAAACTGCTCCATAAAAAGGAAGGTTCAACTCTGTGAGTTGAATGGACAGATGACAAAGAAGTTTCTGAGAATGCTTCTGTCTAGTGTTTATGTGAAGATATTCCCGTTTCCAATGAAGGCCTCAAAGCAGTCCAAATGTCCACTTGCAGATTCTACAAAAACAGTGTTTCAAAACTAATCTATGCAAAGGTATGTTCAACACTGTGAGATGAATGCAAACGTCACCAAGAAGTTGCTGAGAATGATTCAGTCCAGTTTCTATGGGAAGACATTTCCTTTTGCACAACAGCCCTCAAAGCACTCAAATGTCTACTTGCAGATTCGATAAAAGAGTTTTACAAAACTGCTCTATCAAAAGAAAGGTTCAACGCTGTGAGTTGAATCTACATATCACGAAAAAGTTTCTGAGAATGCCTCTATCTACTTTTTATGTGAAGATATTCCGGTTTCCAACGAAGGCCTCAAAGCGCTCCAAATATCTACTGGCAGATTCTAGAAAAAGAGTGTTTCAAAACTGCTCTATTAAAGGAAGGTTCAACTCTCTGAGTTGAATTCACACATCACAAAGAACTTTCTGACAATGCTTCTATCTAGTTTTTATGTGAAGATATTACTGTTTCCTATGAAGGCCTCAAACTGGTCCGAATATCCACTTGCAGATTCTACAAAAAGAGGTTTTCAAAACTGCTCTATGAAAAGGTATGTTCAACTCTGTGAGTTGAATGCAAACATCACAAAGCAGTTTCTGAGAATGCTTCTGTCTACTTTTTAGGGGCAGATATTTCCGTTGGCACAATAGCCCTCAAAGCGCTCCAAATATCCACTGGCAGATTCTACCAAAAGAGTGTTTCAAAACTGCTCTGTGAAAAGAAACGTTCAACTGTGTTTGTTGAATGCCCACATCACAAAGAAGATTCTGAGAATATTTCTGTCTAGTTTTTATTAGAAGATATTCACATTTCCACCAGAGGACACAAAGGGAAGCCAATTATCCGCTTGCAGATCTTACAAAAACACTTTTCAAAACTGCTCTATCAAAGGAAAGGTTCATCTCTCTGGGTTCATCGCACACATCACAAAGAAGTTTCTTAGAATGCTTCTGGCTAGTTTGTGTGTGAAGATATTCCCATTTCCAACAAAGGCTTCAAAGCGCTCCAAAGATTCACCTGCAATTGTTCAAAAGAGTGTTTCAAAACTGTTCTATCAAAAGGAAGTTTCAACTCTGTGAGTTGAATGCACGCTTCACATAAATGTTTCTGAGAATGCTTCTTTCTAGTTTTTATGAGAAGATATTTCCTTCTCCACCGTAGCCCTCAAAGCGCTCCAAGTGTCCCCTGGGAGATTCCACAGAAACAGTGTTTCAAAACTGCTCTAACAAAAGAAAGATTCAACTCCGTGATTTGAATGCACACATCACAAAGCATTTTCTGTGAATCCTTCTGTCTAGTTTTTATATGAGGATATTTCCTTTTCTACCATGGGCATCAAAGGGTTCCAATTATCCAATTGTAGATTGCACAAATAGAGTGTTTCAAAACTGCTTCATGAGAAAGAAGATTCAAATTTGGGAGTAGAATGCACACATCACGAAGAAGTTTCTGAGAATGCTTCTGTCTAGTTTATATGTGAAGATATTCCCATTTCCAGCAAAGGTCTCAAAGGGGCCCAAATATCCACTTGCGGATCCCACAAACAGAGTGTTTCAAAACTGCTCTACGGAAAGATATGTTTAACTCTGTGAGTTTACTGCAAACATCCTAAAGAAGTTTCTGAGAATGCTGCTGTCTACTTTAATGTGAATATATTTTAATTTCCGCCATAGCCATCAAAGAGCTCCAAATATCTACTTTCAGATTCTACAGAGTGTTTCAAAACTGCTCTATCAAAAAAAAGTTTCAACTCGGTGAGTCGAATGCACATATCACAAAGCAGTTTCTGAGAATGCTTTCGTCTATTTTTCCCAGGAAGATATTTCCTTTTTGACCGTAGGCCTCAAACCGCTCCAGATATCCACATGCAGATTCTACAAAATGAGTATTTCCAAACTGCCCTACAAAAGGAAGGTTCAACTCTGCTAGTTGAATGCAAACATCACAAAAAAGTTTCTCGGAATGCTTCAGTCTAGTATTTAGAGGCAGATATTTCTTTTTCTACCATTGGCCTCAAGGCGCTCCAAATATCCACTTGCAGATTCTCCACAAGCAGTGTTTCAAAACTGCTCCATAAAAAGGAAGGTTCAACTCTGTGAGTTGAACGGACAGATCACAAAGAAGTTTCTGAGAATGCTTCTCTCTAGTGTTTATGTGAAGATATTCCCGTTTCCGATGAAGGCCTCAAAGCAGTCCAAATATCCACTTGCCTATTCTACACAAACAGTGTTTCAAAACTACTCTATGGAAAGGTATGTTCAACACTGTGAGATGAATGCAAACGTCACCAAGAAGTTGCTGAGAATGCTTCAGTCTAGTTTCTATGGGAAGACATTTCCTTTTGCACCACAGCCCTCAAAGCACCCCAAATGTCTACCTGCAGATTCGATAAAAGAGTTTTTCAAAACTGCTCCATCCAAAGAAAGGTTCAACGCTGTGAGTTGAATCTACATATCACAAAAAAAGTTTCTGAGAATGCCTCTATCTACTTTTTACGTGAAGATAGTCCGGTTTCCAACGAAGGCCTCAAAGCGCTCCAAATATCTACTTGCAGATTCTAGAAAAAGAGTGTTTCAAAACTGCTCTATGAAAGGAAGGTTCAACTCTGTGAGTTGAATTCACACATCACAAAGAACTTTCTGACAATGCTTCTATCGAGTTTTTATGAGAATATATTACTGTTTCCTATGAAGGCCTCAAAGTGGTCCAAATATCCACTTGCAGATAATACAAAAAGAAGTTTTCAAACCTGCTCTATGAAGAGGTATGTTCAACTATGTGAGTTGAATGCAAACATCACAAAGTAGTTTCTGAGAATGCTTCTGTCTAGTTTTTAGGGGCAGATATTTCCGTTGGCACAAGAGCCCTCAAAGCGCTCCAAATATCCACTGGCAGATTCTACCAAAAGAGTGTTTCAAAACTGCTCTGTGAAAAGAAACGTTCAACTGTGTTAGTTGAATGCCCACATCACAAAGAAGATTCTGAGAATATTTCTGTCTAGTTTTTATTAGAAGATATTCCCGTTTCCACCAAAGGACACAAAGCGAAGCCAATTATCCGCTTGCCGATCTTACAAAAACGCGTTTCAAAACTGCTCTATCGAAGGAAAGGTTCATCTCTCTGGGTTCAACGCACACATCACAAAGAAGTTTCTGAGAATGCTTCTGGCTAGTTTGTGTGTGAAGATATTCCCATTTCCAACAAAGGCTTCAAAGCGCTCCAAAGATTCACCTGCAATGTTCAAAAGAGTGTTTCAAAACTGTTCTATCAAAAGGAAGGTTCAACTCTGTGAGTTGAATGCACGCTTCACATAAATGTTTCTGAGAATGCTTCTTTCTAGTTTTTATGTGAAGATATTTCCTTCTCCACCGTAGCCCTCAAAGCGCTCCAAGTGTCCGCTGGCAGATTCCACAGAAACAGTGTTTCAAAACTGCTCTAACAAAAGAAAGATTCAACACCGTGATTTGAATGCACACATCACAAAGCATTTTCTGTGAATCCTTCTGTCTAGTTTTTATATGAGGCTATTTCCTTTTCTACCATGGGCATCAAAGCGTTCCAATTATCCAATTGTGGATTGCACAAACAGAGTGTTTCAAAACTGCTTCATGAAAAGGAAGATTCAAATTCGGGAGTAGAATGCACACATCACGAAGAAGTTTCTGAGAATGCTTCCTGTCTAGTTTATATGTGAAGATATTCCCATTTCCAGCAAAGGTCTCAAAGCGGTCCAAATATCCACTTGCGGATCCCACAAACAGAGTGTTTCAAAGCTGCTCTACGGAAAGGTATGTTGAACTCTATGAGTTTACTGCAAACATCCTAAAGATGTTTCTGAGAATGCTGCTGTATAGTTTAATGTGAATATATTTTCTTTTCCACCATAGCCCTCAAAGAGCTCCAAATATCCACTTTCAGATTCTACAGAGTGTTTCAAAACTGCTCTATCCAAAAAAAGTTTCAACTCGGTGAGTCGAATGCACATATCACAAAGCAGTTTCTGAGAATGCTTTCGTCTATTTTTCCCAGGAAGATATTTCCTTTTTGACCGTAGGCCTCAAATCGCTCCAGATATCCACATGCAGATTCTACAAAAGAGTGTTTCCAAACTGCCCTATCAAAAGGAAGGTTCAACTCTGCTAGTTGAATGCAAACATCACAAAGAAGTTTCTCAGAATGCTTCTGTCTAGTTTTTAGAGGCAGATATTTCTTTTTCTACCACAGGCCTCTAAGCGCTCCAAATATCCACTTGCAGATTCTCCAAGAACAGTGTTTCAAAACTGCTCCATAAAAAGGAAGGTTCAACTCTGTGAGTTGAATGGACAGATGACAAAGAAGTTTCTGAGAATGCTTCTGTCTAGTGTTTATGTGAAGATATTCCCGTTTCCGATGAAGGCCTCAAAGCAGTCCAAATATCCACTTGCAGATTCTACAAAAATAGTGCTTCAAAACTACTCTATGGAAAGGTAAGTTCAACACTGTGAGATGAATGCAAACGTCACAAAGAAGTTGCTGAGAATGCTTCTGTCTAGTTTCTATGGGAAGACATTTCCTTTTGCACCACAGCCCTCAAAGCACCCCAAATGTCTACCTGCAGATTCGATAGAAGAGTTTTTCAAAACTGCTCCATCCAAAGAAAGGTTCAACGCTGTGAGTTGAATCTACATATCACAAAAAAGTTTCTGAGAATGCCTCTATCTACTTTTTATGTGAAGATATTCCGGTTTCCAACGAAGGCCTCAAAGCGCTCCAAATATCTACTTGCAGATTCTAGAAAAAGAGTGTTTCAAAACTGCTCTATTAAAGGAAGCTTCAACTCTGTGAGTTAAATTCACACATCACAACGAACTTTCTGACAATGCTTCTATCTAGTTTTCATGTGAAGGTATTACTGTTTCCTATGAAGGCCTCAAAGTGGTCCGAATATCCACTTGCAGATTCTACAAAAAGAGGTTTTCAAAACTGCTCTATGAAGAGGTATGTTCAACTCTGTGAGTTGAATGCAAACATCACAAAGTAGTTTCTGAGAATGCTTCTGTCTAGTTTTTAGGGGAAGATATCTCCATTGGCACAATAGCCCTCAAAGCGCTCCAAGTATCCACTGGCAGATTCTAGCAAAAGAGTGTTTCAAAACTGCTCTGTGAGAAGAAATGTTCAACTGTGTTAGTTGAATGCCCACATCACAAAGACGATTGTGAGAATATTTCTGTCTAGTTTTTATTAGAAGATATTCCCGTTTCCACCAAAGGACACAAAGCGAAGCCCATTATCCGCTTGCAGACCTTACAAAAACACGTTTCAAAACAGCTCTATCAAAGGAAAGGTTCATCTCTCTGGGTTCAACGCACACATCACAAAGAAGTTTCTGAGAATGCTTCTGGCTAGTTTGTGTGTGAAGATATTCCCATTTCCAACAAAGGCTTCAAAGCGCTCCAAAGATTCACCTGCAATTGTTCAAAAGGGTGTTTCAAAACTGTTGTATCAAAAGGAAGGTTCAACTCTGTGAGTTGAATGCACGCTTCACATAAATGTTTCTGAGAATGCTTCTTTCTAGTTTTTATGGGAAGATATTTCCTTCTCCACCATAGCCCTCAAAGCGCTCCAAGTGTCCGCTGGCAGATTCCACAGAAACAGTGTTTCAAAACTGCTCTGAGAAAAGAAAGATTCAACTCCGTGATTTGAATGCACACATCACAAAGCATTTTCTGTGAATCCTTCTGTCTAGTTTTCATATGAGGATATTTCCTTTTCTACCATGGGCATCAAAGCGTTCCAATTATCCAATTGTGGATCGCACAAACAGAGTGTTTCAAAACTGCTTCAGGAAAAGGAAGATTCAAATTCGGGAGTAGAATGCACACATCACGAGGAAGTTTCTGAGAATGCTTCTGTCTAGTTTATATGTGAAGATATTCCCATTTCCAGCAAAGGTCTCAAAGCGGTCCAAATATCCACTTGCGGATCCCACAAACAGAGTGTTTCAAAACTGCTCTACGGAAAGGTATGTTCAACTCTGTGAGTTTACTGCAAACATCCTAAGGAAGTTTCTGAGAATGTTGCTGTCTAGTTTAATGTGAATATATTTTCTTTTCCGCCATAGCCCTCAAAGAGCTCCAAATATCCACTTTCAGATTCTACAGAGTGTTTCAAAACTGCTCTATCAAAAAAATGTTTCAACTCGGTGAGTCGAATGCACATATCACAAAGCAGTTTCTGAGAATGCTTTCGTCTATTTTTCCCAGGAAGATATTTCCTTTTTGACCGTAGGCCTCAAACCGCTCCAGATATCCACATGCGGGTTCTACAAAAAGAGTGTTTCCAAGCTGCCCTATCAAAAGGAAGGTTCAACTCTGCTAGTTGAATGCAAACATCACAAAGAAGTTTCTCGGAATGCTTCAGTCTAGTTGTAATAGGCAGATATTTCTTTTTCTACCATAGGCCTAAAAGCGCTCCAAATATCCACTTGCAGATTCTCCAAAAACAGTGTTTCAAAACTGCTCCATAAAAAGGAAGGTTCAACTCTGTGAGTTGAATGGACAGATCACAAAGAAGTTTCTGAGAATGCTTCTCTCTAGTGTTTATGTGAAGATATTCCCGTTTCCGATGAAGGCCTCAATGCAGTCCAAATATCCACTTGCCGATTCTACAAAAACAGTGTTTCAAAACTACTCTATGGAAAGGTATGTTCAACACTGTGAGATGAATGCAAACGTCACCAAGAAGTTTCTGAGAATGCTTCAGTCTAGTTTCTATGGGAAGACATTTCCTTTTGCACCACAGCCCTCAAAGCACCCCGAATGTCTACCTGCAGATTCGATAAAAGAGTTTTTCAAAACTGCTCCATCCAAAGAAAGGTTCAACGCTGTGAGTTGAATCTACATATCACAAATAAGTTTCTGAGAATGCCTCTATCTACATTTCCTGTGAAGATATTATGGTTTCCAAAGAAGGCCTCCAAGCGCTCCAAATATCTACTTGCAGATTCTAGAAAAAGAGTGTTTCAAAACTGCTCTATTAAAGGAAGGTTCAACTCTGTGAGTTGAATTCACACATCACAAAGAACTTCCTGACAATGCTTCTATCTAGTTTTTAT
Source organism: Homo sapiens (assembly GCF_000001405.40). NCBI lineage: Eukaryota > Metazoa > Chordata > Mammalia > Primates > Hominidae > Homo > Homo sapiens. Next base: position 24,565,003 of record NC_000019.10, on the reverse strand, counting down.
GTGAAGATATTACTGTTTCCTATGAAGGCCTCAAAGTGGTCCGAATATCCACTTGCAGATTCTACAAAAAGAGGTTTTCAAAACTGCTCTATGAAGAGGTATGTTCAACTCTGTGAGTTGAATGCAAACATCACAAAGTAGTTTCTGAGAATGTTTCTGTCTAGTTTTTAGGGGAAGATATTTCCATTGGCACAATAGCCCTCAAAGCGCTCCAGATATCCTCTGGCAGATTCCACCAAAAGAGTGTTTCAAAACTGCTCTGTGAAAAGAAATGTTCAAATGTGTTAGTTGAATGCCCTCATCACAAAGAAGATTCTGAGAATATTTCTGTCTAGTTTTTATTAGAAGATATTCCCGTTTCCACCAAAGGACACAAAGCGAAGCCAATTATCCACTTGCAGATCTTACAAAAACACGTTTCAAAACTGCTCTATCCAAGGAAAGGTTCATCTCTCTGGGTTCAACGCACACATCACAAAGAAGTTTCTTGAGAATGCTTCTGGCTAGTTTGTGTGTGAAGATATTCCCATTTCCAACAAAGGCTTCAAAGCCCTCCAAATATTCACCTGCAATTGTTCAAAAGAGTGTTTCAAAACTGTTCTATCAAAAGGAAGGTTCAACTCTGTGAGAGGAACGCACGCTTCACATAAATGGTTCTCAGAATGCTTCTCTCTAGTTTTTATGGGAAGATATTTCCTTCTCCACCATAGCCCTCAAAGCGCTCCAAGTGTCCGCTGGCAGATTCCACAGAAACAGTGTTTCAAAACTGCTCTGACAAAAGAAAGATTCAACTCTGTGATTTGAATGTACACATCACAAAGCATTTTCTGTGAATCCTTCTGTCTAGTTTTTATATGAGGATATTTCCTTTTCTACCATGGGCATCAAAGCGTTCCCATTATCCAATTGTGGATTGCACAAACAGAGTGTTTCAAAACTGCTTCATGAAAAGGAAGATTCAAATTCGGGAGGAGAATGCACACATCACGAAGAAGTTTCTGAGAATGCTTCTGTCCAGTTTATATGTGAAGATATTCCCGTTTCCAGCAAAGGTCTCAAAGCGGTCCAAATATCCACTTGCGGATCCCACACACAGAGTGTTTCAAAGCTGCTCTACGGAAAGGTATGTTCAACTCTGTGAGTTTACTGCAAACATCCTAAAGAAGTTTACTGGGAATGCTGCTGTCTACTTTAATGTGAATATATTTTCATTTCCGCCATAGCCCTCAAAGAGCTCCAAATATCCACTTTCAGATTCTACAGAGTGTTTCAAAACTGCTCTATCAAAAAAAGGTTTCAACTCGGTGAGTCGAATGCACATATCACAAAGCACTTTCTGAGAATGCTTTCGTCTATTTTTCCCAGGAAGATATTTCCTTTTGGACGGTAGGCCTCAATTCGCTCCAGATATCCACATGCAGATTCTACAAAAAGAGTGTTTCCAAACTGCCCTATCAAAAGGAAGGTTCAACTCTGGTAGTTGAAGGCAAACATCACAAAGAAGTTTCTCAGAATGCTTCTGTCTAGTTTTTAGAGGCAGATATTTCTTTTTCTACCACAGGCCTCAAAGCGCTCCAAATATCCACTTGCAGATTCTCCAAGAACAGTGTTTCAAAACTGCTCCATAAAAAGGAAGGTTCAACTCTGTGAGTTGAATGGACAGATCACAAAGAAGTTTCTGAGAATGCTTCTGTCCAGTGTTTATGTGAAGATATTCCCGTTTCCGATGGAGGCCTCAAAGCAGTCCAAATATCCACTTGCAGATTCTACAAAAATAGTGTTTCAAAACTACTCTATGCAAAGGTATGTTCAACACTGTGAGATCAATGCAAACGTCACAAAGAAGTTGCTGAGAATGCTTCAGTCTAGTTTCTATGGGAAGACATTTCCTTTTGCACCACAGCCCTCAAAGCACCCCAAATGTCTACCTGCAGATTCGATAAAAGAGTTTTTCAAAACTGCTCCATCCAAAGAAAGGTTCAACGCTGTGAGTTGAATCTACATATCACAAAAAAGTTTCTGAGATGCCTCTATCTACTTTTTATGTGAAGATATTCCGGTTTCCAACGAAGGCCTCAAAGCGCTCCAAATATCTACTGGCAGATTCTAGAAAAAGAGTGTTTCAAAACTGCTCTATTAAAGGAAGATTCAACTCTGTGAGTTGAATTCACACATCACAAAGAACTTTCTGACAATGTTTCTATCTAGTTTTTATGTGAAGATATTACTGTTTCCAATGAAGGCCTCAAAGTGGTCCGAATATCCACTTGCATATTCTACAGAAAGAGGTTTTCAAAACTGCTCTGTGAAGAGGTATGTTCAACTCTGTGTGTTGAATGCAAACATCACGAAGTAGTTTCTGAGAATGCTTCTGTCTAGTTTTCAGGGGCAGATATTTCCATTGGCACAATAGCCCTCCAAGCGCTCCAAATATCCACTGGCAGATTCTACCAAAAGAGTGTTCCAAACTGCTCTGTGAAAAGAAATGTTCAACTGTGTTAGTTGAATGCCCACATCACAAAGGAGATTCTGAGAATATTTCTGTCTAGTTTTTATTAGAAGATATTCCCGTTTCCACCAAAGGACACAAAGCGAAGCCAATTATCCACTTGCCGATCTTACAAAAACACGTTTCAAAACTGCTCTATCAAAGGAAAAGTTCATCTCTCTGGGTTCAACGCACACATCACAAAGAAGTTTCTGAGAATGCTTCTGGCTAGTTCGTGTGTGAAGATATTCCCATTTCCAACAAAGGCTTCAAAGCCCTCCAAATATTCACCTGCAATTGTTCAAAAGAGTGTTTCAAAACTGTTCTATCAAAAGGAAGGTTCAACTCTGTGAGTTGAATGCACGCTTCACATAAATGGTTCTGAGAATGCTTCTTTCTAGTTTTTATGTGAAGATATTTCCTTCTCCACCATAGCCCTCAAAGCGCTCCAAGTGTCCGCTGGAAGATTCCACAGTAACAGTGTTTCAAAACTGCTCTGACAAAAGAAAGATTCAACTCCGTGATTTGAATGCACACATCACAAAGCATTTTCTGTGAATCCTTCTGTCTAGTTTTTATATGAGGATATTTCCTTTTCTACCATGGGCATCAAAGCTTTCCAATTATCCAATTGTGGATTGCACAAACAGAGTGTTTCAAAACTGCTTCATGAAAAGGAAGATTCAAATTTGGGAATAGAATGCACACATCACGAAGAAGTTTCTGAAAATGCTTCTGTCCAGTTTACATGTGAAGATATTCCCGTTTCCAGCAAAGGTCTCAAAGCGGTCCAAATATCCACTTGCGGATCCCACAAACAGAGTGTTTCAAAACTGCTCTACGGAAAGGTATGTTCAAATCTGTGAGTTTACTGCAAACATCCTAAAGAAGTTTCTGGGAATGCTGCTGTCTAGTTTAATGTGAATATATTTTCTTTTCCGCCATAGCCCTCAAAGAGTTCCAAATATCCACTTTCAGATTCTACAGAGTGTTTCAAAACTGCTCTATCCAAAAAAAGTTTCAACTCGGTGAGTCGAATGCACATATCACAAAGCAGTTTCTGAGAATGCTTTCATCTATTTTTCCCAGGAAGATATTTCCTTTTGGACCGTAGGCCTCAAATCGCTCCAGATATCCACATGCAGATTCTACAAAAAGAGTGTTTCCAAACTGCCCTATCAAAAGGAAGGTTCAACTCTGGTAGTTGAATGCAAACATCACAAAGAAGTTTCTCAGAATGCTTCTGTCTGGTTTTTAGAGGCAGATATTTCTTTTTCTACCATAGGCCTCAAAGCGCTCCAAATATCCTCTTGCAGATTCTCCAAAAGGAGTGTTTCAAAACTGCTCCATAAAAAGGAAGGTTCAACTCTGTGAGTTGAATGGACAGATGACAAAGAAGTTTCTGAGAATGCTTCTGTCTAGTGTTTATGTGAAGATATTCCCGTTTCCGATGAAGGCCTGAAAGCAGTCCAAATATCCACTTGCAGATTCTACAAAAATAGTGCTTCAAAACTACTCTATGGAAAGGTATGTTCAACACTGTGAGATGAATGCAAACGTCACAAAGAAGCTGCTGAGAATGCTTCAGTCTAGTTTCTATGGGAAGACATTTCCTTTTGCACCACAGCTCTCAAAGCACTCCAAATATCTATTTGCAGATTCGATATAAGAGTTTTTCAAAACCGCTGTATCAAAAGAAAAGTTCAACGCTGTTAGTTGAATCTACATATCACAAAAAAGTTTCTGAGAATGCCTCTATCTACGTTTTATGTGAAGATATTCCGGTTTCCAACGAAGGCCTCAAAGCACTCCAAATATCTACTTGCAGATTCTAGAAAAAGAGTGTTTCAAAACTGGTCTATTAAAGGAAGGTTCAACTCTGTGAGTTGAATTCACACATGACAAAGAACTTTCTGACAATGCTTCTATCTAATTTTTATGTGAAGGTATTACTGTTTCCTATGAAGGCCTCAAAGTGGTCCGAATATCCACTTGCAGATTCTACAAAAAGAGGTTTTCAAAACTGCTCTATGAAGAGGTATGTTCAACTCTGTGAGTTGAATGCAAACATCACAAAGTAGTTTCTGAGAATGCTTCTGTCTAGTTTTTAGGGGAAGATATCTCCATTGGCACAATAGCCCTCAAAGCGCTCCAAGTATCCACTGGCAGATCCTAGCAAAAGAGTGTTTCAAAACTGCTCTGTGAGAAGAAATGTTCAACTGTGTTAGTTGAATGCCCACATCACAAAGACGATTGTGAGAATATTTCTGTCTAGTTTTTATTAGAAGATATTCCCGTTTCCACCAAAGGACACAAAGCGAAGCCAATTATCCGCTTGCAGATCTTACAAAAACACATTCCAAAACTGCTCTATCAAAGGAAAGGTTCGTCTCTCTGGGTTCAACGCACACATCACAAAGAAGTTTCTGAGAATGCTTCTGGCTAGTTTGTGTGTGAAGATATACCCATTTCCAACAAAGGCTTCAAAGCCCTCCAAATATTCACCTGCAATTGTTCAAAAGAGTGTTTCAAAACTGTTCTATCAAAAGGAAGGTTCAACTCTGTGAGTTGAATGCACGCTTCACATAAATGGTTCTGAGAATGCTTCTCTCTAGTTTTTATGGGAAGATATTTCCTTCTCCACCATAGCCCTCAAAGCGCTCCAAGTGTCCGCTGGCAGATTCCACAGAAACAGTGTTTCAAAACTGCTCTAACAAAAGAAAGATTCAACTCCGTGAATGGAATGCACACATCACAAAGCATTTTCTGTGAATCCTTCTGTCTAGTTTTTATATGAGGATATTTCCTTTTCTACCATGGACATCAAAGCGTTCCAATCATCCAATTGTAGAATGCACAAATAGAGTGTTTCAAAACTGCTTCATGAAAAGGAAGATTCAAATTTGGGAGTAGAATGCACACATCACGAAGAAGTTTCTGAGAATGCTTCTGTCTAGTTTATACGTGAAGATATTGCCATTTCCAGCCAAGTTCTCAAAGCGGTCCAAATATCCACTTGCGGATCCCACAAACAGAGTGTTTCAAAACTGCTCTACGGAAAGGTATGTTCAACTCTGTGAGTTTACTGCAAACATCCTAAAGAAGTTTCTGAGAATGCTGCTGTCTAGTTTAATGTGAATATATTTTCTTTTCCGCCATAGCCCTCAAAGACCTCCAAATAGCCACTTTCAGAATCTACAGAGTGTTTCAAAACTGCTCTATGAAAAAAAAGTTTCAACTCGGTGATTCGAATGCACATATCACAAAGCAGTTTCTGAGAATGCTTTCGTCTATTTTTCCCAGGAACTTATTGCCTTTTTGACCGTAGGCCTCAAACCGCTCCAGATATCCACATGCAGATTCTACAAAAAGAGTGTTTCCAAACTGCCCTATCAAAAGGAAGGTTCAACTCTGCTAGTTGAATGCAAACATCACAGAGAAGTTTCTCGGAATGCTTCTGTCTAGTTTTTAGAGGTAGATATTCCTTTTTCTACCATAGGCCTCAAATCTCTCCAAATATCCACTTGCAGATTCTCCAAAAACAGTGTTTCAAAACTGCTCCATAAAAAGGAAGTTTCAACTCTGTGAGTTGAATGGACAGATCACAAAGAAGTTTCTGAGAATGCTTCTGTCTAGTGTTTATGTGAAGATATTGCCGTTTCCGATGAAGGCCTCAAAGCAGTCCAAATATCCACTTGCAGATTCTACAAAAATAGTGTTTCAAAACTACTCTATGGAAAGGTATGTTCAACACTGTGAGATGAATGCAAACGTCACAAAGAAGTTGCTGAGAATGCTTCAGTCTAGTTTCTATGGGAAGACATTTCCTTTTGCACCACAGCCCTCAAAGCACCCCAAATGTCTACCTGCAGATTCGAAAAAAGAGTTTTTCAAAACTGCTCCATCCAAAGAAAGGTTCAACGCTGTGAGTTGAATCTACATATCAAAAAAAAGTTTCTGAGAATGCCTCTATCTACTTTTTATGTGAAGATATTCCGGTTTCCAACGAAGGCCTCAAAGCGCTCCAAATATCTACTTGCAGATTCTAGAAGAAGAGTGTTTCAAAACTGCTCTATTAAAGGAAGGTTCAACTCTGTGAGTTGAATTCACACATCACAAAGAACTTTCTGACAATGCTTCTATCTAGTTTTTATGTGAAGATATTACTGTTTCCTATGAAGGCCTCAAAGTGGCCCGAATATCCACTTGCAGATTCTACAGAAAGAGGTTTTCAAAACTGCTCTGTGAAGAGGTATGTTCAACTCTGTGTGTTGAATGCAGACATCACGAAGTAGTTTCTGAGAATGCTTCTGTCTAGTTTTTAGGGGCAGATATTTCCATTGGCACAATAGCCCTCAAAGCGCTCCAAATATCCACTGGCAGATTCGACCAAAAGAGTGTTTCAAAACTGCTCTGTGAAAAGAAATGTTCAACTGCGTTAGTTGAATGCCCACATCACAAAGAAGTTTCTGAGAATATCTCTGTCTAGTTTTTATTAGAAGATATTCCCGTTTCCACCAAAGGACACAAAGCGAAGCCAATTATCCGCTTGCAGATCTTACAAAAACACGTTTCAAAACAGCTCTATCAAAGGAAAGGTTCATCTCTCTGGGTTCAACGCACACATCACAAAGAAGTTTCTGAGAATACTTCTGGCTAGTTTGTGTGTGAAGATATTCCCATTTCCAACAAAGGCTTCAAAGCGCTCCAAAGATTCACCTGCAATTGTTCAAAAGAGTGTTTCAAAACTGTTCTATCAAAAGGAAGGTTCAACTCTGTGAGTTGAATGCACGCTTCACATAAATGTTTCCTAGAATGCTTCTTTCTAGTTTTTATGTGAAGATATTTCCTTCTCCACCATAGCCCTCAAAGCGCTCCAAGTGTCCGCTGGCAGATTCCACAGAAACAGTGATTCAAAACTGCTCTAACAAAAGAAACATTCAACTCCGTGATTTGAATGCACACATCACAAAGCATTTTCTGTGAATGCTTCTGTCTAGTTTTTATATGAGGATATTTCCTTTTCTACCATGGGCATCAAAGCGTTCCAATTATCCAACTGTGGATTGCACAAACAGAGTGTTTCAAAACTGCTTCATGAAAAGGAAGATTCAAATTCGGGAGTAGAATGCACACATCACGAAGAAGTTTCTGAGAATGCTTCTGTCTAGTTTATATGTGAAGATATTCCCATTTCCAGCAAAGATCTCAAAGCTGTCCAAATATCCACTTGCGGATCCCACAAACAGAGTGTTTCAAAACTGCTCTACAGAAAGGTATGTTCAACTCTGTGAGTTTACTGCAGACATCCTAAAGAAGTTTCTGAGAATGCTGCTGTCTAGTTTAATGTGAATATATTTTCTTTTCCGCCATAGCCCTCAAAGAGCTCCAAACATCCACTTTCAGATTCTACAGAGTGTTTCAAAACTGCTCTATCCAAAAAAAGTTTCAACTCGGTGAGTCGAATGCACATATCACAAAGCAGTTTCTGAGAATGCTTTCGTCTATTTTTCCCAGGAAGATATTTCCATTTTGACCATAGGCCTCAAATCGCTCCAGATATCCACATGCAGATTCTACAAAAAGAGTGTTTCCAAACTGCCCTATCAAAAGGAAGATTCAACTCTGGTAGTTGAATGCAAACATCACAAAGAAGTTTCTCAGAATGCTTCTGTCTTGTTGTCATAGGCAGATATTTCTTTTTCTACCATAGGCCTCAAAGCGCTCCAAATATCCACTTGCAGATTCTCCAAAAACAGTGTTTCAAAACTGCTCCATAAAAAGGTATGTTCAACTCTGTGAGTTTACTGCAAATATCCTAAAGAAGTTTCTGGGAATGCTTCTCTCTAGTGTTTATGTGAAGATATTCCCGTTTCCGATGAAGGCCTCAAAGCAGTCCAAATATCCACTTGCCGATTCTACAAAAACAGTGTTTCAAAACCACTCTATGGAAAGGTATGTTCAACACTGTGAGATGAATGCAAACGTTACCAAGAAGTTGCTGAGAATGCTTCAGTCTAGTTTCTATGGGAAGACATTTCCTTTTGCACCACAGCCCTCAAAGCACCCCGAATGTCTACCTGCAGATTCGATAAAAGGGTTTTTCAAAACTGCTCCATCCAAAGAAAGGTTCAACGCTGTGAGTTGAATCTACATTTCACAGAAAAGTTTCTGAGAATGCCTCTATCTACTTTTTATGTGGAGATATTCCGGTTTCCAACGAAGGCCTCAAAGCGCTCCAAATATCTACTGGCAGATTCTAGAAAAAGAGTGTTTCAAAACTGCTCTATTAAAGGAAGGTTCAACTCTGTGAGTTGAATTCACACATCACAAAGAACATTCTGACAATGTTTCTATCTAGTTTTTATGTGAAGATATTACTGTTTCCTGTGAAGGCCTCAAAGTGGTCCGAATATCCACTTGCAGATTCTACAGAAAGAGGTTTTCAAAACTGCTCTGTGAAGAGGTATGTTCAACTCTGTGTGTTGAATGCAAACATCACGAAGTAGTTTCTGAGAATGCTTCTGTCTAGTTTTTAGGGGAAGATATCTCCATTGGCACAATAGCCCTCAAAGCCCTCCAAGTATCCACTGGCAGATTCTAGCAAAAGAGTGTTTCAAAACTGCTCTGTGAGAAGAAATGTTCAACTGTGTTAGTTGAATGCCCACATCACAAAGACGATTGTGAGAATATTTTTCTGTCTAGTTTTTATTAGAAGATATTCCCGTTTCCACCAAAGGACACAAAGCGAAGCCAATTATCCGCTTGCAGATCTTACAAAAACACGTTTCAAAACTGCTCTATCAAAGGAAAGGTTCATCTCTCTGGGTTCAACGCACACATCACAAAGAAGTTTCTGAGAATACTTCTGGCTAGTTTATGTGTGAAGATATTCCCATTTCCAACAAAGGCTTCAAAGCGCTCCAAAGATTCACCTGCAATTGTTCAAAAGAGTGTTTCAAAACTGTTGTATCAAAAGGAAGGTTCAACTCTGTGAGTTGAATGCACGCTTCACATAAATGTTTCTGAGAATGCTTCTTTCTAGTTTTTATGGGAAGATATTTCCTTCTCCACCATAGCCCTCAAAGCGCTGCAAGTGTCCGCTGGCAGATTCCACAGAAACAGTGTTTCAAAACTGCTCTGACAAAAGAAAGATTCAACTCCGTGATTTGAATGCACACATCACAAAGCATTTTCTGTGAATCCTTCTGTCTAGTTTTTATATGAGGATATTTCCTTTTCTACCATGGGCATCAAAGCGTTCCAATTATCCAATTGTGGATTGCACAAACAGTGTGTTTCAAAACTGCTTCATGAAAAGGAAGATTCAAATTCGGGAGTAGAATGCACACATCACGAAGAAGTTTCTGAGAATGCTTCTGTCTAGTTTATATGTGAAGATATTCCCGTTTCCAGCAAAGGTCTCAAAGGGGTCCAAATATCCACTTGCGGATCCCACAAACAGAGTGTTTCAAAACTGCTCTACGGAAAGGTATGTTCAACTCTGTGAGTTTACTGAAAACATCCTAAAGAAGTTTCTGGGAATGCTGCTGTCTAGTTTAATGTGAATATATTTTCTTTTTCGCCATAGCCCTCAAATAGTTCCAAATATACACTTTCAGATTCTACAGAGTGTTTCAAAACTGCTCTATCAAAAAAAAGTTTCAACTCGGTGAGTCGAATGCACATATCACAAAGCAGTTTCTGAGAATGCTTTCGTCTATTTTTCCCAGGAAGAGATTACATTTTTGACCGTAGGCCTCAAACCACTCCAGATATCCACATGCAGATTCTACAAAAAGAGTGTTTCCAAACTGCCCTATCAAGAGGAAGGTTCAACTCTGCTAGTTGAATGCAAACATCACAGAGAAGTTTCTCGGAATGCTTCTGTCTGGTTTTTAGAGGCAGATATTTCTTTTTCTACCATAGGCCTCAAAGCGCTCCAAATATCCACTTGCAGATACTCCAAAAACAGTGATTCAAAACTGCTCCATAAAAAGGAAGGTTCAACTCTGTGAGTTGAATGGATAGATCACAAAGAAGTTTCTCAGAATGCTTCTCTCTAGTGTTTATGTGAAGATATTCCCGTTTCCGATGAAGGCCTCAAAGCAGTCCAAATATCCACTTGCCGATTCTACAAAAACAGTGTTTCAAAACTACTCTACGGAAAGGTATGTTCAACACTGTGAGATGAATGCAAACGTCACAAAGAAGTTGCTGAGAATGCTTCAGTCTAGTTTCTATGTGAAGATATTTCCTTTTCGACCACAGCCCTCAAAGCACTCCAAATGTCTACTTGCAGACTCGATAAAAGAGTTTTTCAAAACTGCTCTATCAAAAGAAAGGTTCAACGCTGTGAGTTGAATCTACATATCACAAAAAAGTTTCTGAGAATGACTCTATCTACATTTCCTGTGAAGATATTCCGGTTTCCAACGAAGGCCTCCAAGCGCTCCAAATATCTACTTGCAGATTCTAGAAAAAGAGTGTTTCAACACTGCTCTATTAAAGGAAGGTTCAACTCTGTGAGTTGAATTCACACATCACAAAGAACTTCCTGACAATGCTTCTATCTAGTTTTTATGTGAAGATATTACTGTTTCCTATGAAGGCCTCAAAGTGGTCCGAATATCCTCTTGCAGATTCTACAAAAAGAGGTTTTCAAAACTGCTCTATGAAAAGGTAGGTTCAACTCTGTGAGTTGAATGCAAACATCACAAAGCAGTTTCTGAGAATGCTTTCTGTCTAGTTTTTAGGGGCAGATATTTCCATTGGCACAATAGCCCTCAAAGCGCTCCAAATATCCACTGGCAGATTCTACCAAAAGGGTGTTTCAAAACTGCTCTGTGAAAAGAAAGGTTCAACTGTGTTAGTTGAATGCCCACATCACAAAGAAGATTCTGAGAATATTTCTGTCTAGTTTTTATTAGAAGATATTCCCGTTTCCACCAAAGGACAAAAAGCGAAGCCAATTATCCGCTTGCCGATCTTACAAAAACGCGTTTCAAAACTGCTCTATCGAAGGAAAGGTTCATCTCTCTGGGTTCAACGCACACATCACAAAGAAGTTTCTGAGAATGCTTCTGGCTAGTTTGTGTGTGAAGATATTCCCATTTCCAACAAAGGCTTCAAAGCGCTCAAAGATTCACCTGCAATTGTTCAAAAGAGTGTTTCAAAACTGTTCTATCAAAAGGAAGGTTCAACTCTGTGAGTTGAATGCACGCTTCACATAAATGTTTCTGAGAATGCTTCTTTCTAGTTTTTATGTGAAGATATTTCCTTCTCCACCATAGCCCTCAAAGCGCTCCAAGTGTCCGCTGGCAGATTCCACAGAAACAGTGTTTCAAAACTGCTCTAACAAAAGAAAGATTCAACTCCGTGATTTGAATGCACACATCCCCAAGCATTTTCTGTGAATCCTTCTGTCTAGTTTTTATATGAGGATATTTCCTTTTCTACCACGGGCATCCAAGCGTTCCAATTCTCCAATTGTAGATTGCACAAACAGAGTGTTTCAAAACTGCTCCATGAGAAGGAAGATTCAAATTAGGGAGTACAATGCACCCATCACCAAGAAGTTTCTGAGAATGCTTCTGTCTAGTTTATATGTGAAGATATTCCCATTTCCAGCAAAGGTCTCAAAGCGGTCCAAATATCCACTTGCGGATCCCACAAACAGAGTGTTTCAAAACTGCTCTACGGAAAGGTATGTTCAACTCTGTGAGTTTACTGTAAACATCCTAAAGAAGTTTCTGAGAGTGCT